>NC_000010.11:34878518-35182800 GCF_000001405.40 Homo sapiens
CCAAGAGAAAGAAAAGACAAGCCACACACCAGGAGGAAATACTTGCAAAAGACTTATCTGATAAAGGACTGTTATTCAAAATACACAAAGAATGCTTAAAACTCAGCAATAAGAAAACAAACAGCCCAATTTAAAAATGGGCAAAAGACCTGAACAGATGCCTCACCAAAGAAGATACACAGATGGCAAATAAGCATATGAAAAGATGCTCCACATCACACGTCACCAGGGAAATGCAAATTAAAACAATAATGAGATACCACTGCACACCTATTAGAATGACCAAAGTTCAGAACACTGATAACACCAAATGCTGGTGAGGATGTGGAGTAATAGGAACTCTCATTCATTGCTGGTGGGAATGCAAAATGGTACAGCCAGTATGAAAGGCAGTTTGGCAGTTTCTTATAAAACTAAGCATTCTCTTACCATATGATGCAGCAATCACACCCCTTGGTATTTACCCAAAGGAGTTGAAAACTTATGTCCACACAAAAACCTGCACACAAATGTTTATAGCAGCTTTATTTTTAGTTGTCAAAACATGGAGGCAGTGAAGATGTCCTCAGTAGGTAAATGGATAAATAGACTGTGGCATATCCAGAGAGTGGAATATTATTCAGTGCTAACAAGAAAGGAGCTAGCTGGCCAGGCGCAGTGGTTCACGCCTGTAATTTCAACACTTTGGGAGGCCAGGGCAGGCAGATTACTTGAGGTCAGGAGCTTGTGACCAGCCTGGCCAACCAGGCTGGCCAACATGGTAAAACCCCATCTCTACTAAACATACAAAAATTACCCAGGCATGGTGGTACGCACCTGTAATCCCAGCTACTCGGGAGGCTGAGGCACAAGAATCACTTGAACCTGGCAGGCGGAGGTTGCAGTGAGCTGAGATCGCACCACTGCACTCCAGCCTGGGCAACAGAGTGAGACTCCATCTCAAAAAAAAAAAAAAAAGAAAAAGAAAAAGAAAGAAAAAAAAGAAAGAAACGAGCTATCAATCCATGAAAATATATGGAGGAAACGTAAATGCATATGAAGTGAAAGAAGGCAAATTGAAAAGGTCACATCCTATGTGATTTCATCTGTATGACATTCTTGAAAAGGCAAACTCTCGAGACAGTAAATAGATCAGTGGTTTCTAGGAGGCAGAAGGAAGGGACGGATGAACAGGCAGACCAGAGGATTTTTAGGCCGATGCAACTATTCTGTGCTATAATGGTGGATCCATGTCATTATACATTTGTCCAAACCCACAGGGTGGGCAACACCAAGAGTGAGCCCTAAAGTAATCTATGGATTTTGTGTCAATGTAGGTTGATCACGTGTGACAAGTGTACCACTCTGGTTGATGCTGATAATGGGGGAAGCCATGCATGCCTGAGGGCAGAGGGTATATGAGATATCTTCCTACCTTCCTCTTAGTTTTGCTGTGAATCTAAAACTGCTCTTTTAAAAAGTCTAAAAAAGAAAAGAAAAAACAGGCCAGACATGGTGGCTCACCCGTGTTATCCCAGCACTTTGGGAGGCTGGGGTGGGAGGATCACTTGAGCCCAGGAGTTCAAGACCAGCCTGGGCAATATAGCAAGACCCTATCTCTATATTATTTTTTTTAAATAAAAAATAAAATTCAAATTAAAAAAGCAATAAAAAACATCCTCAACGCTTTTCTTACATCATATACTAAATTAACTTGATGATGGACCTATGTATAAATGCTAAAACTATCAAATTTCCAGAAAAATCTCCCTGTCTCTCTTTTTAGAGACAGGGTCACCCAGGCTGGAGTGCAGAGGTAAGATCATACTCATAGTAGCCTCAAACTCCTGGGCTCAAATGATCCTCCTGCTTCAGCCTCCCAAGTTGCTGGGACTACAGGTGCACAGAAAATCTATTCTTACTTGGAGTAGGCAAAGATTATTTAGATAGAACAAAAATATCAACCTACAAAAGAAAGGAATTGATAAATTGTACTTTATCAAAATTAAGATCTTCTGTTCCTTCAAGGCCATTGAAAATAAAATGGCAACGCACTGAGGAGGAAAAATATTAATATTTGCAACACATGTATCTGACAAAGACCATGTTTCCAGAGTATATGAAGGACTCTTACACTCAATAATGATAAGGCAAAAAAAAAACCCTTTATTTGCTTTTGTTTTTTTGAGAAAGGGTCTTGCTCTATTGCCCAGGCTGGAGTGCAGTGGCACAATCATAGCTAATTGCAGCCTCAAACTCCCAGCCTCAAGCGATCCTCCCACCTCAGCCTCACAAAGTATTGGGATTGATGGTGTAAGCCACTATGTCTGGCCCCACCTAATTTAAACAAGGTCAAAAGATTTCAACGGACATTTTACAAAAGAAAAAATAGGAATGGCTAATAAGTCCATGGAACGATGTTCAAGTATCATTAGTCATCAGAGAAAAGTACATTAAAGCACAATGAAAACTGTACATACTCACCGGAATGGCTAAAACTGAAAAGACTGACCAAACCAAATGTTGGTCAGGATGTGAAGTAACAAAAACTCTCGTAAATGGCTCGTGGGAATGTAAAATATGGAACAAGCAATTTGGAAAACAACTCAGCAGTTTCTGATAAAGTTAAGAATATGAGCCGGGCACGGTGGATCACCTCTGGAATCCCAGCACTTTGGGAGGCCAAGGCAGGGGGATTACTTGAGGTCAGGAGTTCCAGATCAGCCTGGCCAACATGGTGAAATCCCATCTCTACTAAAAACACAAACATTAGCGAGGGAAAAACACAAAAAAATAGTCTGCAGCTGTAGTCCCAGCTACTCGGGAGGCTGGGGCAAGAGAATCGCTTGAGCCTGGGAAGTAGAGGTTGGAGTGAGCCGAGATCGCACCACTGCACTCCAGCCTGGGCGACAGCAAGACTCCGTCTCAAAAAAAAAAAAAAAAAAAAAAAAAAGAGAATAAGCTTATAATATGATCCAGCAATTCCACTCCTAGGCATTTACCCAAGAACAATAAAAACACATGTTCACAGAGACTTTTACATGAATAGTCCTAGCAGCTTCATGTACAATAGCCAATAACTGTAAACAACCCACATATCTCCCGACTGGTGAATAGATACACAAATTGTGATACAGACAATGGAATGCTACCCAACAACACAATGTAAAACATTGATGCAGGCTGAGCGCAGTGGTTCACGCCTGTAATCCCAGAACTTTGGAAGGCCGAGGAGGGAGGATCACAAGGTCAGGAGATCGAGACCATCCTGGCTAACACGGTGAAACCCCGTCTCTACTAAAAAAATACAAAAAATTAGCCAGGCATGGTGGCTGGTGCCTGTAGTCCCAGCTACTCAGGAGGCTGAGGCAGGAGAAAGGTGTGAACCCAGGAGGCAGAGCTTGCAGTGAGCTGAGATCGAGCCACTGTACTCCAGCCTGGGCGACAGAGCGAGATTCCGTCTCAAAACAAACAAACAAAAAAAATACTGATGCAAAAAACCACATAGAACAGTCTTAAAAATTTTCTGCATAAAAGCAGCAAGACACAAATGAGTACATACTATAGGATTACATTTAAAAGAAATTCTAGAAAAAGCCAAACTAATCTATAATATAGTTGCTGCCTGGGTTGTGGGGGAGTTGAGATTTTCTGCAAAAGGACATGAGGGAACTTTCTGGAGTAATAGAGATGTTCTTTTTTTTTTTTAGCCCAAAAGTGAAAATACTGATTGATTTTATTTTATTATCATTATTTTTAGAGATGAGGTCTGACTCTGTCACCCAGGCTGGAATGCAGTGGCACCATCATGGCTCACTGCAGCCTCAACCTCGCAGCCTCAAGCCATCCTATCACCTCAGCCTCCCAAGTAGCTGGGACTACAGGCACATGCCACAATGCCCAGTTAACTTTTTGTATTTTTTGTAGAGACAGGGTTTCACCATATTGCCCAGGCTGGTCTTGAACTCCTGAACTCAGGCCATCTGCCCACCTGGCATGTGCCACACTGCATCTGGCCTGGAAATATTCTACATGTTGGTTGTAAGGATGAATACACAAATGTACAAATGTATCAAAACTCATCTATTTGCACACTTTAATTGGGTTCATTTTCTTTGTAAGTTGATTTAAGGAAAGATCAGGCCTTGTCTTCCTTCTACTATATGGTTAGCTATGGGGAAACTCTACCCCTGAAGCAATGAGCCTTAGGGAGTGACTGTGATTGCCTAGCTCTGACTGTGATTAGATTATATTAGGGCGAAATTGTAGGGAAATTGATCTGATTGTAGATCTGAGCTACATTTTTCTTTTTTTATTTTTTTTAGACAGACTCTTACTCTATTGCCCAGGCTGGAGTACAGTGGTGTAATCTCGGCTCATTACAACCTCTGCCTCCCGGGTTCAAGTGATTCTCCTGCCTCAGCCTCCTGAGTAGCTGGGATTACAGGTGCCATGCCTGGGTAACTTTTGTATTTTTACAGGGGTTTCACCATGTTGGCCAGGCTGGTCTCGAACTCCTGGCCTTAAGAGATCCACCCGCCTCGGCCTCCCAAAGTGCTGGGATTACAGGCGTGAGCCAGCATGCCCAGCTAAGCTACACTTTTCATTATCAATAATAAAAGAGGTACCTTCAGAAGTACTATACAACTTGCTGATTCAGACATTTATTTCTGTTCAGATCCCTCACTCTCCTCACCCATGCTAGAATGTAAGCTCCACAAGAGCAAGACTTTTCATTTACTTTTGTTCATAGCACATAGTACATGTCAAAAAGATATGATAGATGCCTATCTGTCATCTTCTGTGTCTTACTTCTCATTTCACTCCGAACTCAGAAGGGAAAGATGGCATTGTTATTTGTCTCCTAAAATTCCAACACTCTTTTTTTTTTTTTTTTTTTTTTTTGAGACAGATTCTTGCTCTGCCACCCAGGCTGGAGTGCAGTGGCGTGATCTCAGCTCACTGCAAGCTCCACCTGCCAGGTTCATGCCATTCTGCTGCCTCTGCCTCCCAAGTAACTGGGACTACAGGCGCCTGCCACCACACCTGGCTAATTTTTTGTATTTTTAGTAGAGACGGGGTTTCACCGTGTTAGCCAGGATGGTCTCAATCTCCTGACCTTGTGATCCACCTGCCTCAGCCTCCCAAAGTGCCGGGATTACAGGCGTGAGCCACCGCGCCCGGCCAACACTGTCCTCTTACAGATAGTAACGACAGCCTAACAATAAACCATAAATCAGCCAACATCTACTGGGTACTTAATATGTGTCAGTTTTACACAATGTGTAAAAATGTGTATATACATTTTTTCAATCCTCATAATGACCTAATGAAATGGGTACTATTGAGATTTCCATTTTGGAAATGACAAAACCAAGGCTCAGATAGGTTAAGTGACTCTCCCATGGTCACACACTTAGTAGGTGGAGAACTAAATTTTGATTCCAAGTAAGCGAATCCCAAAATGATGGCTCTACACACTACTGTTTCCATTCTTCCCTGGCTCCAGTCCATTGTCCTCACAACAGCCTGAGCAAGATTTATGTTTAAAATCAACATCTGGGGCTGGGGGCGGTGGCTCACACCTATAATCCCAGCACTTGGGAGGCTGAGGCTGGCAGATCAGTTGAGGTCAGGAGTCTGAGATCAGCCTGGGCGACATGGTGAAATCCCATCTCTCCTGAAAATATGAAAATTAGCCAGGTGTGGTGGCAGGTGCCTGTAATCCCAGCTACTTGGGAGGCTGTGGCAGGAGAATTGCTTAAGCCCAGGAGGTGGAGGTTGTAGTGGGCTGAGATTGCACCACTGCACTCTAGCCTCGGTGACAGAATGAGACTCCATGTCAAAATAAATAAAAATAAAATCAACATCTGCCTATAAAGCCCGGCACAACCTGCCCCTGCCATCCTTTCCAATGTCATGAGGGAGCAATTTACCCCTCACTTACCTCACTGAAGACCATCCTGATCTTACTTTGGGTTCATCACATGGCTTCCTGCCTCAGGACCTTGGCACATGCTGTTTTCTTTGCACAGATCCCTCCCTCACCCCGACACAACTCATTCCTCAGGCTCTGTTAAAATGCCACACTTTTGGAGAGGCTTCCTTGACCCCTCTTTTCCAAATCCAAACAGACCTATTACTCTTTCATTTTAACCTGGGTTTTACAGCCACAGCACTTGTCACAATTTGAAGTTATCTTCCTATTTCTGGGTATAACTGGTATATCCTGCTTCACCAGATGAAGTGAAACTAATTCATACTGCCTTCTTCAAGTCAGAACTGGCTCTCGTTTCCACTTGCCACATTTCCAGGAAGCTTGTTACCTCTCTTGAGTTTTTCTCCTATCACATTGCCCCAAAACTTCAGGGATTTTCTTAGCTTGAAGGAGTCAATTCTGATCTCAAATAATTTGACAAGTATAAGATAGAGCCTCTGATCAGTTCACAAGTTTACTGTTTTTGTTTTGTTTTGTTTTTAACTGTTATTGCTCCTCATGTTGTTAAAAACTAGCCCTGGCCAGGCCCACTGGCTCACACCTGTAATCTCAGCACTTTGGGAGGCTGAGGCAGGAGGATCACTTGAGCCCAGGAGTTTGAGATCAGACTGGGAAACATAGTGAACTGCCCCCCATGTCTCTATAAAACATAGAACAATTAGCTGGGCATGCTGGCCCATGCTTGTAGTCTTAGCTGTGTGGGAGGTGAAGGAGAGAGGGTCGCTTGAGCTCAGGAGGTCAAGGTCCAGTGAGCTGTAACTGCACCACCATAGTGAGACTCTGTCTCTAAATTTAAAAAGTAAAATAAATAAATAAAAATAAAATTGGATGGCTTCGAGAGACCTGCTGGCAGAGAGAACACCTAGGGTCCTGAGGGGAAGCTCGCGAGGAGGGAAGAGGCCTCAGGTCACCCTCCTGCAGCCAATGCTTCAGGGAGAAACAAGGAGTCAGCCAGTAGTTTACAGATGAGCCCTGGGGAGACAGGTAAGGGAGTCGGGAGTCAAGCAGGGATGTGCTCTCTGGAAAAGCTCCCAGGGGGTAGTAGCTTCAGCTGGATCCCACAGCGGACTTGGGTGTCAGTTTACCCCAAACTTATCTACACTCTGAAGTGAAAGGGACAGGGCCACAAAACTGATAGAAAGGAGTCTTAGTGGATCTGAGCAGAACCTGACCGCCAAATGCTGCAAAAGGGAATCCTGCAAACTGGAGAGTGGGATGAAGCGTGGGGACCTGGACAGTCAGCGTGGGTGTAGGAGGTGGGGGCCAGGGAGATGACCTTCATCCAGTCTGGGGCTAAGCCACCCTTGAACCTCTCACCCAGACATGGTGAAACCTCTTTGGAAACCACTGCTGACCAGGTCAATATCTTACCTAAGTAGAACTGGAAGTCCCAGGGGATGAGCTGTGGCCCAAGAACAGGGGACAGTGTGTGAGCCACCATGCCTGTTGTGAGCCACTGTTCCTGGCTCTGTCTCCATTTGAAAGGTTCTAAAACACTGCGTCTACCATAAAGCTCTCCTTTCATTTCTTCCCAGTAAGTTCCTTGGCCTCTATCCAAGTGTGCCCACCTCCTCCCTAAGGCTCTGATTACCAGGAGGAATTAGGAAAAGCAGCTTCTGTCAAGCCACACACACACAAATGCCTTTTTCATTCCTTGCCCTCGAGTCATGCGTGCCCACTTACCCTCTCATGACCAAGAAGGGCTACCCAAGTGCTTCTTTCCAACACAAAGGCAATTTGCTCCCAAATAATTGAGAATGTCCCTAGAAAGAAACTGTGAGAAACTTTTAAATAGAGGCTCATTTCAGATTTTAAAAGAAAAGAATACTGCTTACTAAGTGTTCACAAGCTGCATATCGGTCTGCCTGGCTTAAGCCTCAGGTCTTCTGCTTTTTTGTAAACCCAGGGCTTCCCATGATGGGCATTCAATATGTATTCGTTGGATGAATGAATGAGTCACCAACTCCTGAATAAAACTATCAGTAAACTAGGACAAGAGTTTGAGAACCAAAAAATTAACAGAATTATCTCATCATTGTATAAAATGCTGATCATTGGTGGATATGTATGTGTGCATATACATGCAATTTTACAGAAGTTTTCTTCTTTTTAAAGAAGAGCTCCTCGGGCCAGACACCATGGCTCATGCTTGTAATCCCAGCACTTTGGGAGACCAAGGTGGGTGGATCACCTGAGGTCAGGAGTTCAAGACCAGCCTGGTCAACATGGTGAAACCCCAACTCTACTAAAAATATACAAAAATTAGCCAGGCATGGTGGCGGGCTCCTGTAGTCCCAGCTACTCGGGAGGCTGAGGCAGGAGAATTGCTTGAACCCAGGAGGCAGAGGCTGCAGAGCCGAGATAGCGTCACTGCACTCCAGCCTGGGCAGCAGAGCGAGACTCCATCTCAAAAAAAAAAAAAAAAAAAAAAAAAAAAAAAAAAAGGCCTTTCTTTGTATTTTGAAATTCTAAAAAAAAGATTTCAGACATTAAAAATGGCTTAAAAAGTAATATAAGAAACACCAGGAAACCAACTATAAAGCTTAAGAAATAACGTGGCTGGGAACGGTGGCTCATGTCTGTAATCCCAGCACTTTGGGAGACTGAGGTGGGAGGATCGCTTGAGCAAGAGGTCAACGCTGCGGTGAGCTATGATTGCACCACTGCACTCCAGCCTGGGCGATAGAGCAAGACCCTGTCTCAAACAAAAAGTAGTAGAAGCCACCTGCGTATGCCTTCTCACTTTCTTTCCCACCCGAAGGAACCATTGTCTTGAGTTAAAGAAACTTCTGCAGTCCTGGGAGGGATGGCTCAACATGCTCACCTTTTCCTCTCTAATCACAGGTTATTAAGCCAAGGTGGACACCTGGCACACCTGTGCCAATCAGTTTCTTCCTCCCAGGAATTTACAAATGAGAGCCTGAGCTAATTTGCTGTGATGAGCAAAACTGACAGGTCATGCTAATTTCAGGGCTCAGACTTTTTTCTAGGGGTGTGGCCATCATGAGCCCTGTGCAAGAAGAGTATGAATAATTGGAAGAAAAAAGAAGACAGAGCAGACACACAGAGAAAAGAAAAGGAGGAGAGGAAAGAGGGAAAGAGGCTTTTTTTTTTGCCTTATTTCTAAATCATTTCCCAATTCCCCTCTCCACCCCTCTAAAGCCTGCCTGCTTTTGCTATTTCTGATTTGTGAGAGTTCTTTATAACCTTCCCATGACCTCCGCTTTTCCTTGAACTAGTATGGATGGATTCTATGATTTTTAACTCAATTATCCTTAAGATACGCTTTCCCCACCAAAAAAAAAAAAACTTTATTCACTAATTACAAGTGGACAAAGTTCCTAGGATCATATAACTTTTTTATTTTTAAGTTCAGTGGTGCGATCCTAGCTTACTGCAGCCTCAAACCCTTGAGCTCAAGTGATGTCCCTGCCTCAGCTGCCTAACTGGGACTACAGGTGTGTGCCATCACACCCAGCTAACTTAAAAAAAAATTTAGAGGCTGGGCGCAGTGGCTCATGCCTGTAATCCCAGCACTTTGAGAGGCCAAAGTGGGAGGATCACTTGAGCCCAGGAGTTTGAGACCAGCCTGGGTTACATAGTAAAACCCCGTGACTACTAAAAATAGAAAAAAATTAGCCGGGCATGGTGGTGAGCACGTGTAGTCCCAGCTACTCAGGAGGCTGAGGCACGAGAATCATTTGAACCCTGGAGACAGAGGTTGCAGTGAGCCAAGATCATACCACTGTACTCCAGCCTGGGTGACAGAGTGAGACTCTGTAAGAAAAAAAAAAAAAATTTTTTTTTTCTTTTTTTAAGAGATCCACCCACCTTGGCCTCTCAAAGTGTTTGATTACAGGTGTGAGCCACCGCGCCTGGCCTTTTTTTTCTTTTACTTTTAGAGTCAGAGTATTGCTTTGTTGCCCAGGCTGGAGTGGAGTGGTATAATCATAGTTCACTGAAGCCTCCAATTCCTGGGATCAAGCAATCCTTCTACCTCAGCCTCCCAAGTAGCTGGGCCCACAGGTGTGAGCCATCACCATGCCTGGCTAATTAGAAACTTTTTTTTTGTAGAGACGGGGTCTCACTGTATTGCCAGGCTGGTCTGAAACTCCTGCTCTCAGAAGACCCTTCTGCTTTGGACTCCCAAAGTGCTGGGATTATAGGCATGAGCCACCATGCCAGGCCCAAAAGGTTTTTTTGTTTTTTTTTTCCTGAGAAAGGGTCTCACTCTGTCACCCAGACTAGAGTACAGTGGCACAATCTTGGCTCACTGCAACCTCCACCTTCCAGGCTCAAGTGATTCTCCTGCCTCAGCCTCCCGAGTAGCTGGGATTACAGGTGCGAACCACTACCGCCGGCTAATTTTTGTATTTTTAGTAGAAACGAGGTTTCACCATGTTGGCCAGGCTACTCTTGAACTTCTGAACTCAAATTATCCACCCGCCTCAACCTCCCAAAGTGCTGGGGTTACAGGCGTGAGCCATCGTGCCCTGCCACACAGTCTTTATCAAGCTTATAAGGTCAGAGATGTGCAGATCCCTGGTTACCTCTTTGACCTCATTGCACCATTCTCCCCATCCTGTCTTGGCTTGAAAGCCCCCTGCAGCTGCCGTCCCTTACCATTTCCAGCACACCATCAGGGCCTCTGCACTTAGAGACTTCAGCCTGGACTGCCTTTCCGCAGGTAGTTGAATGACTAACCTTATGTTGTTCCCTGCTTAAAGGTCCTCTCCACCACCCTGTGGCAGACTGCCACAGTTACTACTTGAGACCATCACCACGACGGTTACTACTGTTACTACTTGAGACCCTCATTACGTCATTAAGAGACTGAACAAAAGGACGAATGTAGAAATGAAAACGTAAGACAAACTGTTTTAAAGGAAGCGGCCTGGGGAAGAAGAAGAGAGCACCCTGCTTCTAGTGAGCAAAGGCAGCAGCCCCTGGGCTTCTACAGCCCTTCGTATTTAATGGGTAGAAAGAGCAGGGAGGAGGAGGTAATGATTGGTCAGCTGCTTAATTGATCACAGGTTCATATTATTACTAACAGGCTTCAGATGTACCTAGTCACAAGAAACACTGCGCTTGGGGCGTGACTGCCCTCAGCATTCCTTCTGGGTGGCAGACACAGTTTGTCGGTCTGCCAACATTCTGCATTTTTGAGAAACAGTTTGCTGCTTACTCATATAGCCTCCAGTGATATACTGAGTTGATCACGACCCTCAATCTTTCCGCCTCCAACACCACCCCATTTAAAATATCAGCCACCAGCCACCACTCTCTATTTCCTATCCTGCTCTACTTCTTAGCATTTATCATCACCTACGTGGCAGGAGCCAAAATAGGCGATAGCTAAAATCTCAGCAACTGGGGGTGCTGAGGTGGGAGGATCCTTTGAGCCCAGGAGTTGGAGGCTGTACTGAATTATGATCGTGCCACTGCCCTCCAGACTGGGCAACAGAGCAAGACCCCTATCTCTAAAAAAAAAAAAATAATAAATATTATCACCTATATCTATGTCTATATGTAGATCTCTCTCTCTCTCTCTGTATATATATTTTTTGAGATAGAGTCTTGCTCTGTTGCCCAGGCTGGAGTGCAGTGGTGCAATCTCAGCTCACTGCAACCCCTGCCTCCTGGGTTAAAGTGATTCTCCTGCCTCAGCCTCCTGAGTAGCTGGGATTACAGGTGCCTGCCACCATGCTTGGCTAATTATTGTATTTTTAGCAGAGACGGGGTTTCACCATATTGGCCAGGCTGGTCTCGAACTCCTGGCCTCAAGTGATTGCCTGCCTCTGCCTCCCAAAGTGTTCGGATTACAGGAGTGAGCCACAACGCCCGGCCTCTTTCTGTATATATGTTTGTTTAGTTTGCCCTCCCACCGCCACCACCCCCCCCATTAAATTGTAAGCTCTATAAAAGCAGGGATCCTGTCAATTTTATTCTCTGCTGTATCTGTGGTGACTAGAACAATAAAAGGTACTCAGTAAATATTTATAACTGGAACAAAGGAAACAGGTATGTTTCAATGGGAGAGAAGAGGTCTGGTGTTGCAGAGGTAGAGGGAGTCCCTGTAGGGTCTCTCAGTTCTGCCACTAATCTCTAGCTGAGTGACTCCGCACAGGTTGTGTAACCTCTCTGAACCTCTGTCTTCATCTGTCAAATGGTGATGATAACAGTACCTGTTCACGCCTGTAATCCCAGCATTTTGGGAGGCCGAGGCGGGCAGATCACGAGGTCAGGAGATCAAGATCATCCTGGCCAACATTGTGAAACTCCATCTCTACTAAAAATACAAAAATTAGGTGGGCATGGTGGCATACACCTGTAGTCCCATCTACTCAGGAGGCTGAGGCAGAAGAATAACTTGAACCTGGGAGGCGGAGGTTGCAGTGAACCAAGATCATGCCACTGCACTCCAGCCTGGCGACAGAGCGAGACTGTCAAAACAAAACAAAGCAAAACAAAAACACACAAAAAACAGTACCCCGTGAGCTACAGAAAGTTGTTGGGGGTATTAGCTGGAGTCCTGGGTTGAGTGAAGTGCCTGGAAGTGAGAAATAGCAGCTATAGTGACTGTGTATTGTGTTAGCAGGGGAGGGGAGCCAAGACTCAGAACCCGGATGCTTAGGGGAGGGCAACCTTCCTGCAGGAAGGGAGAGGACAAGGGGGAGGTCCTGGGCAAAGCTCAGAGGCTGCAGGCAGGGTATCTGGGCTGGAGGCACAGGTTGCTGGATGATGATAGCTGGCAATCTGGGTCACATCTTTTCTTGAAAATCAGTTTTTCCTATCTCCCAACCTCATAGGGTTTCTTTGAGGATCAAGAAAATGTATTGCATACAAAGAAGCTCTCTTCAAACCATAAAGCACTGCATAAAGGCTTTTATGATGATTTCCCAATTTTGCCCATGGCTGGCTGGATAAATACATACCCGTCCTGTCCCTCTCAGCAGAAGCTGCTTTATTCCCCTGAAACTCATGTTCCTGGGGCCTGGACAGGTAGGGACATGGATGGTTATCTGCATCTCTCTCTGCTCCAAAGACCCAATTTCCCCCAATCAATTTTATGTTATTTTAAGCCTGTCTTAATATGGGCTCTTAGCAGAAAAAATGCACTTCTTCTATTATTCCTTTATCATATTATAATGCCTTTAGGAGATATTATTTACTTTTGAAAAATGGCTAGGTTTTTCTAATATAAACATTATCCTGACCTGTTGATAGAATCCCTTTGTTCAGTTTATCCTGCTAAATATATATATGACTTTGGCCCATTTTTACTCCTGTAATCCTCTCTCTAGTCTAACCTCCACAGCATCATTATGACATAAATTGTGGAACTGCTTTCTTTTACTCACCATTATTCATGCCTTCATTTGATCATTTGTTCACTCAACAAACATCTATAGAGTGCCCACAATGTGCCAGGCACTGTAGTATTGAGGTTAAGCAGCTAACCCAACAGATTTAATCATCAGAACTATGAAGGAAAATAAATCAGGGGATGGGGTCGAGGGTTTTGACTATAGGGGTTTCAACATTAACTAGGGATGGCCTGAAAGGGCTCATGTGAAGGTGACCTTTTTTTTTTTTTTTAAGCAATGAGGTCTTCCTGTGTTGCCCAGGCTGGCCTCAAACTCCTGGGCTCAAGCAATCCTCCACATCAGCCTCTCGAATAGCTGAGACTGCAGATGTGCAACACCACACTCTGCTCAAAGTGACATTTTTGTAACGATGTGAAGGAATTAGAGGACAGTTCCAGTATCTTGCAGAGGAAGTGGGAACAGCAGGTACACAGGCCCTGGGAAAATGAGTTGGGAGAGAAAACATCGAGGAAACAGAATGAGGAGGGGGCACAGTGGGAGATGCGTGCTCATGGGAGGGAATGTGCAGGGGGTCACTGTCAAGACTGACTTTCTTTCTTTTTTTTTTTTTTTTGAGATGGAGTTTCGATCTTGTTGTCCAGGCTGGAGTGCAATGGCGCGATCTCAGCTCACTGCAAACTCCGCCTCCTGGGTTCAAGCGATTCTCCTGCCTCAGCCTCCCAAGTAGTTGGGATTACAGGTGCCTGCCACCACACCCAGTTCATTTTGTATTTTTAGTAGAAACGGGGTTTCTCCATGTTGATCAGGCTGGTCTGGAACTCCTGACCTCAGGTAATCCGCCTGCCTCGGCCTTCCAAAGTGCTGGCATTACAGGTGTGAGCCACCGTGCCCGGCCAAGACTGACTTACTTTCTGAGTGAAATAGGCAGCTGTGCAGAGGTTCTGGTGTTAGGAGTGGCACAATCAGACCAACACTGTCACAGGGTCACCCTGGCTGTTCTGTTGGTGATAGTCTGAAGCAGAGCTGTTCTTCAGCCAGTAGAGACTAGAGCCTGGCATTCTTTCTGCCTTTGTTTTGTTTTGTTTTGTTTTGAGACAGAGTCTTGCTCTGTTGCCCACACTGGAGTGCAGTGGCACGATCTTGGCTCACTGCAACCTCCGCCTCCTGGGTTCAAGGGATTCTCCTGCCTCAGCCTCCCAAGTAGCTGGGATTACAGGCGCCTACCACCATGTCTGGCTAATTTTTGTATTTTTAGTACAGACTGGGTTTCACCATCTTGGCCAGGATAGTCTCGAACTCCTGACCTCAAGTCATCCACCGGCCTCAGCCTCCCAAAGTGCTAGGTTTACAGGCGTGTGCCACCACACCTGGCTCTTCCTGCATATTTTTACAGCACCTTGGTCTGAAGGAGACAAGCGTGCACACAGGGAGACAGATCAATCAGAGAGCCATGGCAACCATGCAAGTGAGACATTTGGGTGGTGGGGACCACGGAGGTTGCAGCAAATGTGGTGAGAAATGGTCGGATTCTGGACATGTCAGTTATTATACTGGAAATGTGACTTCACTAGTATGACATCCATTGGGTTTAAATCATTCATACTGAACACTCAGAAAGCTAGCATCCATTATTTCCTGTGGATCTTTTCCCGTGATGTCTCATCCCAAATTCCACCCAACAATTTCGTGAAGCCACTTTCTCCCACCTTTTGGACTCCACAGACACAATTCCTCTGTGATACCTTTCCTTCCTCAAAGGCCTGGCCGGGGACCCTGCTTCCCAAATGGACACACTTCCCACGGTGTACCTCAGCCTCTGGCTCCCTAACCTTCTGGATTTTTTTTTTCTTTTTTACTTTTTTTGAGACAGAATCTCACTGTGTCACCCAGACTGGAGTGTGCAGTGCTGTGATCTTGGCTCACTGCAGTCTCCACCTCTGGGTTCAAGCAATTCTCCTGCCTCAGCCTCCCGAGTAGCTGGGATTGCAGGCGTGTGCCACCACGCCCAGCTAATTTTTGTATTTTTAGTAGATACGAGGTTTCACCATGTTGGCCAGGCTGGTCTTGAACTCCTGACCTCAGGTGATCTGCCTGCCTCGGCCTCCCAAAGTGCTGGGATTACAGGCATGAGCCAGTGCTCCTGGCCCCTTCTGGATTTCATTGACATTACAAATGCATGTGCTTTGACTTGAAAATGAAACAAAAATACTCTTCATTTTCTCTCCAAAAGCTTGACTGGTTAAAGCTGATCAAGGGTGAAAATGGCACTTTAAAAGTCATCAACCTAAGTGTGTAACCTAAATTATGCCATTGGCTACACGAAGTGGGGTTTCTACATGAAACACCGTGATAGAGAGTGGAGCTGGATGCTGTGTGATGTTATCAGCCAAGCTGCCGTCTCCCCAGGACTGCAACACTCAGGACACCACCAGGCATTTTGCTCTCAGTAGCTTTAAATATCCTTAGTGATGGTCTAATGTGACTCCCACAGGAACACCGTTTGCTGCTTTCTTTTGTAGTTCTTAGTAATAGGAGTCCTTTTTTTTCCCCTAACAACGAATGCACAACCTGATCTTGTGTCTTTGTTTCCCACATTGCATGCATTTCATGCTGTCGTGTTTTGTGTTCTTATTTTCTAAACAAGTAGAAAAAAGAACAGAGATCTACAGGTGTAAATACATGCCTATAAAACCATCCACTATCCTGAGGGTGGATAATAATAATACTACAAACTACGAAATTGATTATATGTCACTGAGAGTTGTCAACTCCTTACATTTTATTCCAGTATGTTCCATGAATAGAACCGGGAAAATTTTAAATCCCAATTAAACAACACTCATTTTCTGACCCAAACCAAACTGAGCTTCCTTTCCTGTTTCCCCAGAGAATATAAACAGATACAGTTAAACTGCCATGGAGCCATTATTTTTTTTTTAATTGTGAGACAGAGAAAAAAAAATACCCAACAAACCTTTCTCCTTTTCAGTTTTGCTTTATATTCTTCATATACTTTTAATGTTGTTTTTGCTTATAGCAAACAAATATAATAATGATAATAACAGGCCGGACACAGTGGCTCACGTCTGTAATCCCAACACTTCAGGAGACTGAGGTGGGTGGATCACCTGAGGTCAAGAGTTCAAGACCAGCCTGGCCAACATGGTGAAACCCCATCTCTACTAAAAATACAAAATTTAGCTGGGTGTGGTGGCAGGCGCCTGTAATCCCAGCTACTTGGGAAGCTGAGAACCGCTTGAACCTGGGAGGCAGAGGTTGCAGTGAGCCGAGACAGTGCCATTGCACTCCAGCCTGGGCAACAAGAGCAAAACTCCATCTCAAAAAAAAAAAAAATGCTAATAACAAAATCAACCACCTACAACCCACACTCATGTCATTAACCTTGAGTCATCCTGGGGTGGCAGGGGGTGGTGACAATGAGACAAGTGTTCTACTTGAATCCCGTTCCATCACTTGATAACTTTTGGGTTTTATTTTATTTTTTTTTTTAGAGATGGGGTCTTGCTCTGTCACCCAGGCTAGAGTGCAGTGGCACAATCATAGTTCATTGCAGCCTCCAGCTCCTGGGCTCAAGCAATCCTCCCAGCTCAGCCTCCTGATCCCTGTGGTCAGATGGAGGATACTGTGATTGATCAGATCCACAAGAAATGGGAGAGAGGTGAGTCCCCTAAGTAAGTGATGCTTACAGACAAATACAACATAGTCACCTCCATTCCAAAACCATAACCTCAACAAAAGAAAACATAAAGTCCACTGCTTGTGTGAGGTAGAAAAGTCCACCAGGGCCAGGCGCGGTGGCTCATGCCTGTAATCCCAGCACTTTGGGAGGCTGAGGCGGGTGGATCACGAGGTCAAGAGATGGAGACCATCCTGGCCAACATGGTGAAACCCCGTCTGTACTAAAAATACAAAAATTAGCTGGGCGTGGTGGCATGCACCTGTAGTCCCAGCTACTTGGGAGGCTGAGGCAGGAGAATCGCTTGAACCTGGGAGGCGGAGGTTGCAGTGAGCCGAGATCGTGCCACTACACTCCAGCCCAAATGACAGAGCAAGACTCCATCCAAAAAGAAAAAAGAAAAGAAAAGAAAAAGAAAAATCCACCAGAACTTCCTTACTTAGACAACTTTACTTCTTTGTAAGGTTGTTTGCTTTTGCTCATTGTAAATATCATTCCATAATATAAGCAGCAGAGACTCAAGGGTTAAGAATCTACCTAACTAAACTATCAATCAAACAGGAGGTATAATAAAGACATTTTTAGACTGGTAAAGTTTCAAAATATTATGTCTTATGTACTATTTCTTAGGACTATCCTAGAAGATATATCTCATTTAAATGAGGAAATAATTTTTTTTTTTTTTTGAGACAGAGTCTTGCTCTGTTACCTAGGCTGGAGTACAGTGGCACAATCTTTTCTCACTACAACCTCTGCCTCCCGGGTTCAAGTGATTCTCCCGCCTCAGCCTCCCAAATAGCTGAGACTGCAGGTGTGCACCACCACGCCTGGCTAATTTTTATATTTTTTGTAGAGACGGGGTTTCACCATTTTGGCCAGGCTGGTCTCAAACTCCCGACCTCAGGTGATCCACCCACCTTGTCCTCCCAAAGTGCTGGGATTATAGGCATAAGCCACTGCACCTGGCCAGGAAATAAATTTTTAAGAAGATTACGAATATCCTAGAGGATATACCTCATTTAAAAGAGGGAATACACTAAAAAAAAAAAAAAGACACAGGATGAAGACAGCAGGAAGTCCAGCACAGGAGGTGGAGAAGGAACCCCCAGGGTGGTGGGAAAAGCCTCCTGGGATGACGGCTCCACAGAGAGCAACCAGGACAGAGGGGGAGCTGGAGGCGGGGCGTGCAAGAAAGATCAAGAATTCTCAAGGGAGAAAAACAGTAAGATAACAATAAAAATAATAAAAATTATTCAACAAAATATTCAAATAAAAATTATTCAACAAAATAAAAGCCAATAGATAACAATGATTCTGAATTTATTAAGGGACTTACTGTGCTGTGTTGAGAAAGTTAGAAGGTGGCATAATAGGCAAATGTGAAACCAAGTGAACAAAAACTCAAATGTAGAAACAAAGACGTTCAAATCAATTACCATCTCTAGGGGGGAATAGAACAAGACAAAAAATGTATTCATAGTATACTCAATGGCTCTGTTATGAAGAATACTATACAGATCATAAAATGTAAACAATTAAAATTAATTAAACAAAAACTGTGCTATAACCCTATTGATAAGATTGGGGGTATTGAATAGCAATGTGTGTGTGGAGTGGAAAATAAATAAATGCTTTTCTCCACTTGCACCCAGTATAATTAATAAGTTGACAGAGAGAACCTTTTTTATTTTTTATTTATTTTATTTTTTGAGACAGACTCTCGCTCTGTCACCCAGGCTGGAGTGCAGTGATGCAATCTTGGCTCACTGCAACCTCTGCCTCCCAGGTTCAAGCGATTCTCCTGCCTCAGCCTCCCGAGTAGCTGGGATTACAGGTGCACACCACCAAGGCTGGCTAATTTTTGTATTTTTAGTAGAGATGGGGTTTTACCGTGCTGGCCAGGCTGGTGTCGGACTCCTGGACTCAAGCCATCCACCTGCCTCAGCCTCCCAAAGTGCTGGGATTATAGGCATGAGCCACTGCGCCCAGCCATTGCCCTTTTTTTTTTTTCAAATACACACTATTTGAAGTTTTCCCCCCACTCAGAGAAACAACGTTATATTCAGTGACTTTCAGGTAATAACAGGAAGTCTCTTTTTCAGGTGCTAAAAGTCTAATCGTGTCTATTCTGATATCAAAACTTCAGTCTAGATTTTGCCCTGGGTATATTGGACTTGAATATAGACACCTCCCCCGTAGAAAACAATGATCAAACCCGAACATGACATGAAAAGCAACGACGGGAAAGTCCTGGAGCATGAACGGAAGGTGACGGTGGCGGGTGAGGAGTGCAGCTGGAGTGCTGGTGCATGCAGGGAGAGAGCCAGACAAGCAAATCCCATCTCTGTGGCTTTTTGCCTGTGGCCGTGTGCAGTCCGTGTAGCATGAAGGCCAGTAGACATGGCAAATCCACAGGTTTTCTGGCATGGGGAGCAAGAAAAATGAAGCCAGAAAACCAGGAAAGCTGAAGAGAATGAGAGGGTCCCAGAGGGAAACATTTAGAAATGGGATGCTCAAATTATATCTCTCACAGACCCCAGAGGCACACATATGTGAAACAGGCTTAAAGCAGCCCAGCTCAGGAAATTAAATCTAAACTGAGAACACAGCTACCATCCAAGAGATACTCTTCACGCTAAAATTTCCTACTAACACAAAGGGGGAAAAACACGCATTGGAGAAAAATAACAGAATCCAGAATCTCCACAATTTAATATTTGAATTCCAGGATCAATCCAAAATTACCTGTCATATGAAGAATCAAGAACATGGAATTTGGCCAGGCGTGGTGGCTCACACCTGTAATCCCAGCACTTTGGGAGGCCGAGGCGGGTGGATCACCTGAAGTCAGGAGTTTGAGACCAGCCTGGCCAACATGGTGAAACCCCGTCTCTACTAAAAATACAAAATTAGCTGGGCGTGGTGGCATGTGTCTGTAGTCCCAGCTGCTCAGGTGGCTGAGGCAGGAAAATCCTTGGACCTGGGAGGCGAAGTGTGCAGTGAGCTGAGATCGTGCCACTGCACTCCAGCCTGGGTGACAGTGCGAGACTCTCTCAAAAAAAAAGAAAAAAAAAGAAAAAGAAAAGAGAAAATGGAATTCATTCTCAAGAAAAAAGAGAATCAATCAAGCCACATCCCAATTTGAACCCAGTTGAAACTCACAGACAGGATTTTAAAGTAGATATTGTAACTACTGTCAGTAAAGTAAAAGACACATGTTTTCAACTGAAGAAAGTCTCAGCAAATAGAAAATCTCATCAGAGGAAAGACTAAATGAAATGCAAGATAAGTCAATCAAAATTACCCAGGCCTGGCGTGGTTACTCACGCCCGTAATCCCAACATTTTGGGAGGCTGAGGCGGGAGGATCACTTGAGCCCACGAGTTTGAGGCTGCAGTGAGCCATGATCATGCCATTGCCCTCCAGCCTGGGCAACAGAGCAAGACCCTGTCACAGATACAAAAAAAGAAAATTGACCCCAAATAGTCATAGACAAATATTCTAGAAAAGTCATTGAACTTTTAATGAAATGATAGGCTTTTTTGGGCAGCCCAGCACACAAAAATCTAGTTATTTACAAAAGGGGAAAACTCAGGCTGGCCTTGGATTCCTTTGTGTGTTATTTTAACCCATATTAAACAGTAGAACAACACTCACAAGATATTTAAGGAAAGAAAGGGACAAGAGCGGCCTGCTGAGCCTAACTGTCCTTAGGTGTAAGTCTAGAGATGCAGTTTTTGTTTTGTTTTGTTTTGTTTTGTTTGTTTTGTTTTTGGGACAGTGTCTGTCACTCACTCTGTCGCCCAGGCTAGAGTGCAGTGGTGCGATCCTGGCTCACTGCAACCTCCGCCCTGCCGGGTTCAAGCGATTCTCCTGCTTCAGCTACCCGAGTAGCTGGGACTATAGGTGTGTGCCACCACACCCGGCCAAGATGCAGAGTATATTGATCCTTGTGTCATCCTTAAGGACACTATTTAAGGACTACTTAAGGACAATAGGGTGTCTATTTTAGCTGAGTAAGAAATAATTGGAGTAATGAGGGTAAGATACTCTGGGTGGGTCTTGAATATCCAGAGCCACGGAACTAAGACTAAAACAGATGGGGTGGAAGGAGGGTGACAGAACAGACTGAAAATGGCATATGCTTGGCAATGCAGAAAGGATGCCACCGACACAAACAGTGATTGGGGAAATGAGGTAAGAAGGAGGATAAGCTCATGAACATGTCATCAGTAGTAACTGGTCAGCTGGGCGCTGTCGCTCACGCCAGTAATCCCAGCACTTTGGGAGGCCAAGCTGGATGGATCACGAGGTCAAGATATCAAGACCATCCTGGCCAACATGGTGAAATGCCCTCCCTACTAAAAATATAAAAATTAGCTGGGCATGGTGGCGTGCACCTGTAGTCGCAGCTACTTGGGAGGCTGAGGCAGGAGAATTGCTTGAACCTGGGAGGTGGAGGTTGCAGTGAGCTGAGATCGCGCCACTTCACTCCAGCCTGGCGACAGAGCAAGACTCCATCTCAAAAAAAAAAAAAAAAAAAAAAAGTAGAAACTGGTCGTCAAAGGGTACCATTTAAACCTGGTCCTTTGCCCCCTTGCCCTCAGATCCAGTCCTCACCCCTTTGCTGCTCTGATCAGTGTCAAGAGAAGGCTGGGCCCTGCAAGCTGTGTTTCATAGCTCCTGTGTCTCCTGTTGTTTTTCTGGGTCAGCCATGTCAAGACACAAGAGGACAACTGGAAAGTGACAAGAAGGAGAGAAGCTTGGGCAACATTGCCAGTAGCAGGTGCATTGCCTCTGGGGCTAAAGCTCCTACCCCACAACATTTTTCTTTTCTTTTCTTTTCTTTTTGAGACAGAGTTTCACTAATTTTGTATTTTTAGTAGACACCGGGTTTCATCGTGTTGGCCAGGCTGGTCTCAAACTCCTGACCTCAGGCGATCCGCCCACCTCAGCCTCCCAAAGTGTTGGGATTACAGGTGTGAGCCACTGCACCCGGCCCACACATTTTTCTTAGGTCACAGCTACTACCAGGTAACCCCTGTCCCCAAACAGTCACACCACCTTCTCCCACCCACCTAGAGGAAGTCATGGCTTTCTGGTGTTACTAATCTGTGGGTTCCTACCCGGTCTCATTTGGCTTCTTGACTCTTCTACCACCCATGTAGCCAATTTCCTGAATTAAAGTCAATCATTAGTTTTTTGTTGTTGTTGCTTTTTCTTTTCTTTCTTTCTTTTTTTTTGAGACAGCGTCTTGTTCTGTTACCCAGGCTGGAGTGCAATGGCACGATCTCAGCTCCCTGCAACCTCCGCATCCTGGGTTCAAGCGATTCTCCTGCCTCGGCCTCCCAAGTAGCTGGGACTACAAGCCCATGCTACCACGCCCAGCTAATTCTTTTTTTTTTTTTGTATTTTTGTAGAGACGGGTTTCACCATATTGCCCAGGTTGGTCTTGAACTCCTGACCTCAGGTGATCCACCCGCCTCGGCCTCCCAAAATGCTGGGATTACAGGCATGAGCCACCACGCCCAGCCTAAAGCCTTTAAAACCTAAAGCTTTAAAGGCTTTAGTGGGGTTTCTGTTTTTCTAGACCCTGACTGATACTAAAATTGACAGCTCAAGTAACAAAAGTGTAAACATATTAAAAGAACAAAGGTTGGCCGGGCGCGGTGGCTCATGCCTGTAATCCAGCGCTTTGGGAGGCCGAGGTGGGTGGATCACCTAAGGTCGAGAGTTCGAGACCAGCCTGACCAACATGGAGAAACCCCATCTCTACTAAAAATACAAAATTAGCCGGGTGTGGTGGTGCCTGCCTGTAATCCCAGCTATTCGGGAAGCTGAGACAGGAGAATTGCTTGAACCTGTGAGGCGGAGGTTGGGGTGAGCTGAGATCGCACCACTGCACTCCAGCCTGGGCAACAAGAGCGAAACTCTGTCTCAAAAAAAAAAAAAAAAAAAATGTATCGTTATAGCCGGAAGCAGTGGCTCACGCCTATAATCCCAGCATTTTGGGATGCCGAGGTGGGTGGATCACTTGAGGTCAGGAGTTTGAGACCAGCCTGGCCAACATAGTGAAACCCAGTCTCTACTGGAACATATAAAAATTAGCCAGGCATGGTGGCACACGCCTGCAGTCCCAGCTTCTCAGGAGGCTGAGGTGGGAGAATTGCTTGGACCCAGGAGGTGGAGGTTGCAATGAGCCAAGATTGTGCCACTGTACTCCAGCCTGGGCAACAGAGTGAGATTCCATCTAAAAAAATAAATAAATAAGGACCGGGCTTGGTGGCTCACTCCTGTAATCCCAGCACTTTGGGAGGCTGAGGCAGGCGGATCACAAGGTCAGGAGATCAAGATCATCCTGGCTAACACAGTGAAACCCCATCTTTACCAAAAATACAAAAGATTAGCTGGGCATAGTGGCACATGGCTGTAGTCCCAGCTACTTGGGAGGCTGAGGCCGGAGAATTACTTGAAACTGGGAGGCAGGCTGCAGTGAGCCAAGATCACGCCACTGCACTCCAGCCTGGGTGACAGAGCAAGACTCCATCTCAAAAAAAAATAAATAAAAACAAAAATAAAAACTAAATTACAAAATAAAATAAAGTTATTATAAAGGTGTCTACTAGAAAAAATATACTAATTTTTCTAAATATACTAATATACTAATCTTTCTAAATATACTAATCTTTCTAAATATCAGAAGAACTACATATAAAAAACAAAGCAAAAGCAAATAGACAAATTTTAAAAAAATGGAAAACAATATAACAGATCTAAGACTAAACATACCTTAGTCACATCTATGAATACAAATGGGGTTAGCATCCCAACTAAGAGAAAAATATTTTTAAGTTAAATCATAAGGCAAAACATAATTCTCTCTACCTGAAACACAACTAGAACAGAATATTGAAAATGAAAAGATGAGTAAAGCTGTATTAAGGGAGAGTGCACCAGAAGAAAGCAAAGGTCATGGTTTTTTTCTTTTTTTTGGCGGAGTTTCGCTCTTGTTGCCCAGGCTGGAATGCAATGGCGCGATCTCGGCTCACCACAACCTCTGCCTCCCAAGTTCAAGTGATTCTCCTGTCTCAGGTTCCCAAGTAGCTGGGATTAGAGGCATGCACCACCACACCGGCTAATTTTGTCTTTTTAGTACAGACGGGGTTTCTCCATGTTGGTCAGGCTGGTCTCAAACTCCCGACCTCAGGTAATGCACGCACCTTGGCCTACTAAAGTGGTGGGATTACAAGCATGAGCCACTGTGACCGGCCAGGTCATGGCTTTAATTTAATTTTAGGTAAATTGGAGTTCAGGCCAAAAAAAAAAAAAGATTAAGTAAGACCAATAAAAACACCTTGTAATGCTAAAGGGTATGATTCACAGTGAAGATATAATGATATAATAGTTATAAATAACTGAGTACCAAATAACAATGCAATGGCACTCATAAACTTGGAATTACAGGATACAAAAGGAGAAAGAAACAGAATCACGCTGGTTTCATTCCTGACTCTATAGTCTATGACAAATCAAATTAATAAAAATGAAATCAATAATATAGAACTCTCATATAATCTATGTTAAACATGATCGTTCATATATATATATACATATTCTCTACACATAGAGCATATTCTTATTTCAAGAATATTCAAGAATAGAACATTCAGGAAAACTGACCACATATGAGGCCACGAAAAAAACCTCAATACATTCCAGAACATAGAAACAGCATAGGCAGCCTTCTTTGGTCACAATGCAATAAAATGATAAATTAATTTTTAAAAACAGATAACAAAAATTCCTTTTCACCTGAACATCTTTAAAGTTTATCCTATATGAATTTAAAGAAATTCTTCTTAACTCTTGGATCAAAATATAATATTAACCTAAATCACAGGACTTCTAGAAAATAAAAATAACAAAAACAATACATTTTCCACACCTTGGAATCTATGAGATAGTGTTAAGGTAGTAGTGGAAGATAAATTCATAGGTTTAAATACTTAAATAAATAATAAATAAAAACCAAATGAACCAAGCATCTAGCTTAGAAAAAGAACAATAAAATAAACTGAAGGGATGTAGAAAGAATGAATTAATAAAAATAAAAACAGAACTTTCTAACTTAGTGAATTAGAAAACAGAAAAAAAAGAAGTAAACTGAATCTTTGGGGAAAAGAATTAAAGAATAGAAAAGCACTAGCTAACTTAATACAGAAAAAAAAAGTAGAAAATGCAAATGTACAAAATAAGAAAGACTAAGAGAAAACCACGAAACTATATTAAATTAAAACAACCATAAGGAAATACTTTGGTCAACTCCATGAAAGTAAAATTTGAAAACTTGGATGAAAAATACAATTTTCTTGGAAAATATAATTTAGCAAAATGGATCCCAAAGAAAAAAAATCAAAGCATTCTGATTCTCATACAACAAAGAGAAAAAGTTGCCAAAGAGTTCCCTCAGAAATGCCCAACTAGTGTCACAGGGGCATTCTAAGATATCTTTAAAGAGCAGGTAGTACTCAATTCTGTGTAAATTGTTCTAGCATGTAGAAAAGAAGGAACATGCTTGAATTATTTTATGAAATATAACATTGATTTCAGAACCTGAGATGGCACACTTCAACCAAGAAAACTACAAATGCATCTCATGTATTAATGCAAAAATCATAAGAAACAAATAACTTTCAAAAAATTACATGGGAATAATGTGGGGACAATTTTGTGACCACTGTTTAGAAAATGCAATCTGACACAACTTCGAGTATGGACCAGTTGCCTCAGGTGAACCCTGGGTGCTGGACCTGGAATCAGCCAATGGCCGTGTTCCTCTCCCAGATAGCTGCCCAACACCACACCCTTAATGCACATTCCTTCGTGGGTTCATTCTTCAGCAGGCAGCACAAGGCCATTCACTGCTCCTACTGCCTCTTTTTATATAGTATCAGAAAGTTCCAGAGAGACTGGGCACAGTGGCTCACGCCTGTAATCCCAGCACTCTGGGAGGCCGAGGCAGGTGGATCACCCGAGGTCAGGAGTTCAAGACCAACCTGGTCAACATGGTGAAACACCATCTCTACTAAAAATACAAAAATTAGCTGGGCATGGTGGTGCATACCTATAATCCTAGCTACTCGGGAGGCTGAGGCAGGAGAATCACTTGAACCCAGGAGGCAGAGGTTGCACACTGAGCCGTGATCGCACCACTGCACTCTAGCCTGGGTGACAGAGGAAGACTCCGTCTCAAAAAAAAAAAAAAAAAAGAAAGAAACTACCAGAGAGTTCCAGAACCTTCCTTCAAAACTGGGAGATTCCTGGCCCTTATTCAAGAGGTCCCCCCTATGACTAGCTGCCTCCTCAGATAAACAACATTTCCAGTGATCTTTAATGGATGATTATGGGGTTCTGTGATGCCCTTCGGTGTAACACATTTGTGTATTTTTTGTTTGTTTTGCAGAGATGGGGTCTTGCTATGTGGACTAGGCTGGTCTCAAACTCCTGGGCTCAAGAGATTCTCCTGCCTTGGGCTCCCAAAGTGCTGAGATTATAGGCATGAGCCACCACACCCAGCCCATATTTGTGTTTTAATTGTGGACTTCCTTCACTTTTAGCTCCTTTAAATAAAAGATTCAGGCATTAGAGGTATTGTGTCCTGTTAAGAGGAAGGACATTGGGGTGGGGGGCCTAGTAAGCATTTGGCGTCTCCCATATTACACAGTGTAAGTGACTTTTGATGGCTTCAATAGGCAGCCTAGCCTATTAGTACTGCAGCTGGGGACCCACATGGTATCTGGTATTTCTACCACAAGTTAGCTGAGGTATTTGTAAAATCAGCATATTCTTAGGTGCATGTTGTCTAAATCATGACTGCCAAGCTCCCAGGAGGAACTCGACTATCCTGTATTTCCAGGATTTCTCCCTTTTTCGGCTGCACCCGGTTGAGCACTTGCTTGTAAGCCCAGGTTTCCATGCCTAGAACTAATGGTTACCCCAAGGCCCTCTCTTTGCCCTGCAACTGGATGGAATGTATCCCATGAACTCTAAAGGGAACCCAGCAGACAGAACATAGCAGTCACTACCTTTAGAAGAAGCATCCTCAATTAGTTCTCTTTCAGGCTGGAGTTACTCCCGGGCTGGGAGTATCCAGCTTCAGGGAAGGGCTGTCAACCCTGACCCCTGACCCCTCAGGCACGGGGTTGGCTTCTGCAGACATTCCCAGGGCACCCCCTTCTGCCAAGCTTGGGTGTGGACAAGTGTAATTAATCGGGTCCTCACCACCAAAGCTTGTTCAGATTTGTCAGTTGGTTGTTTTTTAAATTATTCTGTTTGTCATTCTTCTCACTGAGGCAGCGGGCTGTTTATCCTACAACACACAGGCAAAGGTGAATCGTGTTAAATGCAGGGAGGAATTAGGGGAGAAGGATTTGGTTTGATGGGGAATTTTCAGAGGAAACGAAAATCAAGTTTATAGATAAAAACAAGGTAGGAAGCAAAGGATTGGGAGATTTTCAGCCTGTATTACAAAGAATCGACTCTTGCTTCTTCCTAGATGCTGAGTCTACATGGATTAGAAGAGAGACGCTCACTTCATCCAGGACACAAAGAGAGCAAGCTTGCAGAGCACTTGCCCAGGCCTGCATCCGCCTTCCCTGCCTTCCCTCGGATGGGGCTGGGTGATTGCAGCGGCCTTCACCACATTGGGTAGAAGCAGGGAGACATGCAAATTAGAAAACCAGGAGATCGTCACAGCAGATCAGTTTTCAAAATCTGGGCTGGACATAAACTGGAGTACTTCTAATCTGATCAGGACACCTGGGGCTGTGGCAGGAAGCAAATTCTATTTTTCAAAAGACAGGAGAATTGCTCTGAGTATCGTGATGGCTCGCATCATCTTTTCCACCAAAATTCCAAGACGCCTTAGCGTTGCTGGATATGTATTGTAAGCCCTACAGCCTTCATCTCATCCAGACACTCGAGATAAAGAAATGTTAGCCGGAGTTTAAACCATAAGAACAGATATGACTGAAATGGACCTCATTTCACCGGAGATTCCCAAGTCAGATTCACAAACACATGGGGCGTCCTGGTGGATAAACCTTTCCCCGGAAGACACATTTGTGAAGAGTCTTGGCCCCCAGTGTTGAGACTGATTCGGCGTCCTGAAATAACAACCCGCTGCCGAGGCACTCCACTCGGAAGGGCGTGAGAGCCTGACCTCTGAGGCTGAAATTACAGACCACCCTGTCAGGATGCACGGAGCATGTCGAAGAGGACGAGGCTGGTGCCCGACAGTTGACGCAGCCCGCCTGTTGGCCACAGGGAGCCACTGAAGGCAGATCTCACGTCACGATCAGTGGCCTCTGCACGTCTCTGTGAGGCTGGGGAAATGTCAGGGACTGAGGGACTCCCACTTCATCTGCAAGGGGAACAGGGAAAGGCCATCAGTACCTTCACAAGAACAGAAAAGCTTCCAAAGCAAACTGGAGCATGTCACTTGGTGCGACGCACATGCCGCACGGCCAGCCACCGCCACTCCCCAATTTCTCCTTTGCTGGGAAAGCCCTAGTTTTGTCATGGTGTCCACACATCTCCTCTAAGGCTCAGAGGCAAACCTCAGCATTTTCAGCCAGTTCTAATGGCTCCATTCCCCCAGGCAGTGATTTATCTAGGGACGTGGTTGTGCCCATTTCTGGCCATATGCAAAATAAGAGGGAATGGGGAGGGAGTTCTAAGAAATGTTTTCTGGTTTATAAAGAGTTAGGAGGCTGGGCATGGTGGCTCACGCCTGTAATCCCAGCACTTTTGGAGGCCGAGGCGGGCAGATCACGAGGCAAGAGATCCAGACCATCCCGGCCAACATGGTGAAACCCCGTCTCTACTAAAAATACAAAAATTAGCTGGGCGTGGTGGTGCGCGCCTGTAGTCCCAGCTACTCGGGAGGCTGAGGCAGGGGAATCGCCTGAACCTGGGAGGCGGAGGTTGCAGTGGGCCACGATAGTGCCATTGCACTCCAGCCTGGACAACAAGAGCGAAACTCTGTCTCAAAAAAAAAAAAAAAGAAAGAAAGAAAGAAAAAGAAATATTAAGCGATTCCACATTGAATTCCTAATACAAAATAAAAGAGAAAAAAATACTAGGCAATATGAGAGTAAAAAGCAACAACCATTTGTATTACATATATTATTTATCTTATGGAAATGGTCCTGCAAGTTAGATATTAATTTCTTTGGTTTCTATCTGAACAAACTCAAGTTCAAAGCAATTAAGCAATGCTCCCAATCTCACCCAGCCTAAGCTCATCTCTTTCCACTGTAGGCTCGTGCAGATATTTAGGTGGAGAGGAAACTGCACCACAAGTAAGACCTAAAACAGGCTTATCATTTGTTTTCCTTCTGGCAACAGGAAAAAGAAAATCTGTCCAGATTTCCAAATCTGTCCTCTGAATGGGTCTGTGCAAACATCAGGACCTAAAATAGATCTTCCAATAAATAGCACAAAGTAGGGGGGACAGGAGGAAGAAGTACACCGGCCATATAAAATAATACTGTCCTCTGTTCCAGGAGCATTACATATATCATGTCATCTCCATCAAAGCAGGCATTATGATGTTCATTTTCTAAATAAGGAAATGAGAAAGTTAATTCATTTCCCTAAGGTCACAGAGCTCTGAGTAACTGAACTGGATTGGAAGCCCTCTCTGTGTGAGGCCAAGGCCTGAGCTGCTTTTCCCTTAATTGCAGGGTACATGTGTGAGTGTGCATACATATGCACATGTGTGAGTGTGCATACATATGCACGTGTGTGTGTGTGCACTTGTGTGCATATGCGTGTACGGTTCCAATTTTATGAGTTTGTAAACTTTCTGTATCAAGTAGAATATACCCATCTGTCAGAGTAAGACAGGAGTAAAAATTGAATTAAATGAAAAGTAGGACTGCTAAGCAGGAGACCAAATTCTCAGCACCAAATCTCAGGCCCAACACAGGCACCTCCCACCTACCACTGCCCACTCTGGGGCAGCCCAGAAACCCTGAGTTCATCAGGACAGACCCTGGGAGACAGAGCACAGAACTGTAACCTGGGCTGGCGGAAACAACTCCTCCTCTGCCGATCCCCCAGCAAGGAGCCGGCTGCCCTCACCCCCACTTGCATTAGCTAACTTTTTCAAAAATGAATCAGAGTTTCAGATGAAGCTCCATAAAACCGTGGGCTGCTCTGAGACTGCAAATTGCTAGCAGATGTCTTTTTGGTTCGAGTACAGTCACATTCCTGCCAAGCATAAAAATGAGAGGTTAGAGAACAGATCATTTTATTATCACATAAGGAAAACCAGCCAATTAAGCCTTCATGTTTTTCAGGTATATGTGGCATGGATTTTGAAATCTCCTTGCAAAAGGACCATATCTTTGATAGCTAAAAAAGGCCTTGGCTCTTCAAGGTGAAGTCCTTTGCATCTGAATTTTATTCATTTGAAAACACAAAATAGGGTGTGTATTTCTTTCTTTCTTTTTTTTGAGACAAAGTCTCGCTCTGTCGCCCAGGCTGGAGTGCAGTGGCTCGATCTCGGCTCACTGCAGCATCCACCTCCTGAGTTCAAGCGGTTCTCCTGCCTCAGCTTCCCTAGTAGCTGGGACTACAGGCATCTGCCACCGTGCCCGGCTAATTATTTTCAGTAGAGACAGGGTCTCACCATGTTGGCCAGGCTGATCGTGAACTCCCAACCTCAGGTCATCTGCCCCTACCTTGGCCTCCCAAAGTGCTGGGATTACAGGGGTGAGCCACCACTCCCAGCCAAGGGTGTGTGTTTCTACATTTATTACCTATCAGGGCAGAGTGATTTTCTTTTAAGCTTTATTTAAACATGCTACAGGCCACTCTAACATACTTTATTATTAAAATTTCATCAGAGCCTGAACCATTTTCTTATTTGTTCTTGTTCTATAATCATATGTAACAAATTATAGGATTTCAGCTGAAAGGTGATGTGTGTGTATATATGTATATGCTATAATTTTTCTTTTTGTGGGTGGTGGGTGGGGCTTTATGGTGCATATTTTTACTTATCAAGCTTAGAGTGTGTTTGTCACAAAATTTCCATTTTAAGAGTACTTACTAGTCTGATTAAACACTTGTAAAAATGTCAATGGTCAATAACCTTTTAAATGAATCAGCTGAGCTTGACTAGGATGAGCTTAATTTAGCAATTAGCCTGGCCAAATTGTCTGTTATTATACAAGAAAAGTTTATAATAAAGTACATGCCTCAGTATAATAACTTTTGCCAGGCACAGTAAATCAAAAACCATACGTCTGCTGAGTCAGCTCCAACTGCAGGGACGGCAGCTAAAAATGTCTCTGACTTACAATGAAATTTGTATCCTCAATGTTTAACATTAAACCTAAAGACAAGGCCAGGTGCCGTGGCTCACACCTGTAATCCCAGCATTTTGGGAGGCTGAGGCCGGGGGATCACGAGGTCAGGAGATCGAGACCATCCTGGCTAACACGGTGAAACCCCCGTCTCTACTAAAAATACAAAAAATAAGCCAGAAGTGGTGGCGGGCGCCCATAGTCCCAGCTACTCGGGCGGCAAAGGCAGGAGAATGGTGTGAACCTGGGAGGCAGAGCTTTCAGTGAGCCGAGATCGTGCCACTGCACTCCAGCCTGGGCTACACAGCGAGACTCCATCTCAAAAAAAAAAAAAAAAAAAAAACCTAAAGACAAACACTGCAAGTTCAAGAATACCAGCAGAGTTATATTTTCTCAGTGCAGTTCAAATCCATGAATCTGCTAGCTTCTTTGTGGTAGGAGACTATGAAGCTCATAGGGGGAAAAAACTGGCCATATTTCTGAATAGTGAATTCAGCTAGAAACCAGCAGGCCTATAACACTTGTTTTTGTTTGGCTACACATGGCCCTGAGCCACAAAACATTGCAGAGCAGCCCGGGAGCTGCTACAAATGAACTCTGCTGCCCACCCCCTGGCAACCCCATGACATTTTCATCCTGAGGCTGTAAGTGTTTTGATGCTTCTCTGGTCTTGATCATACAACCCTTCATCACTCAGAGCTGAATCTCTTAGATGAAATGGTTTTCATTTTGTTTTTCTTTTTGTTTTGAGACGAAGTTTTGCTTGTCGCCCAGGCTGGAGTGCAGTAGTGCCATCTCGGCTCACTGCAATCTCTGCCTCCTGGGTTCAAGCAATTCTCCTGCCTAAGCCTCCCTAGTAGCTGGGATTACAGGTGCCTGCCACCACGCCCAGCTAATTTTTGTATTTTTAGTAGAGACAGGATTTCACCATGTTGGCCAGGCTGGTCTTGAACTCCTGACCTCAAGTGATCCAATCGCCTCAGCCTCCCAAATTGCTGGGATTATAGGTGTGAGCCACCATTCCCAGCCGATGAAGTGGTTTTCTGGTCCTTTTTTTTGAGACTGACTTTCACTCTGTCGCCCAGGCTGGAGTGCAGTGGTGCAATCTTGGCTCATTGCAACCTTTGTCTCCTGGGTTCAAGCAATTATCCTGCCTCAGCCTCCCAGGTAGCTGGGATTACAGGTGTGCGGCACCACACCTGGCTAATTTTTGTGTTTTTCGTAGAGACGGGGTTTCACCATGTTGGTGAGGCTGGTCTCGAACTCCTGACCTCAGGTGATCTGCCCACCTCAGCCTCCCAAATGCTGGGATTACAGGCGTGGGCCACCGTACCTGGCTGGTTTTCTAGACCTTTAAGCCAGTTGCAGCACAGCCCACTCTCCAAATTTACAAAGCACACTCCTCCCACCCCCGCCCACCCGCCCCCCCCCCCCACCCGCCCCCCCCCCCCGTCAGATGGATGCATTTACCCTTAGCTCTGCCACCAAGACCTAAGCAGAGAGCAGGGAGCCTATAATCAATCAACCAATCAGTCAATCAGTCAATCTGTGTTTACGGAGCGTCTGCCAAGTGTCCAGCCCTTGCTCTCTAAATACCATCTCTGGAGATATAAAATGAGTGAGCAGAATGGAAGTCCAAAGCATCACTATGAAACAGAAAACAGTATCTGCTGACTTTCCATCAACAGCCTAACTCAAAAATAGCACAAGGCCGGGCACAGTGCCTCACACCTGTAATCCCAGCACTTTGGGACCCGAGGCAGGATGATCCCTTGAGCCCAGGAGTTCGAGACCAGCCTGGGCAACATGGTGAGACCCCGTCTCTACAAGAAACTTAAAAATTAGCCAGGCGTGGTGGTGCATGTTGGTATTCCCAGCTACCCGGGAGGCTGAGGTGGGAGGTTTACTTGAGTCGGGGAGGTTGAGGTGGCATTGAGCCAAGATTACGCCACTGCACTCCAGCCTGAGTGACAGAGCAAGACCATGTCTCAACAAACAAATAAAAAAACAAAAATAGTACAAAATAGTGAGTGCAGTATGAGGAGGACATTCTGGGAAAGTTAAGATGTTCAGAGGTGAATGTGAGTGGACAGTGTGGTGATGCAAGCAGCCCCATCCTGGAATTAGTGGGATGAGGCATCTGGCATCTGCTGTGGGAACTCTCCCTCTGCAGAAAGGACTGCCTGGCCTTGCCCTTCCTGGCCTCTCCAGCTCTCCCATCACCACCAGAGCCCCAAATCCCCCACTCCAGGCCTGCCCCAGCCAGAAGGGACTTGGTGAGCTCTGCCCCATGCCACAAAGTGGTAGGATCCACATAATGTCTGAATGTGAACCATGGCAAAGAGGCATGAAAAATACAAGATCCTAGGAAAGGGAATGGTTGAGAAGGCTACCTTGATGCTTCCGCTTCAAAAGTTTCTGTCCGGCCGGACAAGGTGGTTCACGCCTGTAATCCCAGCCCTTGGGAGGCTGAGGTGGGCAGATCACCTGAGGTCAGGAGTCCGAGATCAGCCTGGCCCACATGGTGAAACCCTGTCTCTACTAAAAATACAAAAAATTAGCTGGGCATGGTGGCAGGTGCCTGTAATCCAGGCTACTTGGGAGGCTGAGGCAGGAGAATTGCTTGAACCCAGGAGGGGGAGGTTGCAGTGAGCTGAGATCACGCCATTGCACTCCAGCCTGGGCAACAAGAGTGAAACCCTGTCTCAAAAACAAAAAAAAAAAGTTTATTTCCAGCTCTTTGAAATAACACACAGCTCTATTTTATTGTTGAGTTGTAAGAGTTCTTTATATATTCAGGATACAAGCCCCTTATTGGATATGTGATTTGTAGACATTTTCTCTGATTCTGTGGGTTGTGTGGGTTGTTATTTCCCAAGGGAGGCTGTTTGGTTGACATTTAATTAACTCCTTAGACAGAATCCTAGGGGTAGTGTTAGACATTGTCATCGTCAGCCATAGTCTGGAAGTCTAGAATGTCGGCTTCTCATTAGTGCATCTTTGTCCCTGACAGCCGACCACCTGCCTCATGTGAGGGATTGGCTTGTGGAATGATTTGGAAAAGAGAAAGAACAACTCATTTCTCTTGTTAATTAAAAATTATCATCCGTAGCTTCATCTTAATGCATTTTCAAATTAGCCTCCATATGGCCAAATTACTCTAGCATGATAAAGAAACTCACATGGTTGGCCAAGCGTGATGACTGATGCCTGTAGTCCCAGCACTTTGGGAGGCTGAGGAGAGAGGATTGCTTGAGCCTAGGAGTTTGAGACCAGCTTGTGCAACATAGTAAGATCCGGTCTCTACAAAAAATTTTAAAATTAGACAGGCATGGAGGCTGAGGCAGGAGGTTCATGTGAGCTCCCAAGTTCTAGGCTGTGGGGAGCTATGATTGTACCAGTACACTCCAGCCAGGGTGACAGAGCAAAGCCCTGTTTTGGGAAGGAAAGGAAACGAAGGGAAGGGGAGGGAAGGGGAGGGGAAGGGAGGGGAGGGGAGGGAAGCCGGGCACGGGGGCTCATGCCTGTGATCCCACCACTTGGGGAGGATGAGGCGAGCAGATCACGAGGTCAGGAGTTCGAGACCAGCCTGGCCAACATGGTGAAACCTCTTCTCTACTAAAAATACAAAAAAATTAGCCGGGCATGGTGCCACATGCCTGTAATCCCAGCTCCTCAGGAGGCTGAGGCAGGAGAATCTCTTGAACCCAGGAGGCAGAGGTTGCAGTGAGATGAGATCATGCCACTGCACTCCAGCCTGGGCAACAGAGCAAGACTCCATCTAAAAATAAATAAATAAATGAAAGAAAGAAAGAAGGAAAGAAAGAAAGAGAAAGAAAGAGAGGAGGAGAGGGGAGGGAGAGGGAAAGAGAGCAAAGGAAGGAAGGAAGGAAGGAAGGAAGGAAGGAAGGAAGGAAGGATGGATGGAGAAAGAAAGAAAAGCAAAGAAAGAAAAAAGAAATGCAGGCCAGGTGTGGTGGCTAATGCCTGTAATTCCAGCACTTTGGGAGGCAGAGGTGGGCAGGTCACTTAAGGTCAGGAGTTCCAGACCAGCCTGGCCAACATGGTGAAACCCCATCTCTACTAAAAATACAAAAAGTAACTGGGCATGGTGGCACACACCTGTAATCCCAGCTACTCAGGAGGCTGAGGCAGGAGAATCACTTGAACCTGGGAGGCAGAGGTTGCAGTGAGCTGAGATCGTGCCACTACATTCCAGTCTGGGCAACAGAGTGAGAACCCATCTTGAAAAAAAAAAAAAAAGAGAGAGAGAGAGAGAGAGAGATAAATGCACATAGAAAATGTTAGCTGGCCACCTAAGCCGATTTTATTGATCATTTTGAGTAGATGATCATGTAGTTCACATGGTAACCATTTCCTCAAGCATCTCATAAGTTGAACCAAAAAGCAATACATTATCTACAGAAATAGTACTAACATTTTCAGGAAAGTCACCTACTAATGATCTAATGATGTCTGCTTGCCTCCTTATGCCAGGCTGAAAACTTGTTTTACTTTTCCTGATAAAAAATATGCAGGAAAAGTCTTCATTTCCTGAAGGTCTTCTCGCCAGTCTGCCATGAACACTCTGAGATGCAAACGACTCTGTGCCCAGAAGAAGCAAATCTCACAACTAGTGGTTCCCTGGCCAGTCACATTCTCTTTTTCTTTCTTTCTTTCTTTTTTTTTTTTTTGAGACAGAGTCTCGCTGTTGCCCAGGCTGGAGTGCAATGGTGCGATCTCGGCTCACTGCAACCTCCACCTCCTGGGTTCAAGTGATTCTCCTGCTTCAGCCTCCTGAGTAGCTGGGATTACAGGTGCGCACCACCACATCCGGCTAATTTTTTGTATTTAGTAGAGATGGGGTTTCACCATGTTGGCCAGGCTGCTCTTGAACTCCTGGACCTCAAGTGATCCGCCCACCTTGGCCTCCCAAAGTGCTGGGATTACAGGCATGAGCCACAGTGCCTGGCCTACATTCTTTTTTCTAATTGCCAAAAACAATTGTATGTACTTATGGACAAACAACAATTGTATGTACTTATGGTGTACAAGATGATGTTTGCATATATGAACACATGGTGGAATGACTAAAGCTAATTAACATATCAATTTCCTCACATACTTATCTTTTTATGGTGAGAACATTTAAAATCTACTCTATTAGCTATTTCAAATATATAATACATTGTCATTAACTATAATAATTAGTGCTTTTTGAAAAAGACAAAAGATTATGAGTCGTTTCTACACATTCTTTTTTTTTTTTTTTTTAGAGAGTGAGTCTCACTGTGTCGCCCAGGCTGGAGTGCAGTGGCACAATCTCGGCTCACTGCAACCTCTGCCTCCTGGGTTTAAGCGATTCTCCTGCCTCAGCCTCCTGAGTAGCTGGGATTATAGGCATGCACCACCATGCCTGGCTAATTTTTTTGTATTTTCAGTAGAGGTGGGGTTTCCCCATGTTGGTCAGGATGGTCTCGAACTCCTGACCTTGTGATCCACCCATCTCGGCCTCCCAAAGTGCTGGGATTACAGGGGTGAGCAACTGCGCCCAGCCCTACACATTCTTTTCCATTCTAAAAACTAGTTATTCATGGAAACAGGATACAACTGATTCTTAGGAACACGAATTACATCAGCATGGAAAAGTGTCTAGTAAGATGTGGGTAATGATGGAAGCCAAAGTGGAAGCTCAAGTAATCTCCATCTGAAGCAACTGTAAAACCAGAAAGGAAGCCCTCAGAATTTTGGGGGTGCTCCATGCAAAAAGCAAAGATAGGTCTTAGATGGTGAATTTATTTCTATATTAACATTTGATCACCTCACAAGGAGAGAAGATGTGGAAGAAGTACCTTTTAAAGAAATTCAGAAGATATGAAGTGAGTTATCCCCTACTCCAACTGAATGCCAGGATTCCTACACACAGTGAAAGAGCTTTTACTCAGCAGGCTTATTATGTAATATGTGTTCAGAGTTCAGATTCTTAAGGGCAGAACGTAACAACTTCAGCCTATAAAGGTAGGTCAGAAATTGCTTTTTTTTTTTTTTTTTTTAGAGACAGGGTCTCACTTTGTCACCCAGGCTGGAGTGCAATGGTGTGATCTTGGCTCACTGCACCCTCGACCTCCTGGGCTCAAGTGATCCTCCCACCTCAGCTTCCTTCAAGCTGGGCCTACAGGCACTAGCCACCATGCCTGGCTAGTTTTTAATTTTTTGTAGAGACAGGGTCTCACCATGTTACCTAGGCTGGTCTTGAACTCCTGGCCTAAAGCAATTCTCATGCCTTGGCTTCCCAAAATGTTGGGATTACAGGAGTGAGTCACCATACCTGGCCAGAAGTTGCATTTGATGGCAGAGAGAGATACTACCTGGAAATCATCATATCCACACAACAAGTAGCATCTTTAATTTAAATGTAAATGTGATTTCTTTGCAGCTTGGTTCAATTCCATTCAGGCCCTGAAACTGTTAGTCAAAATCAACTTGTTGAGCAGAGTTACATGTTCTGAGTTTCAATACTGCAATGTAAGAAAGAAAACAAGGACAGATTGATGATTTCAGGACAGCATCTGAGTTTACTCATTCCACATTAGAGCTGTGTGAAGATTGCCTCGGAGTGGCACAGTGTTGATGTTTCTGCCTGTGTTTAATTTCTTGATTTCACGAACAGCTTGGATTTTTTTTAAAGTGCTTCTGACTCATTCACATGTGGTTGCCTGACATAAGCCCACACACCATTTGCTCACAAATATGTCAATGACTGAATCCACCAAGAGCCTCGACCTGAGAAACCTGGGCCTAGATTACTGAGAGGATCTGTGGCTGCTTGTATATAGTCTTTCTCCCCATCAGCTCCATGATTCAGTATCATAGTTAATATGGAATTCTCCCTTGTTAACATGAAAATCGCTTTGGCAAAGTGTTATGTTTGTATGCAGAGCTTGGAGTTAATGTCAGGAATTTCATTTTCTTTTTTTTTTATTTTTATTTATTTATTTATTTATTTATTTTTAGAGAGATGGGGTCTTGTTATGTTGGCCAGGCTTGTCTTGAACTCTGGACCTCAAACAATCCTCCTACCTCAGCCTCCCCAAGTGCTGAGACGACAACCGTGAGCCACCGCACCTGGCCTTCTTTTTCTTCTAAATGCTGAAGTTAGATTCTACAGGGACCTAAAGGGAGTGTTAGTCCAAAGTCTTCTTTGCCCCTCAAAGATACTCTTTAAAAATCCAGTTCTTATCCTCGTAACTCATAAATACCAGACAGACGCAAGGTGCAGGAAGTCATGCCCTCTGCATCAGTGGATTCACATCCATGGATTCAGCCAACGACCAATCAAAAATATTAGGGAAAGGACTGGGTGCGGTGGCTCACACCTGTAATCCTAACACTTTGGAAGGCCAAAGTAGGCGGATCACCTGAGGTCAGGATTTCAAGACCAGCTTGGTCAACATGGTAAACCCCCATCTCTACTAAAAATACAAAAATTAGCCAGGCATGGTGGCGCATGCCTGTAGTCCCAGCTACTCGAGAAGCTAAGGCAGGACAATCACTTGAACCTGGGAGGAGGAGGTTGCAGTGAGCTGAGACTGCGCCACTGCTAAGGCAGGAGGGTCACTTGAGCTCAGGAGTTTGAAAAATATTGGGGAAAAAAATTGCATCTGTACTAAACATGTATAGGCTTTTCTTTCCTTGTCGTTATTCCCTAACAAGACAATATTCACACGTCATTTATATTAAGCTTTTTTGTTTGTTTGTTTTTTGTTTTTGTGGTTTTTTGCTTTTAGAGACAGGGTCTTACTCTGTTGCCCAGGCTGGAGTGCAGTGGCACCACCATAGTTCACTGCAGCCTTGAACTGGACTCAAAAGATCCTCCCTTTTCAGCCTCCCAAGTAGCTGGGAGGGACTACAGGTGCACGCCGCCAAACCCAGCTCATTAAAAAAAAAAAAAATTTGTAGAGATAGGATCTTGCTATGTTGCCCAAGCTGGTCTTGAACTCCTGGCCTCAAGTGATCCTCCTGCCTTGGCCCCCAAAGCACTGAGATTACCACACTTGGCCTCAAACAGCCCTCCTTGTCCCTGTTAGTCTAGTAACCTCGTCTAATAACTGTACCTCGTGTTTATTGACTCTCAGGGAATTGCATCCTCTTTGGAGACGATCTCATGTCTATGACTTGAGTTAAGCATCAGAGATGTTCTCTTTTCACGGAGCTAATAGTCCATTACTGGCAACTGACATTAAAAACATGACCCACACCCACCTCTGGGGAAGAGCTGCCCTGGCACTTGGCAGCCTCCCGGGAAAGGTAGTTGGGGTGAGGGTGTCACCCCCAGAAGGAGGTGGTGAAATGAAGCATCCACATCATACAGTGGCGACCAGAGGAGGAGAGCTTCCTATATTCCCGGACCCCAGCCGTGCCTCAATGAGCAGAGTTCTTACTGGAGCCGCAGAAGCGTATTAACCTCGCGACCCCATGACTTGCACAGAAGCGGGTTCTTTCTCCACACTCCCTGCCTCCGTGGGCGACCGCCTTCATCCTTAATATCCAACGTGACATGAAATATCTACAATAGCAACCAAATCACTGACACCAGATGCGATGTCAAATGCTCTGCATTACCCAAACAGCTGAATCGGGGCCGCCATCCGCACTTCCAGCTTCAGCCCTGGAAAACCACCCTGTAGGGTGCACTGGGGCTGCGGCTGCAGCTGTTACCTGGCAGCTTAGCTCAGGGAGCCCTCTCCTCTGCCCTTCCGGGCTGGCCAGGTTAGGGGCTCTCTGAGACAGTGACCCCCGGAGGCTCCTTTTCAGCTGCTGTCCTTTGTGTAGCATCAGTTGCTCTCCAGGGTTCACCACCTCCTGAGAGGACTTCACAGCTGCTCCGGGAAAGAACCACTCCCTCCTTGCCCTTTCTTCTCATTTCATTTTCCTGAGAAGTCAGAGCCATTCACCGCTCACTGCATAATCAGTTTTATCAAGATACTAATGAATTTAAGAGGCTTATTTGTCCCCTTGGATGTCGCTAAATGCCCACTGCTCAGAAATACAGCTGTGTCATCCTCCCTCAATTTCCATCCGCACTGAAGCTATGACGGAGCAGGAGCTTTGTTTTGCTTGGGGCAGCTGCCACTCTGTGACACACATCAAAGGGTGTGCGCTTCCACCCGCATCTCCCAGGCGCGCAGTAAGTGGCATTTCAGGGAGTTTGATGGAACCATCTGAGTAAGTACTTGTGTTTAATGAGATTCATTCTTCATGTGTTCCCACTAGCCGCAAGACGGTTTTGCATTTACCGGAATTGTAACACCATAACACTCCATTTTAATGACGGCCGGTGGCAGCTGGCACCCCAGTTCACAGCACCAACTTTTTGTTAATGATATGCAATTGGAATATATTTATCCCCTATTGAGAGATGGGAGCACAGCAGCCAATTGGCTTGTGCTTGTCTGACTTAAGCATAAGGATCAGAGTAACAAGGACCCAGTTTTCATGACCTGTTATCTTTTGCTACGTCCCAGGTCCCGAGAGCCTTGAAGACTCATAAATCCCCACTGAAGATCATGAGCCTGAGCATCTGAGAAGCAGCCAGGACTTTGTTCCTAATTATTTGCAAAAACAGGCTCCTTAGGCTTGCATCAGAAGTCCTTTGGAATAAAATCAGACCTCAGGAGGATGCCTACAGGTAGGAAGAACATGAAGAAATTTCATTCATTTATTTATTCACTCAATAAACAAATTCAAACAATAAACAATAAAGAAGCAGGCTGGGGCCAGACATGGTGGTTCACACCTGTAATCCCAGCACTTGGGGAGGCTGAGGGGGGGTGGATCACCTGAGGTCAAGAGTTCAAGACCAGTCTGGCCATCATGGTGAAACACCATCTCTACTAAAACTACAAAAATTTAGCCTGGCATGGTGAAACATACCTGTAATCTCAGCTACTTGGGAGGCTGAGGCAGAAGACTCCCTGGAACCCAGGACATGGAGGTTGCAGTGAGCCGAGATCACACCACTGCACTCCAGCCTGAGTGACAGAGCGAGACTCTGTCTCAAATAAATACATAAAGAAAGAAAGAAAGAAAACAAAGAAGCAAATATGTAGAACATCAGAAGAAGAATCATGAAAAGAAGTAAATTTTGGTTAAATAAAGAATGTTGGAGTCTCAAATTGATCAAGAGGATGTTTTTGTTACCTTAGGAGGGTTCAACTGGATTGCAATGATAAGAGAGCTGAAATTGAAAACATTTTAAAATGAGCAAGCCAACTCTAAAAGATCTCCAAGGCAAAGAAACCCTGACCTTCCCACAGTGATTTCAGCTCATTTTTAGACCCATTTAGTGTCTAAGATTTAGAGGCACAGAAGATCAGAATCTGCCTGTCCTGACATAGCATCCAATCCTGAGAACAATGAAATAGTCACCCTCATTTGACATTTTTTTTTTCTTCTTATAAAAATTATATAAACTCTGGCCAGGCGCGGTGGCTCACACCTGTAATCCCAGCACTTTGGGAGGCCGAGGTGGACGGATCACCTGAGGTCAGGAGTTCAAGACCAGCCTGGCCAACATGGTGAAACTTCGTCTCTACTAAAAATATAAAAATTAGTCGGGTGTGGTGGCGGGCACCTGTAGTCCCAGCTACTCGGGAGGCTGAGGTTGGAGAATCGCTTGAACCCAGGAGGTGGAGGTTGCAGTGAGCCAAGGTCATGCCACTGCACTCCAGCCTGGGCAACAAGAGGAAAACTCTGTCTCAAAAAAAAAAAGAAAAAAAGAAATATATATATACATATACATATTCATTATAAAGACTGCAGTCATTATCTATAGAAAATGAAAAGGAAAAGAAAGAAAAAGAATTGAAAACAAAAAGTGAAAAGGGAAAGAAAAAGAAAAATAAATAAAAAGTGAAAGAAAAAGAAAAAAATCGTCCATAATACCATCACCAAAAATAGCTTCCATCAAATATTGGTTAGAGACATACATGTGTTTGCATGTGTTTACATGTGTTTGCATGTGTTTATATTTTTCCCACAAAAGGGTGAGCATACAGTATATCTCAGTCTGTTTGTCTTGCTACAAAGGAAAATCAGACTGGGTAATTTATAAAGAAGAGAGATTTATTTGGCTGGCAGTTCTGCAGGTTGTACAAGAAGCATGGTTCCAGCATCTGCTTCTAGGGAGGCCTCAGGAAGCTTCCACACATTGGGGAAGGTGAGGAGGAGCCAGTGTGTGCGGAGATCACATGGCAAGAGAGAGCGCAAGGGAAAGAGAGGGGAGGCACCAGGCTCTTCTTAACAGCCAACTCTTGAGGGAATTAAGAGTGAGAACTCACTCAAACCCCCCACCCCAGGGAAGGGATTAATCTATCCATGAGGGTCCCACTCACATGACCCAAACACTTCCATTAGACCCACCCACAACACTGGGATCAAATTTCCACATGAGGTTTGAGGGAGGGACAAACATCCAAACTGACACCCTCCATTTTGTTCTATATCTTCTGTTTACGTTTACTTTCTCTCCCATGCCACTTAACATCTGCACAGTCATTTAGAATTGTGGGATCATTGCCTAGTTTTCCATGGAATAGATGTAGCATAAATAACTTTACCTAACTCCTGAAAGAAAAAGAATGTCAGGGTGAGGGTAGAGTTTGTTATTCTGTGTTGCTTGGTCAGAATGCCTGACTGAAAGGCTGGGTTTGGTGGCTTGCGCCTGTAATCCCAGCACTTTGGGAGGCTGAGGCAGGTGGATTACTTGAGGCCAGGAGTTCAAGACCAGCCTGGCCAATATGGTGAAACCCCATCTCTACCAAAAATACAAAAATCAGCTGGGAGTGGTGACAGGTGCCTATAATCCCAGCTACTCAAGGGGCTGAGGCATGAGAATTGCTTGAACCTGGGAGGCAGAGGTTGCAGTGAGCCAAGATTATGCCACTGCACTCCAGCCTGGGTGACAGAGCAAGACTCCATCTCGAAAAAAAAAAAAAGAGATCAGGAGCAATGGCTCAAGCCTGTAATCCCAGCACTTTGGGAGGCCGAGGCGGATGGATCACGAGGTCAGCAGTTTGAGACCAGCCTGACCAACATGGAGAAACCCCGTCTCTACTGAAAATACAAAATTATCTGGGCATGGTGGCACATGCCTGTAATCCCAGCTACTCGGGAGGCTGAGGCAGGAGAATCACTTGAACCTGGGAGGTGGAGGTTGCAGTGAGCTGAGATCACGCCATTGCACTCCAGCCTGGGCAAGAAGAATGAAACTCCGTCAAAAAAAAAAAAAGAAAGAAAGAAAGGAAGGAGGGAAGGAAGGAAGGAAGGAAGGAAGGAAGGAAGGAAGGAAGGAAGGCAGGCAGGCAGGCAGGCAGGCAGGCAGGCAAGCCTAACTGACAACAGGACACTGAGGATCACCCTGAAGGAGGAGGAGTGGATAGCGAGTCATGCTGCTCTCTGGAGGAAGCCTGTTTGGGGTGGGAGGACAATGCCAAGGGCCCTAAGGCAGGACTATGCTTGGAATGTCCAAGAAAGAGCAAAGAGGCCACAGGCGAGGAGGTGAGACTATAGGAGACAAGTTCAGAGAGGGAGTAGAGGCCGAGTGATACAAGACTGTGACCAGCGTCAGGTTGTGGGCTACTGCTGGGTGGAGGAGAAGCCAACAGTTTTACACAGAAGACAGACATGCCCGATTACATCTTAATGGGCTCCCCAGCTTCTGTGTTACCATAGACTACCGTGGGCAAGGGCAGGACAGAGAGACCCGTCAGGAGCTGTACTAGTCTGCAAGGGCTGCCATAACAAGATACTGCGGCCTGGGCAGCTTCAGCAACAGACATTTGTGTTCTTACAGTTCTGAGACTAGAAGTCTCAGATCAAGGTGTCAGCTGGTTTGGTTTCACCAAGGGCCTCTCTCCTTGGCTTGTGCACAGCCACCTTTGTGCTGTGTCCTCACATGGCCTGTCCTCTGTCTGTGCACCCCTGTGTCTCTTCCTCTTCTAAGAACAACAGTCGTATTGGATCACGGCTCCACCATTATCATCTCCTTTCACTTCTTTAAAGGCACTATCTCCAAATATAGTCATGCCAGGGATTAGGGCTTCTGCATATGAATTTTGGGAGGACATAATTCAGTTCATAACAGGAAGTGACTGCACTAACCCCAACAAGAGAGGACTGTGCTTGGACCCTGGTCTTACCAGTGGAGATGGTGAGAAGGAGCTGGGTTTCAGCTCTTTTTCTGAAGGCTGAATGAGACAGAACCATTTTTGTCCCAGCATTCGTGAGTATCAAGAATGAGTGGAAGGAAGACATTAAATTGTGAATGCTAGAAAAAAGAGTAGTGAAAGGGTCAGGGGGCTGGAAGGAATTTTCTTTTAGCTCCTCTGTTTTTTAGCCTCTTAAAACAAGCCTGTAGTGCAGTCTAACTGAAAGAAAGTAGAAATATGAAGGCATTTTTATTTTAATATAAAAATTTATTTAAAAGCCTTTAGCTCTTGAAATTTAAAAGTACAATTAAAAAATAAAGAAAGGCATTTTGTTAGCTTTTTATTGAAATATAATAAACTTTCAGTAACATGCACGTATCTTAAGTATACAGCTCAATGAGATTTTACATATGTACACACTCATGTAACCACCTCTCATGTCAAGATATAGAACATTTCCAGTTATCTGGAAGCTTCACTCATTGCCCTCTCCCAATCAAGAGCTCCCCAGAGGTAACCACTATCTTGATTCTAACAATATGAATTGGTTTTACCTATTCTTGTACTTTGTATAAATGGAATCAAGTGATGTGTATTTTTGTGTGTGCATCTTACTCTTTTCACTCAACATTATGCATATGAAGTTTATCCATGCTGTTTCATGCAGCTAAAGTTCATTCACTTTATGGGTGGGTTAGTATTCCGTTGTATAAATAGACCACAATTTACTTATCTCTTTTATTTCAGATGAAGAGTTGAGTTGCGTTCACCTTTTAACCATTATAATGTAAGTACAGTTTCAATAAAAATATCTATGTATGTCCTTTTGTTAGGCATATGAACTCATTAGGAAAAGCATTTCTTCTCATCAAGTAAGAAATAGTTCCCTTTCTCAATTAAAAAGTAGTCCCTTTTCTGGCTGGGTGCAGTGGCTCACACCTGTAATCCCAACACTTTGGGAGGCCAAGGCGAGTGGATCACATGAGGTCGGGAGATCAAGACCAGCCTGGTCAACATGGTGAAACCCTGTCTTAATTAAAAAAAAAAAAATTAAAAAAGTAGTCTCTTTCCTTCTCTCTGTCCAGAATCTTGTTAACAACAAAAATGAACACTTTAGGACTCCTCAAGCATGATCACTTTCAGGATGGTGCTGGAGCTAGTTCATCCAAGCTCAGGAGAGCCCATTGTTAAGTTTTCAGGAATCTTGCAAACTGAATGCTAACCACAGACTTTATTAAAAGTAGATTTATATGCATTTCAATTAATTTCAAAAAAATTGAAGAGGAAAGAATACTTCCAAATTCATTATATGAAGCCAGCGCTATCTTGATATGGAAGTCAGACAGACACTACAAGAAAAGAAAACTACAGACCAATATTCTTGGTGAATATTGACATAGAGATTCTCAAGAAAATACTAGCAAATAGAGTTCAATAGAACAACTAAAATATTATACATGATGACTAAGTAAGATTTATTCCTGGAATGCAAGGATAGTTCAACATATGAAAATCAAACAATGTGATATATGACATTAAAGATGTATGACACTAGAAGAAAACTATGACCGGACGTGGTGGCTCACACCTGTAATCCCAACACTTTGGGAAGCTGAGGCAGGTGAATCACTTGAGTGCAGGAGTTTGAGTCCAGCCTGGGCGACATAGCGAGACCCTGTCAAAAAAAAAAAAAAGAAAAGAAAAGAAAACTGCCTCAACATAATAAAGGCCATATATGAGAAGCACACACAACTAACATCATGTTCAATGCTAAAAGACTGAGAACTTTTTCCCCAAGATCAGAAACAAGGCAAGGATGCCCACTTTCACCACTTTTATTTAACATAGCACTGAAAGTCCTAGCCAGATCAATTAGGCAAGACAAAAAAAAAATGCATCAAATTGCAAAGGAAGAAATAAAATGATTTATGTTCCCAGACAACATGATCTTTTAGGTAGAAAACCACAAATATTCCACCAAAAACATCTGTTAGAACTAATAAACAGATCCAACAAAGCTGCAGGATACAATCTCAACATGCAAAAATCAGTTGCACTTTTATATACTAACAATGAATAATCCAAAAGGAAATTAAGAAAATAATTCCATTAACAGTAACATCAAAAAATATATATATTGAGGAATAACTTAGCCAAGGAGGTAAAAAATGACACACTGAAAACTACTGCCAGTTACAGTGGCTAATGCCTGTAATCCCAGCACTTTGGGACGCTGAGGCAGGTGGATTGCTTGAGCCCAGAAGTTTGAAACCAGCTGGGCAATTTGGCAAGACTCTGTCTCTACAAAAATAAAAATTAAAAAAAGTAGCCAGACATGGTGGTTTGCGCCTGTAGTCCCAGCTACTCAGGAGGCTGAGGTGGGAGGATCACTTGAGCCTATGAAGTCGAGGCTACAGTGAGCCATGATTACACCACTGCACTCCAGCTGCCTGGGCAACAGAGCAAAACCCAGTCTCAAAAACGAAAAGAAAAGAAAACTACAAAACATTGCCAAAAGAAATTAAAGAAGACACAAATAAATGGAAAGATATACTGTGTTTGTGGGTTAAAAGACTTAATATTGCTAAGACGTTGATATTGGCCAAAGCAGTCTATAGATTTAATACAATTCCTATCAAATCTCAAGGGCATTTTTTGCAGAAATAGAAAAACCTATTCTAAAATTCAGACACCAGGGTTCCTGAATAGCTAAAGCAATCTTGAAAAAGAACAACGTTGAGGCCAGGCGCAGTAGCTCACGCCTGTAATTGCAGTGGCTCATGCCTGTAATTGCAGCACTTTGGGAGGCCAAGGTGGGTGGATCACCTGAGGTCACAAGTATGAGACCAGCCTGCCCAACATGGTGAAAGCCCGTCTCTACTAAAAATACAAAGATTAGCAGGGTGTGGTGGTGCATGCCTGTAATCCCAGCTACTCGGGAGGCTGAGGCAGGAGAATTGCTTGAACCCAGGAGGCGGAGGTTGCAGTGAGCCGAGATTGTGCCACCGCACTCCAGCCTGGATGACAGAGCAAGACTCCATCAAAAAAAAAAAAGAGAGAGAGAAATAAATAAATAAATAAATAAATAAATCTCGTCTCTACCAAAAATGAAAAAAATAAAATAAAAATAAAAATAAAAAAAGTAGCCAGGTGTGATGGTGGGTGCCTGTAATCCCAGCTACTTGGGAGGCTGAGGCAAGAGAATCACTTGAACCTGAAAGGCGGAGGTTGCAGTGAGCCGAGATTGCACCACTGCACTCCAGCCTGAGTGACAGAGTGAGACCTGGTAAAAAAAAAAAAAAAAAAAAAAAAAAAAAAAAAAAAGAACGAAGTTGGAAGTCTCACACTTCCTAACTCTAAAAAATTTATTACAAACCCACAGTGATCAAAACAGTATAGTCCAGCCTGGGCAACATGGCAAAACCCTATCTACAAAAGATACAAAAATTAGCCAGGCATGGTGGTGCACACCTGTAGTCTCAGCTACTCAGGAGGCTGAGGAAGGATCATGTGAGCCCAGGAGGTTGAGGCTGCGGTGAGCCAAGATTGTGTCACTGTATTCCAGCCTGGGCAACAGAGTGAAATGTTGTTTCAAAAAACAAAAACAAACTGTGTAGTATTGGCATACAGACAGACATATAGACTAATGGAAGGGAATAGAGAGCCCAGAAGTGCTCATTTTGGCAGCACACATACTAAAATTGGAAAGATACAGAGAAGATTAACATGGCCTCTGTGCAAGGATGACAAGCAAAAATCAAAAATTATTTTAAAAAATTAAAAGAATACAGGGTCCAGAAATAAACCCTCATACGTATAGTCCAATAGTTTTTAAATTAGGGTCCCAAGACTAGTCAGTGGAGAAAGAAGTATTTTCAACAAATGATTTCAGGAAAACTGGATATCTGCACGCAAATGAATGAAACTGGACCCTTACGCTATATGCAAAATTTAACTCTAAATGAATCCAAGACCTAAATGTAAGACCTAAAATGATAAAACTCTTTTTTTTCTTTTTCTTTCTTACCTTTTTTTTTTTTTTAGAGATGGGGTCTCACTGTGTTGCCCAGGCTGGTCTTAAATTCCTGGGATCAGGCCATCCTCTCGCCTCAGCCTCCCAGAGTGCTGGGATTACAACTGTGAACCACTGTACCTGGCCTATACAACTCTTAAAAGAAAACATAGGGAAAGCACTTCATGACAATGGATTTGGCAATGATCTCTTGGATATGGCACCAAAAGCACAGACAACAAAAAAAATATCGATAAGTTGGACTACATCAAAATTAAAAATTTCTTTTTTTTTTTTTTTTTTGAGATGGAGTCTCACTCTGTTGCCTAGATTGGAATGCAGTGGTGCAATCTCAGCTTACTGCCACCTCCACCTCCCGGGTTCAAGTGATTCTCCTACCTCAGCCTCCTGAGTAGCTGGGATTACAGGTGTGAGCTACCGCGCCTGGCTAATTTTTTTATTTTTAGTGGAGACGAGGTTTCACCATGTTGACCAGTCTGGTCTTGAACTCCTGAGATCAGGTGATACACCTGCCTTGGCCTCCCAAAATGCTGGCATTACAGGCATGAGCCACCGTGCCTGGCCAGATTTTTTGAAAATATAGTGGACACCATGTAACTAATACAGAAAAATTCTAAAGGAAATAAAGATGCTGAATTTCCAGATTTCTTTATAGGAGATGAAATGAAAAAATCAACATCCTATTACAGTTGCTGGAAAACAGATGATGGGTTTTGTTAGAAGAAAATGCCCTTGAACTTGAACCAAGGTAGTTGTACATAAGCCGCCCCTCTGTATCTGCCTTCAGTACTCAGAATTTATTGCCCTCAAGCTGAAGAATGTTAGGCTGGAGATGACACTTTATTTATTTATTCATTTTGAGATGGAGTCTCACTCTGTCACCCAGGCTGGAGTGCAATGGCGTGATTTTGACTCATTGCAACCACTGCCTCACAGGTTCAAGAGATTCTCTTGCCTCAGCCTCCCAAGTAGCTGGGATTACAGGTGCCCACCACTACACCTGGCTAATTTTTTGTATTTTTAGTAGAAACAGGGTTTTGCCCTGTTGGCCAGGCTGGTCTCGAACTCCTGACCTCATGATCCACCTGCCTTGGCCCCCCAAAGTGCTGAGATTACAGGCATGAGCCACTGTGCCCAGCTGAGATGACACTTTTGACAGTAAACAGATAAGCAGCTGGATCCTACTCAACCAGAGCTATAACCAAAAAATCTTCCGAACAGTGAATGACATCACAGCAACAACGGCCTTTCTAGGAATTTTCCAATTCTGTGTTTTAGATTTTAGAGGCCCTAGGCAAAATAGTGAAAAAATTATCCTCAGAGAGCACCCCACCACCATAAGCTCTTCTCCCCCAAAACAAGCTGTGTGTGTCTCCATTTCAGCACTTCATATGGGAGTCTATGCACCTAAGCCTCTCCCGTTCTGTCAGGAAGTAGGTGTTCCTGGTCCCTTCCCTGCTTCTGAAGGTGATAGCCAGCAAATGCCATCACTGAATCTAGACTAACACAAATTGCGTAAAAATATGGCCCTCCTTTGGCCACATACTCACATACTGGCATTTGTATTTTTCTATTATTATTTTTATTTATTTGTTTATTATTACTTTTTTTTGAGATGGAGTATCACGCTTGTCACCCAGGCTGGAGTGCAGTGGCGTGATCTCAGCTCACTGCAACCTCTACCTCCCGGGCTCAAGCGATTCTCCTGCTTCAGCCTTCCAAGTAGCTGAGATTACAGGCACCCACCACCACGCCCGGTTGATTTTTGTATTTTTAGTAGAAACGAGGTTTCACCCTGTTGGCCAGGCTGGTCTTGAACTCCTGACCTCAGGTGATCTGCCCACTTCGGCCTCCCAAAGTGCTGGGATTACAGGCGTGAGCCACCATGCCTGGCCCATACTGGCATTTTAAAGAACCTTCTCCGGTGTCACTAAGAAACCCTAGAGAAATACAGTTGATCTTTGAACAACACGGGTTTGGATTGCAGGGGTCCACTTACATGCAGATTTTTTTTCAATAAAAGCTGCACTAAGTGTGCCTGCCTCTCTTGCCTCGACTCCCACTCCCTCCACAACTTCTGCCTCTGCCACTGCTGGGACAGCAAGACCAACCCCTCCTCTTCTTCCTCCTCCCCCTCAGCCTACTCAACATGAGGATGATGAGGATAAAGACCTTTACGATGATCCACTTTCACTTCAGGAATAGTAAATACATTTTATCTTCTTTATGATTTTCTCAATAAGCTTTTCTTTTCTCTAGCTTACTTTATTGTATAAATATAGTATAGAATACTTATACTAAACATGGGTAATTGACAGTTCATGTTACAGGTAAGGCTTCTGATCAACAGCAGGCTATCAGTAGTTAAGGTTTTGGGGAGTCAGCACTACGGGGGTTGCCAGCTCAGCCCTCACGTTGCTCAAGGGCCAACTGTACTTTTTTTATTTATTTTATTTTTTTAGAGACAGTATCTCGTGCTGTAGCCCAGGCTGGACTGCAGAGGTGCAATTACAGCTCACAGCAGCCTCAACCTCCTGGGCTCAAGCAATCCTCCTGCCTCAGCCTCCTGATTAGCTGGGACCATAGGCGTGCACCACCATGCCCGGCTTTTTTTACTTTTACTTTTGGTGGGGTCTCCCTATGTTGCCCAGGTTGGTCTCAAACTCCTGGGCTCAATCTATCCTTCTACCTCGGCCTCCCAAAGTGCTGGAATTGTAGATGTGAGCCACCGCATTGAGCCCAACTGTATCTCTCTTTTTTTTTTTTTTGAAACAGAGTCTTGCTCTGTCACCCAGGCTGGAGTGCAGTGGCATGATCTCAGCTCACTGCAACCTCCACCTCCCGGGTTCAAGCAATTCTCCTGCCTCAGCCTCCTAGGTAGCTGGAATTACAGGCGCACGCCACCACACCCAGCTAATTTTTGTATTCTTGGTAGAGATATGGTTTCGCCATATTGGCTGGGCTGGTCTTGAACTCCTGACCTCAGGTGATCCACCCGCCTCGGCCTCCCAACGTGCTGGGATTACAGGTGTGAGCCATCGCGCCCCGCAAAAAGTACTATTTCTGAAAATAATTTTTTGTTAGATATTTAGGCGTCACAAGTGCAGATTTCTTAACATGCATATATTGCACTGTGGTAAAGTCTGGGCTTCTAGTGAACCCATCACCTGAATAGTGAACATTGTACCCATGAGTAGTAGATCAACCCTCAGCTCTTCTTACTTTCCCACCTTTTGAGTCTCCAATGTCTATTATTCTATTCATGGGTACCCATGGTCCAGCTCTCACTAATGAGAACATGCAATATTTGACTTCGTGTTTCTGAGTCATTTCACTGAACATTTCACTGAATAATGGCCTCTAGTTCCATCCATCTTGCTATAAAAGACATGATTTCATTATTTTTTATGCCTGAGTAGTATTCTGTGACATGGGCCAGGCACAGTGGCTCACACCTGTAGTCCCAGCACTTTGGGAGGCCGAGGTGGGCCGATCAGCTGAGGTCGGGAGTTTGAGACCAGCCTGGCCAACATGGAGAAACCCGTCTCCACTAAAAATGCAAAATATTAGCTGGGCGTGGTGGTGCATGCCTGTAATTCCAGCTACTGAGGAGGCTGAGGCAGGAGAATCGCTTGAACCGGGGAGGCGGAGGTTGCAGTGAGCCAAGATTGGGCCACTGTACTCCAGCCTGGGCGACAGAGCGAGACTCCGTCTCAAAAAAAAAAAAAAAAAATTAAAAACCTTTTTTTTCTTTTTTTTTAAAATAGAGATGAAGTCTGTGTTGTCCAGGCTGGTCTCCAACTCCTGGACTCTCTCGCACATGCTGAAGTGCAGTGGCATGACCTCAGCTCACTGCAACCTCCACCTCCCAGGTTTAAGCAATTCTCCTGCCTCAGCCTACCAAGTAACTCAGATTACAGGTGCCCGCCACCACGCCCAGCTAATTTTTTGTATTTTTAGTAGAGACAAGGTTTCACCATTTGGCCAGGCTGGTCTTGAACTTCTGATCTCAGGTGATCCACCCGCCTCTACCTCCTAAAGTGCTGGGATTACAGGCGTGAGCCACCGCACCTGGCCTCGTTCTTATGTTTTCAGTTTTCTTGTTGCTGTGGCAGAATGACATCAGGCACAAACAGCTGAACTGCAGCCTGGATTCCCATCTCTGCTGGCTCTCCTGTCCTAAAGCCTAACATCCCTGAGTGCCTTCTGGCAACCTGAACATGGTGGAGCTGTGGCGTCCTTCTCCCTGATTTTTATTGCAAGGCAGCAAGCAAGACACAGTCAGTAATTACCTCCCGGGTAATTGCACAACTTTTGTGTTGTGCCTCACAAGCCTGGTCTCCAGCCACTTACATACGTGCAGGATGGAGAGTCTACGTGATGGGATCTGCCAACCCAAAGGGCATGATTGGAAGATAACCGGCTGGGTTGTGCCAGAGTTTTGTTTTGTGATCTCCCAAGGACACAGCCTTCAGAGAGTTAGAACCAAAAGATCTTAAAAAGCCTTGATATTTGCATAACGAACACTGTTTGTCTCAAATGTTTGGAATAAGTCTGTAGATAGAACACACCAGATTATTATTGTGTTTCTAGAGAAGAAACACATGGAAGTTAATTATGACTATGTAAAATTAAAAGTACCCTGCTGAAAGGTGACAGGGAGGGTGAGGGAGGTAGAGAGAGGTGGAGCCCGGAGCTGTTGCTTTTCATGAAGATTTTCTGTGCAGTTTGGATTAAATAATAATAATAATAATAATAATAGAGGGCTGGGTGCAGTGGCTCATGCCTGTAATCCCAGCACTTTGGGAGGCTGAGGCGGGCTGAGGGCAGAAGTTTGAGACCAGCCTGGTCAACTTGGTGAAACCCCATTTCTACTAAAAAAAAAAAAAAAAAAAAAAAAAAAAAAATTAGCTGGGCATGATGGTATGTGACCGTAATCCCAGCTACTTGGGAGGCTGAGGCAGGAGAATCATTTGAACCTGGGAGGTGGAGGTCGCAGTGAGCCAAGATTACGCCATTGCACACTCCAGCCTAGGCAACAAGAGTTTAACTCCGTCTCAAAAAAAAAAAAAGTAGAGACAGGGTCTTACTCTATCCCCCAGGCTGGAGTGCAGTGGCGTGATCATAGCTCACTGTAACCTTGAGTTCCTGGGTTCAAGCCATCCTCCTGCTTCAGGCTCCCGAGTAGCTGAGACTACAGGCACGTGCCATCACGTGTAGCTAATTTTTTTTTTTTTTTGCAGAGATAGAGTCTCACTATGTTGTCCATCCTGGTCTCGAATTCCTGGCCTCGAGCAATTGTCCCACCTCAACCTCCCAAAGTGCTGGGATTACAAGCATGAGCCACCCACCACACCTGGCCTACCTGTTTGGAATTTTTTTTTTTTTTTGACACGGAGTCTCGCTCTGCTGCCCAGGCCGGAGTGCAGTGGCACGATCTCGGCTCACTGCAACCTCTGTCTCCCGGGCTCAAGCAGCCTCCCAAGTAGCTGGGATTACAGGTGCCTGCTACCACGCCCAGCTAATTTTTGCATTTTGAGTAGGGACAGGGTTTCACCATCTTGGCCAGGCTGGTCTTGAACTCCTGACCTCTTGATCCATCCACCTCGGCGTCCCAAAGTGCTGGGATTACAGCCGTGAGCCACCGCATCCGGCCAAGCTGTTTGGCTTTTTAAAACCAGGTGCATGTAGCAATTTTGTCACAATTTTGACAAAATTAAGCGATATACTAAAAGATAATTAAACAATTCATTTACACCCACCCACAGTCATATAGCATTAAACAGAAAGCAACCTTTGGAGTCTGGGGACTGTATTCAAGGTGCTCTGTAAACATCCATTATATTCTGCTCTTATTCCTTTGCTGCCATTGAAGGTTGAAGTCACACCAGTTACTCAGCAGTCTGTTTGAGAACGTGTTCAGAAATGAGCAGAGACATTCATCAAGAGAAGCACATTTGACGGGGTGAGCTGGAGTCCATCAGACCTCACAACCAAGGGCTGGCAGGAGCTGAGCCCAAAGACCGGCCTCTCCAGAACCATCTTTCCGCCAAGTGAGAGGCTGGGAGGCAGCGTGGATTTGTCACACAAGCGCATTGTATTTTCTGGCCTTAAAGGAAGAAGCCAGCTGGGCACGGTGGCTCATGTCTGTAATCCCAGCACTTTGGGAGGCCACCTGAAGCCAGGATCACCTGAAGCCAGGAGTTCGAGGCCAGCCTGGCTAACATGGTGAAACCCTGTCTTTACTAAAAACAAAAATTAGCCAGCGTGGTGGCGGGTGCCTGTAATCCCAGCTACTCGGAGGCTGAGGCACAAGAATCGCTTGAACCCAGGAGATGGAAGTTGCAGTGAGCCGAGATTGTGCCACTGCACTCCAGCCTGGGAGACAGAACAAGACTGTCTCAAAAAAAAAAAAAAAAAAAAAAAAAGAAGAAGCTGGGGTTAATTTCTGGGCTGGAGCAAATAGATGCATGGCAGCCGCAGACTGGGCCAGTTGAGGATACCCCTCACCAAAGGTCAGGCAGCCCCCTGGCTCTTCCATCCTCTTTGTCAGAAAGAGTATTTTTTGTGATCTTCTAGAATTTTAGATGTGTTCTGCAGAAGGCTCTTCCTGAAGGAGAGGATTCTGAAGCAAAAGCTGTCCACGGTCTCCGGTCTCCGCAGGGGATATTAGAACATGGTGTTCTAATAACAGTCCTTGGCTGCAGCCCGAGAGCTGTCAGGCTTCCTCCTGGGGATCAGGGTGCAGTTGGCGGGAAGATGAAGCAGGCTTGGAACCGGAATGCTTTCTACAGGCATCCTGGGAATGTGCTCTCAGCAGGCCACTCCGGGCACTGGGGACACATGGAACCGCTGCTTTTCTGGGTTAAGTTTCCTTTTTCTACAGGTAAGTCCCAAGAAGACCACCGAGACTGTCAGAATCCCACAGACTTTTTCTCCAAGGGATATTCAATCCCAAATGAATAGAAACTTCCCATGTTCCCACAGAAGGCTTTTTTTTTTTTAATTCTTAGATTTTATTTTGTAGAGACAGGGTCTTGCTATATTGCCCAGGCTGGTCTTGAACTCCTAGTCTCAAGATGTCCTCCCACTTTGGCCTCCCAAAGTGCTGGGATTACAGGCATGAGCCACCACACCTGGCCCATAGAAACGTTTTTAGTTAACAGGTGGAAGGGAACAGGCTTAATTCTTTCTAAATAAACCCAAGTGTTTCAACTAATTTGTTTTAAAAAGCATCCTTTAATATGCCCAACCTTTACTTTTTTAAAAATACTGCTATAATGTTGTTTTTCCTTAAGGTTTATAAACACAGCATTCAAGAAGTTTCTTTTCCTTGTACGATTTTGTCTACAATAAAGAGCATGCTGCTCGGGGTGATCATGTGGTTCAAACTGCCTGGATTCAGCCAGATGTGGGGCAAATTAAAAGAGAGATGATGCTTTTTAGAGTAAAAAACGGCCGGGCGCGCTGGCTCACACCTGTAATCCCAGCACTTTGGGAGGCCAAGGTGAGTGAATCACAAGGTCAGGAGTTCGAGACCAGCCTGGCCAATATGGTGAAACCCCGTTTCTACAAAAAATACAAAAATTAGCCGGGCGTGGTGGTGTGCATTTGTAGTCCCAGCTACTGGGGAGGCTGAGGCAGAAGAATTGCTTGAACCTGGGAGGCAGAGGTTGCAGTTAGCCAAGGTCACGCCACTGCACTCCAGCCCGGGCGACAGAGCAAGACTGCATCTCAAAAAAAAAAAAAAAAAAAAGAATGAAAGTCTTGGCCGGGCATGGTGGCTCATGCCTGTAATCCTAGCACTTTGGAAGGCTGAGGCGGGTGGATCACCCAAGGTCAGGAGCTTGAGAACAGCCTGGCCAACATGGTGAAACCCCATCTCTACTAATAATACAAAAATTAGCCAGGTGTGGTGGCACACGCCTGTAATCCCAGCTACTTGGGAGGCTGAGGCAGGAGAATCACTTGAACCCAGGAGGCGGAGGTTGCAGTGAGCCAAGATCACACCACTACACTCCAGCCTGGGTGACAGAGTGAGACTTCATCTCAAAAAAAAAAAAAAAGGGTAAAAGTCTTTATTTAAAGACAGTTATGTGGGCCAGGGTAGATGTTCCCACCTGTAATCCAAACGCTTTGGGAGGGATTGGGGCCAGGAGTCCAAAATCAGCCTGGGCAACAATTAGACTCTGTCTCTACCAAAAAAGAAAAAAGAAAAAATTAGGTGGGCACAGAGGCACATGCCTGTAGTCCCAGCTACTCAGGAGGCTGAGTGGGGAGGATCACTTGAGCCTGGGAGGTCAAGGCTGCAGTGAGCTGTAATCATGCCACTGCACTTCAGACAACAGAGTGAGACCCTATCTCTATAAAAATAAAATATAATAAAGACAGTAATGGTAAACCAATATTTTAAAAAATGCTTCATTTCAAAATGCTGTGCTTTCTGAATAAAATCTAAAGAAATGGATGTTTATCCATTCGTTCAACATATATTTATGGGGCACTGCTCTGTGGAAGACACTATTTTCAGCCTGGAGTACAGTTATGAATACACAGAAGCTGGGTGCGGTGGCTCAAGCCTGGGATCCCAGCACTTTGAGAGGCAAAGTGGGCAGATTGCTTGAGTCCAGGAGTTTGAGTCCAGCCTGGGCCATGCAGTGAGACCCCATCTCTACAAAAAATTTTAGAAGTAGCCTGGTGTGGTGGATGGTGTCTGTAGTCCCAGTTACTTGGGAGGCTGAGGCAGGAGAATGGCATGAACCCAGGAGGTTGAAGCTGCAGTCAGCTATGATGGTGCCACTGCACTGCAGCCTGGGCGACAAAGCAAGACTGAAAAAAAAAAAAAAAAAAAAAAAACAGAGAGACGGACAGAGAGAAAGAGAGAGAACAATCCCTGCCCTCCTTGAACCAAGGCTTTCACCTTCTAGTGGCAGAAGACAGGTAGGAAATAAACAAACAAGCAAACCACAATATTAGATGGCATCAGTGCTATGGGAAAGAACAAAACAGGGAAAGGAGAGGAAGCCTGTGTGGGCATGCGGGTGTGTGTGTGTGTGTGCGTGCGTGCATGCATGTGTGTGTGATGGTGAGGTGGGATGGAGGGGCTGCAATTCCAAGTAGGGGGTAGTCAGATAAGGTTTTGCTGAGGACAACATTTGAGCCCAGGTGGGAGGGACACAGCTACGTGCAAATCTGGGTATGAAACAGCTGGAAGGCCCGCATGACAGGAGTGGAGTGAGAGAGTTGGAGTTGGAGGTGGTTGGGGAAGTGGAGGGGGTGGGGAAAGCAGGATCACGCTGGGGGAGGGGAGCACAGACAAATCCTACCAGGCCCTGTAGGCCATTTCCCAAAGAGGATGACTTTTCTCTGGGTAAGATAGGGTGTTCTAACACAGAAGTGACACACCATCTTTTTTTTTTTTTTTGAGATGGAGTTTCACTCTTAGTACCCAGGCTGGAGTGCAATGGCGTGATCTCGGCTCACTGCAACCTCCGCCTCCCGGGTTCAAGCAATTCTCCTGCCTCAGCCTTCCAAGTAGCTGTGATTACAGGCATGCGCCACCATGCCCAGCTAATTTTGTATTTTTGGCAATACATGGTTTCTCCATGTTGGTCAAGCTGGTCTTGAACTCCCGACCTCAGGTGATCCGCCTGCCTTGGCTTCCCAGAGTGTTGGGATTACAGGCGTGAGCCACCGCGCCCGGCCAACACACCATCTATTTTAGCATTAAAAGCACTGTTCTGGGCCAGGCTCCGTGGCTTGCACCTATAATCCCAACACTTTGGGATGCTGAGGCAGGGAGATCGCTTGAACCCAAGAGTTTGACATCAGCCTGGGCAACATAGGGAGACGCTGCCTCTACAGAAATAGAAATTTAAAAAATCAGCCGGGTGTAGTGTTGTGCACCTGTAGTCCTAGCTACTCAGGAGGCTGGGGTGGGAGGATCACTTGAGCCCGGGAGGTTGAGGCTGCAGTGAGCCGGGATCATGTTATTGCATGCTAGCGGTGGCAACAGAGCAAGACCCTGTCTTAAAAAAAAAAAAAAATGCTGGCCGAGCGCGGTGGCTCACACCTGTAATCCCAGCACTTTGGGAGCCTGAGGCAGGCGGATCACGAGGTCAGGGGATTAAGGCTATCCTGGCTAACACGGTGAAACCCCATCTGTACTAAAAACACAAAAAATTAGCTGGGCGTGGTGGCGGGCACCTGTAGTCACAGCTACTCGGGAGGCTGAGACAGGAGAATTGCTTGAACCCGGGAGGCGGAGGTTGCAGTGAGCACCAAGATCGCGCCACTGCACTCCAGCCTGGGTGACAGAGCGAGACTCCATCTCAAAAATAAAATAAAATTAAAATTAAAAAAAAGCACCGCTCTGCTCTGCTGCTGTTTTGATAATAGAGCAGGCTTGAGAGTGTAGAATCCAAAGCTGGGAGTTGAGCTAGGAGGTGTTTGCTGTAATCCAAGAAAGACCACAGCAGCCTGAATCATGTTGGTGATAAGTAGTAGAAAAAATCAGAATGAACGTAGACTTGACAGGATTTAAATGTAAGATGTGAAAGAAAAAGAAGATTCAAGGATGATCCTACATTTTGGGCCCTGGCAATGTGGAAAAAAAAAACAAGATCTCAGGACCCTGAACTGGCTATGCCAAAGGGAAAGTTAAGCTTGGGAAGTGAGTCATGCAAAAACTGCCTTCCTTTTGTCCCTGAACAGATAGCAATAGTAAGCTGTAATTTTACATGCTTACTTTATCTTATGCAAAATGTAGATTTACTGAGCATGAGATGAATGCATAATTGCCATTTTCTCTGCTCCCTCCTTTCATGTGTAAAATGTAGATTCACTGAGCACTAATCAAAGCCTCACAAGAATGTAAATGATTATTTGCCTTATTACCTATCCTCCATCCATCCACGTTTTTCCTTCTTTTTTCTTTTCTTTTTTTCTTTTTTTTTTTTGAGACGGGATCTCGCTCTTGTCTCCCAGGCTGGAGTGCAGTGGCGCCATCTAGGCTCACTGCAACCTCCACCTCCCAGGTTCAAGTGATTCTGCCTCAGCCTCCTGAGTAGCTGGGATTACAGGTGCCCACCATCACGCCCAGCTAATTTTTGTACTTTTAGTAGAGATGGGATTTCAAGACCAGCCTGGTCTTGAACTCCTGACCTCAGGTGATCCACCTGCCTTGGCCTCCCAAAGTGCTGGAATTGCAGGCATGAGCCACCACGTCTGGCCTCTTTTTTCTTTTTTAAAAACAAAGTCTCATTATGTCACCCAGGCTGGGGCTGGAGTGCAGTGGCGCAATCGTAGCTCACTGTAACCTCAAACTCCTGGGCTCAAGCCATCCTCCTGTCTCTGCCTCCCACGTAGCTGAAACCACAGGCACACGCCACCATGTCCAGCTAATTTTAAAATTTTTTATAGAGACGGGATGTTGCTATGTTGCCCAGGCTGGTCTCAAATTCCTGGGCTCAAGCAATTCACCTGCCTTAGCCTCCTCAGGTGGTGGGATGTGAGGCATGAGCTACCGCATCTGGCCTGCCCCACTTTTTTTCCTTTCCTCCTTCTCCTCCTGCTCACTCCTTCCCATTTAAATATTGAAGTGCTTAAAACCTCTTTGGAAAAAGCACGGATCACAGATGCTCCTGTGATTTGTGTTTTTTCCCAAGCATATCCTCAACCTTGGCAAAATAAACCTCCAATTAATTGAGATCTGCTTCAGTTACTTTTTTATTTATAGCAACAATTTTAGTGAGCTCAGGCTGCCATAACAAAATATGGTGACTGGATGGTTTAAACAACACAAATTTATTTCTCACAGTTCTGGAGGCTGGGAAGTCCAAGACCAAGGTGCCAGGATAGTCTGTTTCTAGTTAGGACTCTCTTCCTGGTTTGCAGACAGCTACCTTCTCCCCTGTGTCCTTACATGGTGGAGGGAGAGCTCTGGTGTCTCTTCTTTTTTTATAAAGACACCAGTTCTATTGGATCAGGGCTGTATCCTTATGACTTTGTTTAACCTTAATCACCTCCCTACAGGCCCTATCTCCAATATGGTCAAATGAGGGGTCAGGGATTCAACATATACATTTGGGATGGGAGACATAATTTAGTCCATAGCAGCAACCAAAAGGATGGACTTGCCATTTACCGAAATGAGAAGTCGAGTGAGAAGCGAGTTTTGAAAGAAAGGGCAAAAGGTCCATGTCGGACATGTTAGGCTTGAGATATCTGTTCATCAAGCCAGTTGGTTATAAAGTTTGGAATTAAAAGGACAGGTCTTGGCTAAAGGTATGAAATTGGGAGGCATCAGCTCATTGGTGGCCAGGATACTAGAGTAGATAACCAGAAGTGGAAAGGACCCAAGGCACCCCGACAGGCAGAGTTTGGGGTGAGGAGGACAGGACAAGAGACATAAAAGGAGCAGCCAGGGACATAGGAAGAAACCTTTGAGTATGCAGTGTCCCTGCAGCCAAATGAAGATAATTATGTAGGGAAGAGGGAGTGATCAACTGTGCCAAGAGCCCCAGAGAGGTCAAGGAAGAGGAGGACTGGGAATTGAGTCTTGGATGTAGCCCCATGATGGCCACTGGGGATTTTTTTTTTTTTTTTGACAGAGTCTTGCTCTGTTGCCCAGGCTGGAGTGCAGTGATATGACCTCGGCTCACTGCAGCCTCTGCCTCCTGGGTTCAAGCAATTCTCCTGCCTCAGCCTTCCAAGTAGCTGGGATTACAGGTGCCCACCACCATGCTCGGCTAATTTTTTGTATTTTTAGTAGAGACAGGGTTTTACCATGTTGGCTAGGCTGGTCTTGAACTCCTGACCTCAGGTGATCTGCCCACCTCGGCCTCCCAAAGTGCTGAGATTACAGGTGTGAGTCACCACGTCCAGCCTTTTTCCTTTCCTTTTCTTTTTTTTTTTTGAGACAGAATCTTGCTCTGTCGTCCAGGCTGGAGTGCAGTGGCATAATCTCGGCTTACTGCCCCCACTGCCCAGATTAAAGCGATTCTCCTGCCTCAGCCTCCCGAACAGCTGGGATTACAGGCGCCCGCCAGCACACCTGGCTAATTTTTGTATTTTTAGTAGAGACGGGGTTTCACTATGTTGGCCAGGCTGGTCTCAAACTCCTGACCTCAGGTGATCCACCCACCTTGGCCTCCCAAAGTGTCTCACCCATCTGAGCCCTCACCATTGTACTCTCTTCCCTGGGTTTTGTGAAGCAGGGAAACTGAATTTAGTCTTTCCCATAGGATCTTATATCATTTACATCTTGCTTCTGATACAAAACTTCAGTTATAAAATTTTCACTAAATGCCAGAAAATGTTTTCTTTTAAGGGACCTGTCTTTCATTCAGGGAAAGCATTTTCAAATTCTTCAGCAGACGACTTGAAAGGAGCTTCCTGTCTGACTTCAGAGGCACTCCCAGCCAGGCGCAGCCCTGCCCTGGGCACAGACTCACTGCCCATCCTCACAGAGGCCCTTTCCTTCCGCACCAAGGGCACCTGCTCTGAAGCTGACCCCGCTGAAGGCTGGGGAACAATCACAGGTGTCGTCAGTCAGCATCCAGAAAAACGAGTCGGAGAGGAGAAAGGGCATGTAGGAAATGGAACCAGTCATTCTATTGTCTTTGACTTGGTACATTTTCCTCTGCCGCTACTCCCATCTTTTGTCTTTTGTGGTTTGTGATACTTTTCTCTTTGTCTCTCGGGAGGCCAAGTTGACTAAAATCATGAAATGGGGCTGGTCACATTGGCTCATGCCTGTAATCCCAGCGCTTTGGGAGACTGAGGTGGAAGGACCACTTGAGCCCAGGAGTTCGAAACCGTGATCATGCCATTGCACTCCAGCCAGGGTGACAGAGCCAGGTCCTGTCTCAAAAAAAAAAAAAAAAAAGAAAAAGAAAGAAATTCAATCTAGTCCAAGTCCCTTTCACATCATAGATGGGGACTCTTGGGGCCCAGGGAGGTTATCTCACTGCCTCAGTCACTGAGCCTGCTCGTAGAAGAACCGGGTGTAGATCCAGGCTCCTGCCTTCACAGCTTTATCTGATGCCCCAAACCTGAATAAACTCAGCAGGGAGCTGGCGGGCTGGTTCTTGAGGGGCTCAGAGGTCACTGCCTAGGTCTGGGGTCACTCCAATGCCAGGAGCGGCCTGTACCCTCAGCTCACTCAGGGGAACAATTGTGCCATTTATTTTATTTTATGTATTTATTTTTGGAGTGAGGCCTTCCTTTGGGTGGCATTTATTAGTAGCACTATTTATCCCGTGTCTACTGCATTGCATGATCTCAAGTGCTTTGCCTAGAGTTTCTCAGTTTTCACCCAAGCTCTGCAAAACTCTATCAGTTCTATTTGACACAGGAGGAAGTGTTAAGCAACAAGGTCAAGATCACACATTAGTGAGTGGGGAGGCTAAGAATGGAGCCCAGACGTGTCTCATTCCAAGCCTGTGATGGTTCCATACAGACACAGGCTCCACAAATTCACACTGTCTCAAGACTGAGTGTAGACAGTGGCCAGTGCAAATGCATTCATCTCCCTGGAAGGCATGTATAACCGTGTATAACCACACGACTTGTTTCAACCAGTCATCACAGCCTCTCCCCAGTGAGAAAACTCACTTGGAAATGCAAATTAAGATGGGAAAGTTACTTATTGAACATAAAGACAGAACAAAGGAAACCCCATATCCTTAGAGGAACCTATTATCAAAGCGATAGCCTAGTGAGACAGCAGCCTCCCTTGTGGGGCCGGCTCCCACCCCTGCCTAGCTGGTGGGAGGAGGTGTGTCAGCCTGCCCCGGTGACCGCTCTGACGTGGCGCATCACTGGAGTCACCTGGCAAACTCTTACCCTGACTCTGTCCTTTGTGACCACATTTTCACAGCTGTGATTCAGTCTCCCTTCCCCAGTAACATTTCAGAGGAGTCACAACTCAGGGCTCATTTTGCAGTGGGTACATTTTAAGGAGTCGCTTTTTTTGTTGTTTTGACAGAGCCTTGCTCTGTCGCCCAGGGTATTGTGCAATGGCGCAATCTGGACTCACTGCAACCTCCAAAGAAACCACTTCTTAATGGAATCTAGGGATGGTCCCTGCGCATCTCCAGACAATAGTTAGGCAGCATTACCTCTGGGAAAAGATTAGCTTTCTAAATCTCATTTACTGTAAATGCATTCAAGTACATGTCAAAGACTTCGGACCTTGCTTGACTGGAATCCCATAGCCAACAGGAAATCCAATTTCTGTAGGTCTGTAGTAGCCACTGTTTACTATTGACACCCAGAGTTATTGTTTGTCTCTTTTGTTTGCTTTCAATGATAGCATGTGCTTCTGTCACAACAAACAGCATTTAAGGGAAGACGCTCTCCTCCCAACCTTGACATCTGATCCTCAGTTACACACTGACATTTAGTTATTTTCAATTAAAAGTGACAAACTGTATTCCAAAAAGTGATTATGTGCCTCCAGGTCTACCACAGACTTTTTTGTTTGTTTGTTTGTTTGTTTTTTGTTTTTTGTTTTTTTGAGACGGAGTTTCGCTCTTGTTGCCCAGGCTGGAGTGCAATGGCGCGATCTTGGCTCACTGCAAACTCCACCTCCCTAGTTCAAGCTATTCTCCTGCCTCAGCCTCCCAAGTAGCTGGGATTACAGGCATGTACCACCATACCCTGCTAATTTCGTATTTTTAGTAGAGATGGGGTTTCTCCATGTTGGTCAGGCTGGTCTCGAACTCCTGACCTTAGGTGATCTGCCCACCTCGGCCTCCCAAAATGCTGGGATTACAGGTGTGAGCCACTGCGCCTGGCCCTACAGACATTTTTTTAGATGTTAAACTTCATGCTCACTTCGGCACCACATTTATTAAAATTGCAATGATACAGAGATTAGCATGGCTCCTGAGCAAGGATGACATGCAATATAAAATTCAAATCGAAAAAATGTTTAAGTTAATTCCATTTCTTATCTAAGCCTTCATTCTCCCTCTCTCATCCAGCTCTTGGCCCTAAGGTCTCCGTGAACCTGGAGAGGAGGCAAATCTCAAATCCATTTGGCTTCCTGACAGTAGGTAGATCTGACAAAGGATTTAGTATCAAATGTAATTGAACTAATGGGCAAAATTCTGGTTTTTGATTAAGTTAGGATATTAGGATCTGGAGTTGCATTGTCTGATATAATAGTATGGATGAAAAGAGTCAAACTCTGTAAAATATTTGAAGAGATTTGTTCTGAACCAAATATGAGTGACCATGGCCCAACACACAATTGTGGGAGATCAAGAGAATATGCACCCAACTTGGTCGGGCTACAGCTTGGTTTCACGTTTTAGGGAGACATCACAAAACATCAATCAATACATGTAAGATGTACATTGGTTTAATCTGGAAAGGCAGGACAACTGGAATCCAGGTTTTTGAAACCTGGATTACACTTACCTGGGTAGTGTCAGAGGCATTTGAACAAGAGCAATTTCATCTTGAATACGGGCTGGGTAAAATAAGGCTGAGACCTACTGGGCTGCATTCCCAGGAGGTTAGGATACTCTAAGTCACAGCATGAAATAGGAGATCAGCACAAGACACACGTCCCAAAGACTTTGCTGATAAAACAGGTTGCAGTTAAGAAGTCAGCCAAACTCGGCCGGGTGCGGTGGCTCATGCCTGTAATCCCAGCACTTTGGGAGGCTGAGGCGGGGCGGATCACAGGGTCTGGAGATCGAGACCATCCTGGCTAACATGGTGAAACCCCATCTCTACTAAAATACAGAAAATTAGCCGGGCATGGTGGCGGACGCCTGTAGTCCCAGCTACTCAGGAGTCTGAGGCAGGAGAATGGTGTGAACCTGGGAGGCGGAACTTGCAGTGAGCCGAGATTGCGCCACTGCATTAAAAATAAAAATTAAAAAAAAAAAAAAGAAGTCAGCCAAACTCCACCAAAACCAAGATGGCAATGAAAGTGACCTCCGCTCCTTCTCACTGCTCATTATACGCTAATTATAATACATTAGCATGCTAAAACACACTCCCATCAGCGCCATGACAATTTACAAATGCCTGGCAACATCAGGAAGTTACCCTATATGGTCTAAAAAGGGGAGGAGTCCTCAGTTCCGGGAAATGACCACCGCTTTCCCAGAAAACTCATGAATAAGCCACCTCTTGTTTGGTATATAATCAAGAAGTAACGGCCAGGTGTGGTGGCTCACGCCTGTAATCCCAGCACTTTGAGAGGCTGAGGCAGGAGGATCACTTGAGGTCAGGAGTTCAAGACCAGCTTGGCCAACATGACAAAACTCCGCGTCTACTAAAAATACGAAAATTAGTTGGGCGTGGTTGTGGACGCCTGTAATCTCAGCTACTCGGGAGGCTGAGGCAGGAGAATCACTTGAACCCAGGAGGTGAAGGCTGCAGTGAGCCAAGATCATGCCACTGCACTCCAGCCTGGGCAACAGAGCAAGACTCTGTCGCAAACTCTCCCCCAAAAAGAAGTAACAATAAGTATAAGCAGTTGAGCAGCCTGTACTGCTGCTCTGCCTGTGAAATTGTTTTGTTGTTGTTGTTGTTGTTGTTGTTGTTTTGAGACAGAGTCTTGCTCTGTCCCCCACACTGAAGTGCAGTGGCTCGATCTCCGCTCACTGCAACCTCCACCTCCCCGGTTCAAGCGATTCTCCTGCCTGAGCCTCCCAAGTAGCTGGGATTAAAGGCACCAGCCATCATATCCAGCTACTTTTTGTTTTTCGTAGAGTTGGGGTTTTGCTATGTTAGGCAGGCTTGTCTCTGACTCCTGACCTCAAGTGATCTGCCCGCCCCGGCCTCCCAAAGTGCTGGGATTATAGGTGTGAGCCTCTGCGCCCGCCCTTGTTTCTTTCCTTCTCTAATACACTTGCTTTCACTTTACTCTATGGATTCGTCTTGAGTTCTTTCTTGCACAAGATCCAAGAACCCTCTCTTAGGATCTGGATCAGATCCTTTTCTGGTAAGAATAGGCAGATTCAAAGATTTTCTGATTGGCAATTGGTTGAAAGAGTTTATCTAAAGACCTGAAATCTATAGAAGGAAGTGTTGAGGTTAAGACAAGACAGTGTGGAGACCAAGGTTCTTAATACTCAGATGAAGCCTCCAGGTGGGAGGCTTCAGAGAGAATAGATGGGAAATGTTTCTTATCAGACTTAAAAATGTGCCAGACTCTTAGTTAATTTCTCCTGGATCAGGAAAAAGACCTGGAAAGGGAAAAGGATCTCTATAGAATGTAGATTTTCCCAACTGACAGCTTTGCAGAGCCGCTTCCAAATACATGGAAGAAATGTATTTCAGGGTAAAATTCTTCAATTTATTTCAGAGCCTGCTATCTATCACATTGGTATTATATTTCTACTAAGAGTCTGTTTGGTCAGTCTTAAGCTCTCTGTTTTAATGTTAATGCTGGTTGTTGTACCTGAATTCCAAAGGGAGAAAGGTAGAAGGAGGCATGTCCGACCACCCATTCCCATCATGGCCTGAATTAGTGTTTCAAGTTAATTTTAGAATACCCTTGACCAAGAGGAAAGGTCTGTTCAGCTGGTTGTGGGGGCGGGCATAGAATTTTATTTTTGGTTTACAATAGCCACTAGTACTGGTGGCTATTTAAATTAAAATTGTTGAAAATATCATAACATTACAAGTTCAGTCCCTTGGTTACAGTAGCCTTATTGATATGGAAAGGGGTTCTGATTTAGACCCTAAGAGAGGGTTCCTAGATCTTGTGCAAGAAAGAATTCGAGGTGAATCCATAGACTAAAGTGAAAGCAAGTTTATTAAGAGAGTAAAGGAGGCCAGGCGTGGTGGCTCACGCTATAATCCCAGCACTTTGGGAGGCCAAAGTGGGAGACTGAGGCAGGAGAATCGCTTGAACCTGGGAGGCGGAGGTTGCAGTGAGCGAAGATTACGCCACCGTACTCCAGCCTGGGCAACAGAGCAAAACTCTGTCTCAAAAAAAAAAAAAAAAGAAAGTGAAGGAATAAAGAATGGCTACTCCATAGGCAGAGCAGTGGCATGGGCTGCTTGACTAAGCATTCCTATAGTTATTTCTTGATCGTATGCTAAACAAGTGGTGGATTATTCATGAGTTTTTCAGGAAAGGGGTGGGCAATTCCCAGAACTGAGGGTCCTCCCCTTTTTTAGACCATATAGGGTAACTTCCTGACGTTGCCATGGCATTTGTAAACTGTCATGGCACTGGTGGGAGTGTCTTTTAGCATGCTAATGCATTATAATTAGCATATACTGAGCAGTGAGGACAACCAGAGGTCACTTTCATTGCCATCTTGGTTGTGGGTTTTGGCCGGCTTCTTTACCACAGCCTGTTTTATCAGTAAGGTCTTTATGACCTGTATCTTTTTTTTTTTTTTTTTGAGACAGAATCTCACTCTGTTGCCCAAGCTGGAGTGCAGTGGCATGATCTTGGCTCACTGCAACCTCGCCTCCTGGGTTCAAGTGATTCTTCTGCCTCAGCCTCCCAAGTAGCTGGGACTACAGGTGCATGCCACCACGCCCAGCTAATTTTTGCGTTTTTTAGTAGAGGTAGGGTTTCACCATGTTGGCCAGCCTGGTCTCGAACTCCCGACCCAGTAATCTGCCTGCCTCGGCCTCCCAAAGTGCTGGGATTACATGTGTGAGCCACCACTCCCGGTCTATGACCTGTGTCTTGTGCCGACCTCCTATCTCATGCTGTGATTTAGAATGCCTAACCTCCTGGGAATGCAGCCCAGTAGGTCTCAGTCTTATTTTACCCATCCCCTATTCAAGATGGAATTGCTCGGGTTTAAACACCTCTGACATTATTTCAAGTGCTCACTAAACACATGCAGCTCGTGTCTACCATCTTGGATAGATCAGATGTAGAACATGCCAACACTTCCATCGTTGCAGAAGTTTCTATTAGCACTATTCTGGAGGGCCCAGGAGCTGGATGGCACAGACATTTTGTCTCCCCTGGAGATGGCTCAGGAGCTATTCTGAGCTTCTTACAGGCTTCTGACTCTCCACAGCTTCACCTCCAGGCGCTAAGCCACTGTTTCCTCTGCTTGGAACATTTCATCCATTCCCACCTCATACCCTTCAACTAACTCCAGTAAGGTCCCTCCTTAGAAATTACTCCCTCCAAGAAGGCATCCCTAACCCCCAAGTGTCTAGATCATGGCTGCTCATTTGGCTGTCCCTATATACCCCCAGCCCATTTCCCCCATCACAGCATCACATCACTAGGTATTATAATGATGTGTTCATCTGTCTGTATCTCTCATTCCTCCATTCGCTCATTCATTTATTGAGCACTCATTAATTGCCAGGCACTGTGCTAGAGACTGGGGATACCCTGGTGAACGAGGCGGGCATAGTCCCTGCCCTCACATACTATACAGTGTAAGGCAGGGGCCACAGCAGCCTTGCCCATAGCTTATTCCTATCTATGTGCTAGGCACATAGTAGGTGCTCAATATATATTTGTTAACAAAATAAATGGAAAGTTTCTTAGGAATGGGCTGTTCTGACTCCTCCTTCTGGGTGAAGGCTGAGACACAGGTAGTGCATGGAAAAAATGAAAACATGGCCGGGCATTGTGGCTCACGCCTGTAATCCTAGCACTTTGGGAGGCCAAGGCAGGCGGATCACCTGAGGTCAGGATTTCGAGACCAGCCTGGGTAACATGGTGAAACCCCCTCTGTACTAAAAATACAAAAATTAGCCAGGCGTGGTGGCGTGTGCCTGTAATCCCAGCTACCCAGGAGGCTGAGGAGGAGAATCGCTGGAATCCAGGAAGCGGAGGCTGCAGTGAGCTGAGATCGTGCCACTGCACTCCAGTCTGGGTAACAGAGCAAGACTTCATCTCAAAAAAATAGTAAGAAGAATAAAGAAAAAATGAAAACATCAAAACCTATGACTATGAAAGTTGGTTAATAGCATCCCCCCAAAATTCATGTCCATCTAGAATCTCAGAATGGGATCTTATTTGGAAATAGGGTCTTTGCAGATGTAATTAGTTCAGATGGACCCTAAATCCAATGACTAGTGTTCTTGTAAGAAGAGGAGAAGACACACAGAGACTAATAGGGAAGGCCATGGAAAGATGGAGGCACCAGGTGCAGTGGCTCCAGCCTGTAATCCCAGCACTTTGGGAGGCCGAGGGGGGCGGATCACCTGAGGTCGGGAGTTCGAGACCAGCCTGACCAACATGCAGAAACCCCGTCTCTACTAAAAATACAAAATTAGCCGGGCATGGTGGCACACCTGTAGTCCCAGCTACTCGGGAGTCTGAGGCAGGAGAATTGCTTGAACCCAGGAGGCAGAGGTTGCAGTGAGCCAAGACCGTGCCATTGCACTCCAGCCTGGCGACCAAGCAAAACTCCATCTCAAAAAAAAAGAAAAAAGAAAGATGGAGGCAGAGCCGGGAGAGGTGCGGCTACAAGCTGGCAACATCAAGGACTGCTGCCTGAGATAGAAGTCAGCCCTTCTCCAGGAACCCGGGAAGGCTGGCGAGGGGGTCAGCCTTGGGGTGCACCATAGCCACCTCCTGCCCTTTCAGACTTTGGCACATAACACTCCCCGCCTTTCCTGACCAGAGGCTGACATGGCCTCTGAAAAGCATCTAAAGGAAAAACTGTGTTCAGTACAATTGTACAGACATAGTGTACGGGAATGCCAGATGCATCGTCAAAGCTATCACAGTAATATGGTGTATCCATTTTATATATGTTACCAACTTCAATTCATTCTTTAATGTATTTTCATACTATTTCCCATCATGTAGGTTTCAGCTAACAAAGTCAGCAATCAAGGTGTTACTCTACCAGTTGGGATTTAATATAAACTTCAATAATTCCTTCCTCCTCCCCAAGTAATCTCATGGTGGACCATGCGAAGGGAAGGAAGATCTCTGGGGACAAGGTGGCCTTCCCCAGGCCCTTCTGTTGCCTCCAGGATGGCAATAGAAGCAGTGAATGGTGTTAGATTCTGGATCTACTCCAAAGGTTGAGCCAAAAGCACTTCCTGGTGGATTTGGATGTAGGATGTCTTTATCTCACAATAAAGGAAGGAGTTAAGAATGATTCCAGCCGGGCTCAGTGGCTCACGCCTGTAATGCCAGCACTTTGGGAGGCCTAGGCGGGTGGATCACAAGGTCAGGAGATCGTGACCATCCTGGCTAACACAGTGAAACCCCATCTCTACTAAAAATACAAAAAAAATTAGCCGGGTGTAGTGGCGGGTGCCTGTAGTCCCAGCTACTTGGGAGGCTGAGGCAGGAGAATGGCGTGAACCCAGAAGGCGGAGCTTGCAGTGAGCAGAGATTGTGCCACTGCACTCCAGCCTGGGTGACAACCATCTCAAAAAAAAAAAAATGATTCCAAGGCCGGGCGTGGTGGCTCACGCCTGTAATCCCAGCACTTTGGGAGGCCGACGTGTTTGAGACCAACCTGACCAACATGGAGAAACCCCATCTCTGCTAAAAATACAAATATTAGCAGAGCACGGTGGCAGGTGCCTGTAATCCCAGCTACTCAGGAGGCTGAGACATGAGAATAGCCGGGCGTGGTGGCAGGCGCCTGTAATCCCAGCTACTCAGGAGGCTGAGATATGAGAACAGCTTGAACCCGGGAGGCAGAGGTTGCAGTGAGATGAGATCACACCATTGCACTCCAGCCTGGGCAACAGAATGAGACTCTGCCTCAAAAAAAAAAAAGAATGATTCCAAAGTTTTTTACCTGAGCAAGTGGAAAAATGGAATTGCCATTAATTTAGATGACCAAGAGTGTCCGAATTTTTTCATGTAGCATTGACTATGTTTGTTTGTTTGCTTGTTTGTTGGAGACAGGGTCTTGCTCTGTTGCCCAGGCTGGAGTGCAGTTGTGTAATAATGGCTCACTGTAGCCTCCACCTCCTGGGCTCAAACGATCCTCCCACCTCAGCCTCCCAAGTAGCCGGAACTACAGGCACACACCACCATGCCCAGCTAATTCTTTTATTTTTTAGTAGAGGCAAGGTCTTGTTATAGTGCCCGGGCTGGTCTCAAACTCTTGGTCTTAAGTGATCTGCCTGCCTCAGCCTCTCAAAATGCTGGGATTACAGGCATGAACCACTGCGCCTGGCAACATCATTTCTGAAAAAGTAATTTTCAGAAATTTTCCTTTCCTTTCATTCATATCTGATAATGGAAGCTAATAATGAGGAAGAATAAAACATTACATTAAGAATATTCTCCAGTGTTTGAAGCTACACACGGTTTCAACCATATGCATCTTTTAATCTGATTTTTTAAATGTATCCTATTTCCAAAATGAAAATAGACGTTTGCTTTTCATGACAACTGCAGAAAATGAAGTAAAATCTAAATCCCAGACCTTTCATTTAGTAATTGTCTGTCAGTATAAAGGCAGAAAGACAGTAATTTTCTATCTTGTATATTATATCTTGGGGAATGACAGTTCTTTTTTATTCAGATCTAACTTCACATGGCAATAATACTGAAATACATTAAAAGCACACAGTCAGATATGATCTATTCAAAGAGGAAAGAAATACTTTTCTGAAGTGTTTTTTTATTCAAAAGACTATAGTCTTATTTTTTGAGAGTAAAATATAACATAATAAGGCCGGTGCTGTGGCTCACACCTGTAATTCCAGCACTTTGGGAGGCTGAGCCTGGAGGATCACCCGAAGTCAGGAGTTCGAGACCAGCCTGGCCAACATGGTGAAACCCCTGTCTCTACTGAAAATACAAAAAATTAGCCAGGCATGGTGACAGACATCTGTAATCCCAGCTACTCAGGAGGCTTAGGCAGGAGAATCACTTGAACCAGGGAGGCGGAGGTTGCAGTGAGCCGAGATCATGCCACTGCACTCCAGCCTGGGTGACAGAGCGAGACGCTGTCTCAAAAAAAACCAAAAACATAATAGGACAATTCTTCAAATGATAAAGTGAACCTTTATGTACTTATACAGCTTTAGCTATGATTTTCACAAATACAAATAAACTATGCCAAATTCTAAGAGTCTGTGTGGATTTATGTGTTGGTTATCTACAGCTGAATCATTATTTAATTAATTAATTTATTTGCTTCTGCCCCTTCCCCAGCTGATTATCATTATTATTAATTTGCCAAATGATTTTCACCTATGGATCGGAAAATTGTATTTATTACTGTCAGAGGCGTTTGAACCAGAGCAACTCCATCTTGAGCAGGGGCTGGGTAAAATAAGGCTGAGACCTATTTTAGGAACTGCATTCTCAGGAGGGTAGGCATTCTAAGTCACAACATGAGATAGGTCAGCACAAGATACGGGTCACAAAGACCTTGCTATAAAACAGGCTGTGGTAAAGAAGCCGGCCAAAACCCACCAAAACCAAGAGGGCAACGAAAGTGACCTCTGGTTGTCCTCACTGCTCAGTATATGCTAATTATAATGCATTGGCATGCTAAAAAGACACTCCCACCAGTGCCACGACAGTTTACAAATGCCATGGCAATGTCAGGAAGTTACCTTATATGGTCTAAAAAGGGGAGGAACCCTCAGTTCCGGGAATTGCCCACCCCTTTCCTGGAAAACTCATGAATAATCCACCACTTGTTTAGCATATGATCAAGAAATGACTATAAAAATAGGCAACCAGCTGGGATCGGTGGCTTACCACGCTGTAATCCCAGCACTCTGGGAGGCCAAGGCGGGCAGATCAACCAGCTGGGCGTGGTGGCTTACTGTGCTGTAATCACAGCACTTTGGGAGGCTGAGGCGGGCAGATCACTTGAGGTCAGGAGTTCAAGACCAGCCTGGCCAACATGGTGAAACCCCATCTCTACTAAAAATACAAAATTTAGCCAGGTGTGGTGGTGGGCGCCTGTAATCCCAGCTACTTGGGAGACTGAGACAGGAGAATCACTTGAACTTGGGAGGTTGCAGTGAGCTGAGATTGTGCCACTGCACTCCAGCCTGGGCAAAAGAGCGAGACTCCATCTCAAAAAAAAAAAAAAAAAAAACGGCAACCAGCAGCCCTTGGTGCTGCTCTGCCTATGGAGTAGCCATTCTTTTATTCCTTTACGTTCTTAATACACTTGCTTTCACTTTACTCTATGGACTTGCCCTGAGTTCTTTCTTGTGCTGGATCCAGGAACCCTCGCTTGGGGTCTGGATTGGGACCCCTTTCCGGTAACATTACCATTATACACATTATGTGTGAATTTCATGCATGAGTCACATTAATTATTGGTATAATATGCGTTTTTACTTTTAATTTTTGTTGATTTTTAATTGATTTTTATTTTTTTGAGGCAGGGTCTTGCTCCAACGCCCAGGCTAGAATGCAGTGGTGTGATCCTAGCTCACTGCAGCCTTGATCTCCGGGGCTCAAGTGATTCTCCTACTTCAGCCTCCCCAGTAGATGGGACTACAGGCACACACCACCACATCCAGCTACTTAAATTTTTTTTTTCTTTTAATAGGACAGGGTCTTGCTCTTGCCCAGACTGGCCTCAAATTCCTGGGCTCAAGCAATCCTCCTGCCTTGGCCTCCCAAAGTGCTGGAATTACAGATTTGTTGAGCCAATGTGCCCAGCCTAATACGCAGTTTTATGTTTCAACTTTAATTCACTCATTAAACGCTAAGTATGCCCTTTGGACTAGATTTCTGGGGACAAATACCCAAAACCTCATTAATTATATCCCTTGCTAACTTTTTCTAGCTGGTCTTATCAGTCATTTGAGTACTTCCTCCACCCTTAGCCATTTGCTCAGTCCTGAGACCCCTGAGCCATCCTGTCCACCACGACATCAAAAGCACAAGGACAATGCCTGATTTAGCCCTGCACATGGAAATAGACTAGGTGCGCGCAGTGCTGAGCAGGGTGATCCCGGAGGCAAGAGGAGGGAAGAGCATTCTCAGTTAAGTAGAGGCCTTCCTGAACCTCTCCAAATTTTATTTCCACTAGAAGTATCTAGAAGTATTTTCTCTCGGTTTTTGTCTTATGTTTATCTATCTTTTTTTTGAGACAGAGTTTCGTTCTTGTTCCAGCTAAGGCTGGAGTGCAGTGGCACAATCTCGGCTCCCTGCAAACTCCGCCTCCCAGGTTCAAGAGATTCTCCTGCCTCAGCTTCCTGAGCGGCTGGGATTACAGGCATGCGCCACCACACCGGGCTAATTTTTTGTTTTTTTTTTAGTAGAGATGGGGGTCTCACCACGTTGGCCAGGCTGGTCTTGAGCTCCTGACCTCAGGTCATTTGTCCACCTCGGCCTACCAAAGTGCTGGGATTACAAGTGTGAGCCACCGCATCTGGACTATGTTTATTTTTTTTAAAACCAAGTTTGCTCTTAGATATTCAATTTCCATGGTATTGGTTTAAAATAATTATCAGACAGGGCGCAGTGGCTCATGCTTGTAATTCCACCACTTTGGGAGGCTGAGGCAGGCGAATCACCTGAGATCAGGAGTTCAAGACCAGCCTGGCCAACATGGTAAAACCCCTGTCTCTACTAAAAATATAAAATATTAGCCAGGCATGGTGGTGGGTGCCTGTAATTCCAGTTACTCAGGAGGCTGAGGCAGGAGAATCGCTTAAACCTGGGAGGTGGAGGTTGCAGTGAGCGCCACTGCACTCTAGCGTGAGTGACAATCTGAGATTCTGTCTCAAAAAAATAAAGATAAAATAAGTAAAATAATTATCAACCTATTATGGATGCAGGTACCCCACCTCCCATGGGAGCAGACCCTTGCATGTCTGAACTAACCGAGTTCCGAGAATTATACAGAGAGGCGGCACACTGGGTTGGTGGGGAGCATGAGCTTCGGAATAAAGCAGAGCTGAACTTCAGTCCCATCCTTGCTGCTCACCAGCTCTGTTACTTGCTGGACCTCCCAGTTCCTTGTCTGCAAAATAGCAAACCTGATCACTAAGGTAAGGAAGCATCTGCCAACCCACAGTAGGTACATTAACATCAGATTATTGCCTCATAATGTCGTTTGGAGGACTGAATTGATATTTGCTCAAACATCTTGTAAACTGTAAAGTGCTATAGGAACTTTTTAGTAGCAACTTATTTAGGCTGCTGGGAGGCCCTTGAGGTGGAAGAACCTAGAAAAGGTAAATTGCTCTCTTCAGTCCCCAAGTGCCTGGTTCACTGCCAAGAAACCACTCCCGAACTCAGGCTGCTCACCTGGGCTGCTGGCAGGAGGAAGCAGCCCCAGAACGGAGCCAAGCCAGAGCCGGAGAAACAGGTTCCTGCCTTCTCCGCTGACAGCCTGAGGCTCATGCTCTAATCTGCAAAAATGGCAGAAGTCGCTGTAGTGTTGTAGAACTGAACTGGGGTTGGCTCCCTGGTGTGGTAAGACCAGATATTTATATTGACCTGGATAGTGGGAGAAAGCAAAGTGTTTATTTGTAGGGAGCCAAGTGAGGAGGAAAGGGAGTCCCCACCTTTCTGATGGCTTGTAGATAAGGATTTTTTTTCCTTTTTTTTTTTTTTTTTGTTTTGAGACAGGGTCTCAACGCTGTTGCCCAGGCTGGAGTGCAGTAGCATGATCTCGGCTCACTGCAACCTCCACCTCCCAGGTTCAAGTGATTCTTGTGCCTCAGCCTCCCAAGTAGCTGGGATTACAGGAGCTCGCCACCACGCCCAGCTAATTTTTGTATTTTTAGTAGAGACGGGGTGTCACCATGTTGGCCAGGCTGGTCTCGAACTTCGGGGCTCAAGTGATCCACCCGCCTCAGCCTCCTAAAGTGCTGGGGCTCCAGGTGTCCACTGCCGCTCTGGCCTAAAGTGGCTTTTAAGAAAAGTTGCCACCTAGAGTATGGCATGCTCCATACCTTGGCATTTTGCTCTTTGCTCGCCTGGTTCCACTGGAAGCTCAGCAAGCTCACAGGTTCTCTCCCACACCCTGACTCAGGTCCCACGTCCATTTCCTCAGGCTCCAGAGAAAGTCCTCACCCCTGGGCCTCCCCAGGACCCCGGGGACACTGTACAGGGAAGACACATTGGAGACAACAGCCATGGTAGTCACAGGGCCCTCAACAGTGACATCAATTATATAAGGTTTGATGGCCTCACTTTCTCACTATAAAGCAAAGAATGCTGCCCATCTGGCAGCCAGGGAAAGTTCTGGAGTTGGGGACCCGGCCATCCTGTGGTGCTGCCTCAGGCTTTGACTTGGAGACTCACTGGGGCTCGGGAGATAGCCAGCCTGGAGCTGCCTCCTCTTCCTTTGCTTTGACAGTGACCGGATGCCCCCATCACCCAGTTGGCCTCACCCATACTGGGCCACTGCAGCCCAAGCCTGTGTCACCAGCCTCCTTCCAGACTCCCCCTCCACCAGTCGGTGACAAATTGAAGTGTCCCAGAGGAGCCAGTATTTGCTCCAAAGGAAGGCTGTGTGGTTGTTTCCTACCTCTAGTGCAACATCCAGGCTAGAAGAAGTATCTTTTGTGTTGATTCACACATGTCCTCACTAACCTACTTATCAGAAAGTGCTCTCAAAGCCACAGAGCATTACCCAAATATAAAGTGGTATTTTGATTGCTGTGGCCAAACTGCTGGCATCCAAATGAGTTTTTCCGCAGGATTTCACAATCTTTCTCCTCCAAAAGCATGTGATTTTAGAGAGCACAAGGTGTGTACTTATTTTAAAATGCAGGAAATTAAAACGATTTTATTTTTGGAATTTCACAATAGCTCTTGGAATAATTCAAGACGCCTGGGGGTGTCCTAAAATCAAGGCTGGGAATCATTGATTTAACCACTTCAAAATTAGCATAAATAGGGCTGGGTACGCAGGGGGACTTGAAAATCTAGTTCGAATTTTTTTTCAGCACTCTATGTCTATAAACTAGCCTGGGCAAGGAAAGGTGGGGTAAGGAAAAAGAGAAGAGGACTCAAGATTTGATAAACATAATTCTCTTCTCTGGTCAGGGTCTCTGGGAACATTGTTTTTTCCAATTAGTCATCAGGTTTTTTAAAAATTTAGTTTAGGCCAGGTACAGTGGCTCATGTCTGTAATCCCAGCACTTTGGGAGGCCGAGGTGGACGGATCACCTGAGGTCAGGAGTTCAAAACCAGCCTGCCCAACATAGTGAAACCCCGTCTCTACTAAAAATACAAAAATCTGCCAGGCGTGGTGGTGCGTGCCTGTAGTCCCAGCTACTCGGAGGCTGAGGCACGAGAATCACTTGAATCCGGGAGGCGGAGGTTGCAGTGAGCTGAGATCACACCACTGCACTCCAGCCTGGGCAACAGAGCGAGACTCTGTCTTAAAAAATAAAAGCAAAAACAAAAAATTTAGTTCAGGCCAGGTAGGGTGGCTCACACCTGTAATTCCAGCGCTTTGGGAGGCCGAGGCGGGTGGATCACTTGAGGCCAGGAGTTCAAGACCAGCCAGGCCAACATGGTGAAACCCTGTCTCTACTAAAAATATCAACAATTAGCTCGGTGTGGTGGCGCACGCCTGTAATCCCAGCTACTCTGGAGGCTGAGGCATGAAATCACCTGAACCTGGGAGGCAGAGGTTGCAGTGAGCCGAGATCATGCCACTGCACTCCAGCCTGGGTAACAGAGCAAGACTATGTCTCAAAATAAATAAATAAATAATTCAATTTATTTTTATAGAGTTGGGGTCTTACTATATTGCCCAGGCAGGTCCTGAACTCATGGCCTCAAGCAATCCTGCTGCCTTGGCCTCCTAAGGTGCTAGGGTTACAGAGGTGAGCCACCGCTCCCAGCCCATCATCAGCTTGAGGAGGAGCTTCTGTTTTCTCCTTTCCCTCTTAGCCACTAGAGGTACCCATGGGTGCAGTCCTTCTTTATCTTGTCTAACCCTCAAAGCTGTGCTTGTCCAGCTCGCCAGGATGAACCCTGCTGCCATAACCCAGCCACCGTGAGTCATCAACCTGATGAAGTGCACAGAACCCAGAGGAAGAGGAGAGACCCACTTACACCCAGGGAAAGGAGAGATGCCTGCTTATACCCAGGTCTCCTGTTAATGAGCTTCCTTTTAGCTCTCTTTCTTTTTTTCTTTTTTTCATTTTTTTAGACTGACTCTCGCTCTGTTGCCCAGACTGGAGGGCAGTGGCACGATCTCGGCTCACCGCAACCTCTGTCTCCTGGGTTCAAGCGATTCTCCTGCCTCAGCCTCCTGAGTAGCTGGGACCCAGGCACACACCACCATGCCCAGCTAATTTTTGTATTTTTAGTAGAGACGGGGTTATACTGTGTTGGCCAGGCTGGTCTCGAACTCCTGACATCATGATCTCCCTGCCTCGGCCTCCCAAAGTGCTGGGATTACAAGCGTGAGCCACTGCATCCCACCTTTCTTTTTTATTCTTGTCTTGATATTACTTCTTCAAGGATTCTACACCGCATAGTCTCAGGACACACTTTCAAGGGTCAGGAGTGGTCTCTAGATTCTCCCTCTCCTCAGTCCTGTCCGATTTCCCAAGGCAGGCCCAGCCAGGCACTCCCAGAGGCAGCCTCATGTGGGCTGAGGGCTCAGGCCTTCCCAGCCTCACTCCCTGGATGGTGGTGGAAGTGGCCAGCTGCTGATGCCTCTCAGGAGCCCTTTCTGGCTGTGCATGCAGTGAGTCCAGGCGTGACTGACAGCCTCTGAGCTCCGGTTGCCCGCCTGGCACCTGGGTCCCTGACCACACCAGGATACAGTGCTCATTCTGCACTGGAGTCCGAGGCAGCTGGGGAAAAGGGGCACAGTGGCTGGACACAGCAGCATGCACCTGTAGTCCCAGCTACTCGAGAGGCTGAAGGAGGAGGATCATGAGTTTGAACCCAGCCTGGACAGTATGGCAACACCCCATTTCCAAAAGAGGCATCTTCCCCTGCCTCTCCTCTTAGCCATTTTCTTTTTCTTTCTTTTATTTTTATTTATTTATTTTTGGAGACAGGGTCTTGCGGTCACCCTGGCTGTAGTGCAGTGGCTCAATCATAGTTCACTGCAGCCTCAACCTCCTGAGCTCAAGGGATCCCCTGAGCCTTCCCGAGTAGCTAGGACTACAGGCATGCACCACCATGCCCAGCTAATTTAAAAAAAAAAATCTTTGTAGAGAGGGAGTCTCGCTATATTGCCCAGACTGGTCTCAAACTCCTGGGTTCAAGCGATCCTCCTGCCTCAGCCTCCCAAAGTGCTGGGATTATAGGCTGAGATGCCACACTCAGCCCAATCTCTTTCTTTCTTCAGAAAGTGATTTTTATAATTTGCAGCAATGTTTTCACTATGGAAGCTCTTTTCCCTAACCATCCATTTCCAAAAGTGAATTTCAACAGAAAAAAACACAACGTACATCAGTCACCAATGTGCCCAGGGTCTAATTTGTGAATAAAAGAGTAACTGGACTGGGGTCAGGCCCTGTGTGCATTTGGGATGTGGTGGGGGCTGCTCTCTCTGCTGAGTGCCAGAGTGAGGGTAGTTAGCAAGTCAACGAGGAGAAAAGGAACTCATGCCTTTCCACTCTGGGACAGTGAAAGTGAATGTGGACTTGACACTGTATGGTGTCCCCATTGATCAGTGATCTTTATTTTTTTATTTTTATTTATTTATTTATTTATTTTTGAGATGGAGTTTACTCTTGTCTCCCAGGCTCGACTGCAATAGCATGATCTTGGCTCACTGCAACCTCGGCCTCCCAGGTTCAAGCAATTCTCTTGCCTCAGCCTCCTCAGTAGCTAGGATTCAGGCACATGTCACCACACCTGGCTAATTTTTGTATTTTTAGTAGAGACGGGGTTTCACCATGTTGGACCAGGCTGGTCTTGAACTCCTGACCTCAGGTGATCCGCCCACCTCGGCCTCCCAAAGTGCTGGGATTACAAGCGTGAGCTACTGCACCCGGCCGATCAGTGATCTTTATACCATTAAAACAAACAAACAAACAAAAAACTGTGAACCTCTAAAGTTAATTAAATATAAAGTTGTTCTGGAAAGTTCTCCCTTGCCCTGCAGATTCCATTAAAAGCATTCCTGGCTGAGCACAGTGGCTCACACCTGTAATCCTAGCACTTTGGGAGGTCAAGGTAGGCGGATCACTTGAGGTCAGGCATTCAAGACCAGCCTGGCCAACATGGTGAAACCCCGTCTCTGCTAAAAAGACAAAAATTAGCCAGGTGTGGTGGCGCGTGCCTGTAATCCCAGCTACTCCATAGGGTGAGGCAGGAGAATTGCTTGAACCTGGGACATAGAGGTTGCAGTGAGCTGAGATCGCGCGACTGCACTCCAGCCTGGGTGACAGAGCGAGAGTCCATCTCAAAAAAAAAAAAAATCCTTGCAGTTCCTCCTGGGCTTCCACTTTGTGTTCCGTGATCTGCCATCCAGCTGACATGGAAGCCAGACATGCCCAAGGGAGCCCCGGCTGCCTGTGGCCAGTTCACTCCAGTGTGTCCGTTTTCAAAGGTAACACAGACCCCTGCTGGGCTGATGCTGCCCTTTAGAGCTCTCTGTGACAAACGGTCCTTTCTTCCTGCCCCCGTTCTGTTCCTTTGCTCTCCAGGGCTGGTTCATCACAGAGCTTCTCACACCAAACACAAAGCTTTAGATTAGGCAGGTTGTTAAAAAAAAAAAAAAATATATATATATATATATACACATATATATATGCATACATATGTGTGTGTGTATCTACCTATCTATCTATATTTATATATATATAATTTTTTTTTTAGCTGCAAAACTGCTATAAAAATGCCACTGGGTGTATGCAACTTCTGCCTTCCTTCATGGCCACCTCTCCCTGGGGAGAGTCTCAGCCAGCTCTCTGACCAAAGACTCAGTGCAATTTCAGAGGACTGCTGTTAGGATCATCAAGTTTCAAACGTTGATACAGATCTGGATCTTCAGGGCCCTTGGGAAAGGGGAAGTGAGGGGTATGAGCTTGTAAGAAGGCCCTGGGGAAGAAGGCACCAGCTTTCCAAGGGCCTTTCTTTCCTAATTAAAGACATAGCTCCCTGCCTACCCTCTACTTAGGTGCGGCAAGTGAGATGGCTTCTCTGCAGCCCTTAGAATAAAGGAGTAAGAGGAAAACCAAAGTTTCCGAGAATGTTCCGCCTACCCCTCATGAAAATGGCAATGCATCCTATTGCTTGATAATGCTAGAAGTTGGCTCTATTTAAAAACCACAAAACCTTTTTTTTTTTTTTTTTTGAGTCAGAGTCTCACTCTGTCACCCAGGCTGGAGTGCAGTGGTGCCATCTCAGCTCACTGCAACCTCTGCCTCCTGGGTTCAAGCAATTCTCCTGCCTCAGCCTCCCGAGTAGCTGGGACTACAGGCACCCGCCACCACGCTCGGCTTTTTGTATTTTTAGTAGAGATGGGGTTTCACCATATTGGCCAGGCTGGTCTCGAACCCCTGACCTCGTGATCTGCCTGCCTTGGCCTCTCAAAGTGCTGCGATTACAGGCGTGAGCCACCACGCCCGGCCCACAAAACCTTTTTCTTTTTTATACTTTTTTCTTTTTTGAGACGGAGTTTTGCTCTTGTCACCCAGGCTGGAGTGCAGTGGTGCAATCTCGGCTCACTGCAACCTCCACCTCCCAGATTCAGGCAATTCTCCTGCCTCAGCCTCCTGAGTAGTGGGGATTACAGGTGTGCACCACCATGCCTGGCTAATTTTTATATTTTTAGTAGAGACAGGGTTTCACCATGTTGGCCAGGCTGGTCTCGAACTCCTGACCTCAAGCGATCCGCCCTCCTTGGCCTCCCAAAGTGCTGGGATTACAGGCATGAGCCACCACACTGCATAAAATTCTATTGAATAGTTCCCCATAAGGTAAAGCCACTTTCCCAACAGAGCATTTAAAACCACTTCCATTCCCAGCATCTCTCACCACTAAGGGATGGATTTGGGGGGTAGGTTTCACCTATCACCTGAACTTTTGTCCCTCGTTGATTTGGAACTGAGTGGAGGGAGGCAGCGTGAGAGGCCTGCGTTTTGCAGGTGTTGGTTGTGGAGTGCAGGCTGGCCTGCCGCTGACGGCTGGGGCAGTGGCCATCTGGCACAGCGGTCCCTGGTTTTGGTAGTGGCTGTCATTCCCTTGGTGGCTATTTCTGAGTGCACTTAGGAACCTGTGTGGAAGCACAGCCTAGAGTCTCCCTCTTCAGGTCTCCCCATGAGTCCTGCAGCTGTAGATATTTCTGTTTTTATTTTCTTTTTCTTTTTCTTTTTCTTTTTTTTTGTTTTTTGAGATGGAGTCTTGCTCTGTCACCCAGGCTGGAGTGCAATGGCGCAATCTCGGCTCACTGCAGCCCCCGTCTCTCGGGTTCAAGCGATTCTCCTGTCTCAGCCTTTCAAGTAGCTGAGATTACAGGCACACGCTGCCACGCCCAGCTAATTTTTTGTATTTTAGTAGAGATGGGGTTTCACCGAGTTGCCTAGGCTGGACTTGAACTCCTGAGCTCAGGCAATCCACCCGCCTCGGCCTCCCAAAGTGCTAGGATTACAGGCATGAGCCACTGCGCCTGGCGATATTTCTTAATAAATTCATGTCTTGCTGAGTGTGGTGGCTCAAGCCTATAATCTCAGCACTTTGGGAGGCCAAGGCAGGAGGATCGCTTGAGGTCAGGAAATCAAGACCAGCCTGGGCAACATAAAAGACCCTATGTCTGTTTTAAAAAATTTAAAAATAAATAAATAAATAAACTTGTCTTGACGCTCGAGACCAGCCTAGGCAACATAGCCAGTCCCCCATTTCTACAAAAAATAAGAAAATTAGCCGGGTGCAGGGGCACATGCCTATAGTGCCAGCTACTTGGGAGGCAGAGGTGGGATGATCACTTGAGCCCAGGAGTTTGAGGCTGCAGTGAGCTATGATTGTACCACAGCACTCCAGGATGAGTGACAGGGGGACACCCGTCTCTAAAAGTAAATAAATACATAATAAAATCCTGTCTTTTTTTTTTTTTTTTGAGATGGAGTCTTGCTCTGTTGCACAGGCTGGAGTGCAATGGCGCGATGTCAGCTCACTGCAACCTCCACCTCCCGGGTTCAAGCGATTCTCCTGGGTCAGCCTCCTGACTAGCTGGGATTATAGGCGCGTGCCACCGCACCTGGCTAATTTTTGTATTTTTAGTAGAGACAGGGTTTTGCCATGTTGGCCAGGCTGGTCTCAAACTCCTGACCTCAAATGATCTGCCCACCTCGGCAGGTGAGGAGAGTTGATGTGAATTTCAGGAACACAGCCCGGGGCCAGGGCCATAGGGGGATGAGTGTTGGGCCTCCAGCTCCTCACACAGAGCTATCCTGCCCCAAACCACCCAGGGCATTTTTTGCCACCAGCTCCTGCCTCTGGATAATGTTTTTTTTTTTTTTTTTCAGATGGAGTCTTGCTCTGTTGCCCAGGCTGGAGTGCAGTGGTGTGATCTTGGCTCACTGTAACCTCCACCTCCCAGGTTCAAGCAATTCTCCTGCTTCAGGCTCCCGGGTAGCTGGGATGACAGGCGGGCACCACCATGACCAGCTAATTTTTGTATTTTTAGTAGAGTCAGGGTTTTACCATGTTGGCCAGGCTTTGATCCACCCACCTCAGCCTCCCAAAGTGCTGGGATTACGGGCATGAGCCACCGCGTCCAGCCTGCCTGTGGGCATTTTGTCTTTCTCCCTCTGTCCCCACTCTCACATCCCACCTCACATGCACAGAAGCTATTCCCTCCACCCTTCTTCTGTGCTTATTCTTGGAAAAAGACACAACAAACCCATGTACACTCATGCTGGTGATAAGACTGTTACCTGCTCCCCAGCAAAGCCTAAGCTGTGGTCACAGTTACAAAGGCCTATGGAAATCCAGATTTTTGTGCATACTTTTCTGATTTTTGTCTGTTAAAAACCAACCAGTGTGTGTTAAAATATTTTGTTCATGGGCAGCCTCTGGCCCACAAGACAGGGGAGAACGCCATGTGACAACAGAAGGTGGGAGGGACCTGTCAGAAGCCAAGGAATGCCAAACATGGCCAGCAAACCACCAGAAGTTAGGCTGAGTCAAGGAAGGGTTTTCCTCTGCAGGCTTCAGAGGGAGGACGACCCTGCCAACACCTTGATTTTGGACTCCTGAGCTCCAGAACCAGGAGACAATAGACTTCTGTGGCTTTCAGCCATTCAGTTGGTGGTGTTTTGTCATGGCAGACCAGCAAACAAACACAGATTTGATACTTTATGTCCTCTGGCCAAAGGTCGGACTTTAAGAAGTCACAGGGAGGCAGCTTTGTGTGCCATCTTGGAGGCCACCAGCTGGCAGGATGGCTCCATTCACATGGCCCGTCTTGCAAGAGGGTCCCAGGGCATTTAGGTCATTGAGTGAGTGTGTGCTCCCAGGAGCCAGCAGGGCATCTGGCATCACAAAGACATCCAGAAGTGAGTTTGAATTCTGTTTTCTCAGATGCCACAGCTCTCTTTAAGGACTCTGGCCCAGACTGTATTGGGGACTCACCTGCTGAGCCAGAATAAAAGTGCAGAAAGTGCACCCCAATCGCTGCCTCCCCTGAGAAGAGAAAGCCCATGGAGAGGGTGCTGGCTGGGACTCTGCCCGGCTGCACATGGACTCCTGCCTTCAGAATTGGCTTGGGGCTTTTGATAACAGGATTTCAAGGAGAGTGTCTGGGTTTATGGAAGTAGGGCCTCTAGACTGATAGCGGCTGCTTCTTCTTTAAAAAAAAAATCCTCTCTGAGCTAGATTCTAACATCAAGTCAGCAGGCAGAACCATTTTAAGAGGACAGGGCATGGTGGCTCACACCTGTAATCCCAGCACTTTGGGAGCCCGAGGCAGGTGGATCACTTGAGGTCAGGAGTTCGAGACCAGCCTGGCCAACATGGTGAAACCCCCGTCTCCACTAAAACTACAAAAATTGGCTGGGCATGGTGGCGTGTGCCTGTAATCCTAGCTACTTGGGAGGCTAAGGCAGGAGAATCACTTGAACCAGGGAGGCAGAGGTTGCAGTGAGCAGAGATCACGACGCTGCACTCCAGCCTGGGCGACAGAGCGAAACTCCGTCTAAAAAAACAAAACAAAACAAACAAACAAAAAAAAAACAGGACAGGACAGATCTGCTGAGAGCTAGGGTCACAGGATCCAGAACCCGAGCAGGGTCTCAGGTTGCATGGAATCAGGAATCAGCCTGAATTATTCCTCAGAGTGGACACAGAAGAAACCCAGGTGGAAACCAAGTGTGGATGTGTGGCTAAAGAGGGAGCAAGGCAGCCCCAGCCGAGCCGCGTGGGCGGATCCCAGGTGCAGGCAGAGCGGCAGCCGCAGGACTCAGAGGTTAGGTGGGCTCTGGAAGTGGGTGCCAGGCAGGGCAAGGCCCCGTGCGCAGTAGAGAGTGTCAGTCAAAGCAAGCGCACTGGGGACTTGTCCCTGTGGGGAGTTCTCATGTTGTGGCCCAAGGGTGGAGAGTTGGGCTAAAGAAGCAAGCTCAGGCCAGATTGGGCACAGTGGCTCACACTTGTAATTTCAGTACTTTGGGAGGTTGAGGTGGGAGGATCACTTGAGTCCAGGCGTTCAAGAGCAGCCTGGGCAACAGAGCAAGACCTTGTTTCTAGAAGAAATTTAAAAAATAATGATAATTAGCCAGGCATGGTAGTGTGCGCCTGTAGTCCCAGCTACTCCAGAGGTTGATGGGAGGATCGCTTGAGCCAGGAGTTAGAGGCTGCAGTGAGCCATGATCATGCCACTGAACTTGAGACTTGGCAGCAGAGTGAGATCATCTCTAAAAAATAAAAATAATAAAAAATAATAAGAAAATAAAGAAGCAGGCTCAGGCCAGAGAACAAGAGGAATGGGCCTCTTATCTCCTCTGCATGACTGAAGAGAATTCTGCTCATGTCTTTCACAGGCAGAGTGGCCGGGTAAATAGATACAGGATGCCCAGGGCACTGAGAGCACGGGTCCACGCATCCGGTTATCCTGCATCTGGCCTTTGCCCGTGGAGCTTTCAGTCATGGCCTCCGGTAACATGCACATTGGAAAGCTCACCCCTGACTTCAAGGCCACTGCCGTGGTGGATGGCACCTACAGGGAGGTAAAGCTGTTGGACTACAGAGGGAAGCACGTGGTCCTCTTTTCCATCCTCTGGACTTCACTTTTTTTTTTTTTTTTTTAAACAGAGTCTAGCTCTGTTGTCCAAGCTGGGGTGCAGTGGCTCGATGTCAGCTAACTGCAACCTCTGCCTCGTGGGTTCAAGCGATTCTCTTGCCTCAGCCTCCCAAGTAGCTGGGACTACAAGCACATGCCACCTTGCCCTGCTAATTTTGTATTTTTAGTAGAGATGGGATTTCACCATGTTGGCCAGGTCAGTCTTGAACTCCTGACCTCAGGTGATTTGCCAGCCTCAGCCTCCCAAAGTGCTGGGATTACAGGTGTGAGCCACTGAGCCTTGGACTTCACTTTCGTGTGCCCCCACAGAGATCATCGCATTCAGCGACCATGCTGAGGGCTTCCGAAAGCTGCAAAGTGCTGGGGACCTCGGTGGGCTCAGTTCACCCACCTGGCTTGGATCAACATCCCCCGGAAGGAGGGAGGCTTTGAGTCCCTGGACACCCCTCTGCTTGCTGACGTGACCTGAAGTTGTCTGAGAATTACGGCGTGTTGAAAACAGACGAGGGCATTGTCTGCAGGGGCTTTTTTTTTTTTTTTTTGAGACGGAGTGGCCCAGGCTGGAGTGCAATGATGCAATCTCGGCTCACTGCAACCTTCGCCTCTCCGGTTCAAGTGATTCTCCTGCCTCAGCTTCCCGAGTACCTGGGATTACTGGAGTGCGCGACCACGCCTGGCTAATTTTTGTATTTTTAGTAGAGACGGGGTTTCTTCACGTCAGTCAGGCTGGTCTCGAACTCCTGACCTCAGGTGATCTGCCTGCCTCGGCCTCCCAAAGTGCTGGGATTACATCTGTGAGCCACCACGCCTGGCCTGCAGGGACCTCTTTATCATCCATGGCAAGGATGTCCTTCCCCAGATCGCTGTTAATGATTGGCCTGTGGGACACTTTGTGGATGAGGCCCTGCGGCTGGTCCAGGCCTTCCAGTACACAGACGAGCACCCGGAAATTTGTCCTGCTGGCTGGAAGCCTGGCAGTGACATGATCAAGCCCAGCGTGAATGACAGCAAGGAATATTTCTCCAAACACAACTAGGCTGGCTGATGGATCATGAGCTTGTGCCCCTCCATGAGTGCCCTGTGTTGACCCAGGAAAGGCCAGATCTTCCTCTCTAAACTGTACAGCCTGGGACCCTGGAGAGCTAGGCCAAGGCCTTCTCATGCTTCCAACTGGGAGCTGGTGAATAGTGACACCCTCCCCAAAACCCACCCAGCTGCACACAGACCTGGAAATGACCAATAAAGTATTAGGGACAGAAAATAAATAAATGAATAAATAAATTAATTAATTAAATACAGGACAACCAGTTAAATCTGAATTTCAGATAAACAGTGAATAATTTATAATGTAAGTATGTGCAAATACTCCATGGGAGGCCCGAGCATGATGACTCGCATCTGTAATCCCAGCACTTTGGGAGGCTGAGGCAGTGTTTGAGCCAAGGAGTTAGAGACCAGCCTGGGCAACATAGAAAGACCTTATATTTGAAAACATTTAGAAATTAGCCAGGCATGGTGTTGTGCGCCTGTAATTCTGGCTACGTGACAAGCTGAGGCAGGAGGATTGCTTGAGCCCAGGAGGTCGAGGCTGCAGTGAGTTGAGATTACACCACTGCAGTCCAACCTGGGCAACAGAGTGAGGCCTTGTCTCAAAAAACAAAGGCAAAACAAACAAACAAACAAACAAACAAAAAACTCAATCAAACCAACAAAAAAACAGACATTGCATGGGACATATTTATATACTAAAACAATAAATAATTCCAATGTATATCCTAAAAATTGCACAGGACATCCTTATACTAAAAAATTCTTCACTACCTGAAATTCTGATATAACTGGGTATCCTGCATTTTCATTTGCCAAATCTGGCAGCCATATCCCAGGCAACAAAGAAAGCACCTCGGCCGGGTGCAGTGGCTCATGCCTGCAATCCGTCTCAAAAAAAAAAAAAAGTACCTCCTTCAGCATCACATTTTGCATCGACACTCAATAAATATCCACATCAAGGAGGAAAAAAAAGCCACCGGGCTGCAGAGAAGAGCAGGGTTATTGGAACCAGCAGAAACATGGTAAATTAAACTCCTCTTCCTGCCTCAAGCATTGAAGGTCATAGTGACGACAACTCTCTAGAAACTCAACCCAAACAGCTCCAGACCAAACCCGAGGAAGTCGCAGGAGTTTTCGACTTCTCTTATAATTACTACCCGAAGGCACCATATTGAATGCAGCTTGGGATGCCAGCAGCGTGGTTTGGGACGAGGCCCAGTGCAGTTTTTCCCAGAGCTATTATAGGGAAGTAGTCATGAAACAAGACGGATGCGCTATGGTTGAGAACTGCAGAGCTGACCCAAAATATTTCTAATGTGTGGAACTAGCTGGCAAGCGGAGAGCCTGAGAAAACAAAAAGAGCTGCTTGACTGCTTTGAAATGCCCAGATCCTCGAAGTGTGGCTTTTCCTTCATGCTATTAGCTGTGTTCCAACAGGCAGAGAGCCAAGGGAAGAATTCCAGTGGGGGCCATCTTGGCAGGCGCACAGTTTGGCCTTGACAGCTTCATTTGAAGGGCAAGACAGGGTGAGAAGGAGGGAGGGCCCGGGGGAATCGGGAGGCCAGAGGACAAGCCCTTACCTCTGTGGGGTGCCTCAGAGGGTCACCAACACTCACAAGCCACTCACTTCTTGCAAAGACTGCCTGAAACAGGTACTGTTTTCTCCATTTTACAGACGGGGAAAGTGATGTTTCCAAAGTTATCTAGTGGCTTAGAATTCAAACTCAACACTTTTTTTGTTTTGTTTTGTTTTGTTGAGGGGGGAGGTCTTGCTATGTTGCCCAGGCTGGACTCAAACTCCTGGCCTCAAGCAATCCTCCCTCCTCAGCCTCCCAAAGTGCTGGGATTACAAATGTGAGCCACCACTCCCAGCCTCAAACCTTTTTTATTCATACTTTTTTATATTTATAATAAATATATTATACTTTTTAATTTATTTTTTGCATAGGTAATATATTCACATGGTTCAAAACCCAAAATATACTTAGGGATATAGTGGAAATCCTGTCTCCCTGGGCCCCAGCCTCCTGCCTCTCCTCTGCAGAAGCCCTTGATGTTTTTCATTTCTTAAGTAACCTTCCAGAGATTTCTTTCTTTTCTTTTTTTTTTGAGACAGAGTCTTGCTCTGTCACCCAGGCTGGAGTGCAGTGGGCACAATCTCAGCTCACTGCAACCTCTGCCTTTCAGGTTCAAGTGATTTTCTGGCCTCAGCCTCCCTAGAAGCTGGGATTACAGGCGCCCGACACCACGCCCAGCTAATTTTTTGTATTTTTATTAGTGACGGGGTTTCACCATGTTGGCCAATTTGGTCTTGAACTCCTGACCTCAGGTGATCTGCCCATCTCGGCCTCCCAAAGTGCTGGGATTACAGGCATGAGCCACCACGCCTAGCCCAGAGAGATTTTATAAATACATATTTTTCAGCTTTTCTTTTTTTAGACAGATGATATTTACTATACACACTACTCTGCTATTCTCACTTAAATCAAGGTCTTTCAGTCTTGATCTAGTGCTCCATCTTTTATTATTATTATTATTATTATTATTATTATTATTATTATTATTTTAGAGACAGGGTCTCACTGTGTTGCCCAAGCTGGAGTGCAGCCATTTCTCTTACCGTCTCCTGTCTCTGAAGAGCAGGAGGAAGTAAAAGTTGAAAAACAATAGCAATGAAGTCAGTGGCAAGACCAGCCGGTGCCACTGATGACCTGGCCTGAGGTTAAAAGATTAACGCCCCCCCACTCTAACCACATGTGCTCTCAATCCATCACGACCCTTTCTTTCACGTGGACCCCCTTAGAGTTGTAAGCCCTTAAAAGGGCCAGGAACTCTGTCTTCGGGGAGCTGGGCTCTTAAGACGTGAGTCTGCCAACGCTCCCAGCCGAATAAAAACCTCTTCCTTCTTCAATCCGGCGTCTGAGGAGTTTTGTCTGCAGCCAGTCCTGCTACATTTCTTGGTTCCCTGACCAGGAAGCGAGGTGATTAAGGGACGGGTCGAGGCAGCCCCTTAGGCCTGCCCTGTGGAACATCCCTGCAGGGGACTCTGACCAGCTCGAGCGAGGTGGATCCTGAGAGGGCTCCCGGGTAAGCAATTGCCCCGGTGGAACGCCTCATCAGAGCAGTGTGTGGCAGGCCCCCGCGGAGGATCAACGCAGTGGCTGAACACTGGGAAGGAATGGGCACTTGGAGTCCGGACATCTGAAACTTGGTAAGACTGGTCTTTGGAACTTGCTCGCTCCATTTGAGTGGAAGCATGGCCTGATCACCCACGGTGTGCCTGTACCGGCACTTTGGTTCTTGTTTTTGACTTGACTTGAATTGCTTGATACTATGGTTTTGGTTTTGACCTGGCTTGGATTTCTGGATACTCTGATTTTGGTTTTGATTCTGGCCTGGTGTAAACTGAAAAAGTGTGTGTGTGTCCTTTTTACCCATTCTTTGTTCTGTGGTGTGCGTGTGGTATGAGTGTGGTGTTTTGTCTTCAGGAAACATGGGTCAGACAAAAGTAAGCCCACTCCACAAGGAGCTATGTTGAAAAATTCCAAGGAAGGATTTAGTGGAGACTATGGGGTTACTATGACACCAGGGAAACATAGAACTTCGTGTGAAATAGATTGGCCAACATTAGAAGTGGGTTGGCCATCAGAAGGAAGCCTGGACAGGTCCCTTGTTTCTAAGGTGTGGCACAAGGTAACTGGTAAAGGATACCTAGACCAGTTCCCATACATAGACACTTGGTTACAGCTGGTGCTAGACCCCCCACAGTGACTAAGAGGGCAGACAGCAGCAGTGCTAGTAGCAAAGGGACAGATAGCTAAGGAAGGATCCCGCTCCACCCGCCCAGGGAAATCAACACCAGAAGTTCTGTTCGACCCATCATCAGAAGATCCATTGCAGGAGATGGCACCAGTGATCCCAGTGGTGTCCTCCCCTTACCAGGGAAAGAGGCTCCCCACAGTAGAGCCCACAGTGCTTGTGCCTCCGCAAAACAAGCATATCCGTAGGCCACCCAGAGTAGACAAGAGAGGAGGTGAAGACTTGGGAGAAACCCCTCCCTTAGCAGCTCTTTTATGACCCAAAACTGGGATACAAATGCCCCTGAGAGAGCAGCGGTATACTGGGATAGATGAAGATGGTCACATGGTGGAGAGGCGTGTTTTTGTGTGCCAGCCCTTCACCTCTGCCGACCTTCTCAACTGGAAAAACCCATCCTATACTGAAAAGCCACAAGCTCTAATTGATTTGCTCCAAACTATTATCCAGACCCACAACCCCACCTGGGCTGATTGCCACCAGTTGCTCATGTTCCTCTTTAACACAGATGAAAGGTGGAGAGTGCTCCAAGCAGCAACTAAGTGGCTAGAGGAACATGCACCAGCTGATTACCAAAACCCCCAAGGGTATGTAAGGACCCCGTTACCAGGAACCAACCCCCAGTGGGACCCAAATGAAAGAAAGGATAAGCAAAGGCTAAACTGATACAGGGAAGCTCTCTTGGAAGGATTAAAGAGGGGAGCCCAGAAGGCTACAAACGTTACTAAGGTCTCTGAGGTCATTCAGGGAAAAGAAGAAAGTCCAGCACAATTCTATGAGAGACTGTGTGAGGCCTATCGTATGTATACTCCCTTTGATCCTGATAGCCTTAAAAATCAGTGCATGATTAACATGGCTTTACTTAGTCAAAGCGCAGAAAACATTAGAAGAAAACTGCAGAAACAGGCTGGGTTTGCAGGGATGAACACATCAGTTATTAGAAATAGCTAACCAGGTGTTTGTAAACAGGGATGCAGTAAGCCATAAGGAAAACCGCAAAGAGAATGAATGTCAGGCCCGGCGAAATGCTGACCTGTTAGCTGCAGCAATCAGAGGGGTCCCCACAAAGAGGCAAGGGAAGGGGGGTCCTGGGAAAGAAACTCAGCTTGGCTGTCAGAGTTTGCAGCGTAACCAGTGTGCTTATTGTAAAAAAAAAAAAAAAAAAAAAAAAAGACATTGGAAGAACAAATGCCCTCAGCTAAAAAGAAAACAAGGTGACTCAGAGCAGGAGGCCCCAGACAAGGAGGAAGGGGCCCTGCTCAACCTGGCAGAAGGGTTACTGGACTGAGGGGGACCGGGCTCAAGTGCCCCCAAAGAGCCTATGGTTAGAATGATAGTCGGGGGTAAAGACATTGATTTTCTTTTAGATGCCGGTTCTGAACATTCAGTAGTAACCGCCCCAGTCACCCCCTTATCCAAAAAGACTATTGACATAATCAGAGCCATGGGGGTTTCAGCAAAGCAAGCTTTCTGCTGGCCCCGGACTCGTGCTGTAGGAGGACATAAAGTGATTCATCAGTTTTTGTACATGCCTGACTGTCCCTTGCCCTTGTTGGGAAGGGACTTGCTTAGCAAGCTGAGAGCCACTATCTCTTTTACAGAGCATGGCTCTTTGCTGCTAACATTACCCAGAACGGGAGTCATTATGACCCTTACGGTTCCCCGAGAGGAGGAACGGAGACTTTTCTTAACTGAGCCAAGCCAAGAGATAAGACCAGCTCTGGCTAAGCGGTGGCCAAGAGTATGGGCAGAAGACAACCCTCCAGGGTTGGCAGTCAACCAAGCCCACGTACTTGTAGAAGTTAAGCCTGGGGCCCAGCTGGTTAGGCAAAAACAGTACCCGGTCCCCAGAGAAGCTCTTAAAGGTATCCAGGTCCATCTCAAGCACCTAAAAACTTTTGGAATTATAGTTCCTTGTCATTCTCCATGGAACACTCCCCTCCTGCCTGTTCCCAAGCCAGGGACCAAGGACTACAGGCTGGTACAGGATTTGCGCTTGGTTAATCAAGCTACAGTGACTTTACATCCAACAGTATCTAACCCGTGCACATTGTTGGGGTTGTTGCCAGCTGAGGACAGGTGGTTCACCTGCTTGGACCTGAAAGACGCTTTCTTTAGTATCAGATTAGCCCGTGAGAGCCAGAAGCTGTTTGCCTTTCAGTGGGAAGATCTGGAGTCAGTTATCACTACTCAATACACTTAGACCCGGCTTCCCCAAGGGTTCAAGGACTCCCCCACCATCTTTGGGGAGGCATTGGCTCGAGACCTCCAGGAATTTCCCACCAGACACCTAGGCTGTGTATTGCTCCAGTACGTTGATGACCTTTTGCTGGGACACCCCACAGCAGTTGGGTGCGCCAAGGGAATGGATGCCCTACTCCGGCACCTGGAGGACTGTGGGTATAAGGTGTCCAAGAAAAAAGCTCAGATCTCCCGACAGCAGGTACGTTACTTGGGATTTACTATCCGACAGGGGGAGCGCAGCCTGGGGTCAGAAAGAAAGCAGGTTATTTGCAATCTACTGGAGCCTAAGAGCAGAAGGCAGTTGACAGAATTCTTAGGAGCTGTGGGGTTTTGTAGACTGTGGATCCCAAACTTTGCAGTATTAGCCAAGCCTTTGAGGTCACAAAGAGGGAGGACCGGGAAATTTTTGAATGAGGATCCCAACAACAGCAAGCCTTTCATGAGTTAAAGGAAAAACTTACGTCAGCCCCAGCCCTGGGGCTACCCAATCTGACAAAGCCTTTTACATTGTATGTGTCAGAGAGAGAGAAAAGATGGCAGTTGGAGTTTTAACCCAAACTGTGGGGTCTAAAGGATGGCCCATGTTTGAGGGCCTTGGCAGCAACTGCCCTGCTAGTGAAGAAGCAAATAAGCTGACTCTTGGGCAAAACCTGAACATAAAGGCCCCCCATGCTGTGACTTTAATGAATACTAAAGGACATCATTGGCTAATGAATGCTAGACTCACCAAGTTCCAAAGTTTGCTCTGTGAAAATCCCCATATAACCGCTGAAGTTTGTAACATCCTGAACCCCACCACCTTGCTCCCGGTATCAGAGAGCACTGTCGAGCATGATTGTGTAGAAGTGTTAGACTCAGTTTACTCTAGCAGACCTGACCTCCGGGACCAGCCTTGGGCATCAGTAGACTGGGAACTACACGTGGACGGGAGCAGCTTCATCAACCCACAAGGAGAGAGAGGTGCAGGGTGTGCGGTGGTAACCCTGGACACTGTTGTTGAAGCCAGATCATTGCCCTAGGGCACTTCAGCCCAGAAAGCTGAACTCATTGCTTTAATTCGGGCCTTAGAACTCAGTGAAGGTAAGACTGTAAACGTTTACACTGATTCTCCGTATGCCTTTTTAACCCTTCAAGTGCATGGAACATGATATAAAGAAAAGGGCCTATTGAACTCTGGGGGAAAAGACATAAAATATCAACAAGAAATCTTGCAATTATTAGAAGCAGTATGGAAACCCCACAAGGTGTCAGTTATGCATTGCAGAGGACACCAGCGAGCTTCCACCTTGGTGGGTTTGGGGAATTCCCTCGCTGACCCAGAGGCTCGAAAAGCAGCAACTGCCCCCTTCCGGGCATCAGTCACAGCCCCTCTGCTCCCTCAAGCACCTGATCTTGCACCTACTTATTCTAAAGAAAAGGACTTTCTCCAGGAAGATGGAGGACAAGTGATGCAGGAAGGATGGATTTGGTTACCAGATGGGAGAGTAGCTGTGCCACAGCTGTTAGGAGCTGCAGTTGTACTGGCTGTGCATAAAACCACCCATCTAGGCCAGGAGTCACTTGAAAAGTTGTTAGGCTGGTATTTCTACATCTCACATTTGTCAGCCCCTGCCAAAATAGTGACGCAGCAGTGTGTTACCTGCTGACAGCATAATGCGAGGCAAGGTCCAGCCATTCCACCCGGCATACAGGCTTATGGAGCAGCCCCCTTTGAAGATCTCCAGGTAGATTCCACAGAGATGCCAAAGTGTGGAGGTAACAAGTATTTACTAGTTCTCATGTGTGCCTACTCTGGGTGGGTGGAGGCTTATCCAACATGAACTGAGAAAGCTCGTGAAGTAACCCGTGTGCTTCTTCGAGATCTTATTCCTAGATTTGGACTGCCCTTACGGATCGGCTCAGATAACGGGCCGGCATTTGTGGCTGACTTGATACAGAAGACAGCAAAGGTATTGGGGATCACATGGAAACTGCATGCCGCCTACCAGCCTCAGAATTCCGGAAAGGTGGAGTGGATGAATCGGACTATCAAAAATAGTTTAGGGAAAGTATGTCAGGATACAGGATTAAAATGGATATAGGCTCTCCCTATGGTATTATTTAAAATTAGATGTACCCCTTCTAAAAGAACAGGATATTCCCCTTATAAAATATTAGGCCCCCTCCCATATTGCGGGGACTTCCAGGCACTCCCCGAGAGTTAGGTGAAATTGAGTTACAGTGACAGCTACAGGCTCTAGGAAAAATTGCACAAACAATCTCAGCCTGGGTAAATGAGAGATGCCCTGTTAGCTTATTCTCCCCAGTTTACCCTTTCTCCCCAGGTGATCAAGTATGGATTAAAGACTGGAATGTAGCTTCTTTGTGCCCATGGTGGATAGGACCCCAGATTGTCATCCTGACCACTCTCACCGCTGTGAAGGTAGAAGGAATCCCAGCCTGGATCCACCACAGCCATGTAAAACCTGCAGCGCCTGAAACCTGGGAGGCAAGACCAAGCCCGGACAACCCTTGCAGAGTGACCTTGAAGATGATGACAAGCCCTGCTCCAGTCACACCCAGAAGCTGACTAGTCCATGCACGGCCGAAGCATGAGGAAGCTCATCGTGGAACTCATTTTTCTTAAATTTTGGACTTGTACAGTAAGGACTTCAACTGACCTTCCTCAGACTGAGGTAGGGCAAAAAGTTAAAACAGTCTTTCTGTTTAAAAGGGACTTGTGTGTATAATGCCACCCAGTACAAGGTATGCAGCTCAGGAAGTGACCAGACTCAAGTGTGCTACAACCCAGTAGAACTACTTAATCCCCATTGGAAAACAAGAGAGTATGTAACTCTAGGAGTCAATGGAATTGGACTGGCAGGAAGACCTAGGTAATGTAGGTGGAAGTGAGAACTCCCACTAGTGAGTGAGGTTCTCAAAGGGGAGAATGAGGAGGGAAGCCATTTCTCTTACTGTCTCCTGTCTCTGAAGAACAGGAGGAAGTAAAAGTTGAAAAACAACAGGAAGGAAGTCAGTGGCAAGACCAGCCAGTGCCACTGATGACCTGGCCTGAGGTTAAAAGGTTAACCACCCCCCTCTCCTCTAACCACATGTGCTCTCAATCCATCACGACCCTTTCATGTGGAACCCCTTAGAGTTGTAAGCCCTTAAAAGGGCCAGGAACTCTGTCTTCGGGGAGCTCGGCTCTTAAGATGCGAGTCTGCCAACGCTCCCAGCCAAATAAAAACCTCTTCCTTCTTCAATCCAGTGTCTGAGGAGTTTTGTCTGTGGCCCGTCCTGCTACAGCACAATTGTAGCCCACTGTAACCTCGAATTCCTAGGCTCAAGTGATCCTCCCACCTCAGCCTCCTGAGTAGAGTAGCTAGGATTACAGGCATGTGCCACCATGCCAAGCTAATTTTCTTTAGAGACAAGGTCTTGCTATGTTGCCCAGGGTGGTCTCAAACTCCTGGGCTCTTGGCCTCTCAAAATGTTGGATTTTAGGATTATAAGCATGAACCACTGTACCCGGACTGCTCTTTCTTACAAAAAAAAGTATTTTCCCATTAGAAAATATAGTGAATTTGATAAATACAAAAAAAGGTGGAAAGACCTCTCCCTCTCCCTCTCCCTCCTCTCCCTCTCCATCTCCCCACTCCCTCTCTCTCCACGGTCTCCCTCTGATGCTGAGCCGAAGCTGGACTGTACTGCCGCCATCTCAGCTCACTGCAACCTCCCTGCCTGATTCTCCTGCCTCAGCCTGCCGAGTGCCTGGGATTGCAGGCGCACACCGCCACGCCTGACTGGTTTTCGTATATTTTTGGTGGAGACGGGGTTTTGCTGTGTTGGCCGGGCTGGTCTCCAGCTCCTAACCGTGAGTGATCTGCCAGCCTTGGCCTCCCGAGATGCTGGGATTGCAGACGGCGTCTCGTTCACTTAGTGCTCAATGTTGCCCAGGCTGGAGTGCAGTGGCGTGATCTCGGCTCGCTACAACCTCCACCTCCCAGCCGCCTGCCTTGGCCTCCCAAAGTGCCGAGATTGCAGCCTCTGCCTGGCCGCCACCCCCTCTGGGAAGTGAGGAGCGTCTCTGCCTGGCCGCCCATCGTCTGGGATGTGAGGAGCCCCTCTGCCCAGCTGCCCAGTCTGGGAAGTGAGGAGCGCCTCTTCCCGGCCGCCATCCCATCTAGGAAGTGAGGAGCATCTCGGCCTGGCCGCCCATCGTCTGAGATGTGGGGAGCGCCTCTGCCCCGCCGCCCCGTCTGGGATGTGAGGAGCGCCTCTGCCCGGCCGCGACCCCGTCTGGGAGGTGAGGAGCATCTCTGCCCGGCCGCCCGGTCTGAGAAGTGAGGAGCCCCTCCGCCCGGCAGCCACCCTGTCTGGGAAGTGAGGAGCCCCTCCGCCCAGCAGCTGCCCCATCTGGGAAGTGAGGATCGTCTCTGCCCAGCAGCCGCCCCGTCTGGGAGGTGTACCCAACAGCTCATTGAGAATGGGCCATGATGACGATGGCGGTTTTGTCAAATAGAAAAGGGGGAAATGTGGGGAAAAGATACAGAAATCAGATTGTTGCTGTGTCTGTGTAGAAAGTAGAAGACATGGGAGACTCCATTTTGTTCTGTACTAAGAAAAATTCTTCTGCCTTGGGATGGTGTTAATCTATAACCTTACCCCCAACCCCATGCTCTCTGAAACATGTGCTGTGTCCACTCAGGGTTAAATGGATTAAGGGAGGTGCAAGATGTGCTTTGTTAAACAAATGCTTGAAGGCAGCATACTCATTAAGGGTCATCACCACTCCCTAATCTCAAGTACCCAGGGACACAAACACTGCGGAAGGCCACAGGGTCCTCTGCCTAGGAAAACCAGAGACCCTTGTTCACTTGTTTATCTGCTGACCTTCCCTCCACTATTGTCCTATGACCCTGCCAAATCCCCCTCTGCGAGAAACACCCAAGAATGATCAATAAATACTAAAAAAAAAAAAAAAAAAAGGTGGAAAGAATAAAGTATTGTCTTTTGTCCTGCCCCGCAAAGCCACCACTGTTAACCATTTGCTGTTTCACTTCAGGCTTTGTTTGTAAATGATTTTGTATGGACTCTTTCTGCTATACCACAGTCACCTCTTGGGGCAGAACTAGGGACAGAAAGACAATGGGGCCAGGTGAGGTGGCTCACACCTGTAATCTCAGGAATTTTGGAGGCTGAGGCAGGAGAATCCCTTGAGTTTAGGAGTTCAAGGCCAGGCCGGGCAACATAGTGAAACCCTGTCTCTTTAAAAAATAAAAAAATTAACTGGGCATGGTGGTGGACACCTGTAATTCTGGGGGGCTGAAATGGGAGGATTGCTTGAACCCAGGAGGCCAAGGCTGCAGTGGGTCATGATGGTGCCACTGCACTCCAGCCTGGGCAACAGAGTGAGACCCTGTCTCAGGGAGAAAAAAAAAAAATGGGAAGAAGAGAAGAAAGAAAGAAGCAAATATGTCCAGTGGGTGTGGGACTGATGTGAGCCAGGAGAGGTTAGCTGAGAAAGTCGGTGTTTCATCCATCCTTTTGAGGACCTCTTTTTTTTTTTTTTTTTTTTTTGAGCCCCTAGTACCTGCATTGTGAAAATATAGATGCTAAGATAAAGCCAGGGCTGGGTGTGGTGGCGCATGCCTGTAATCCCAGCTATTCAGGAGGCTGTCAAGAGAATTGCTTGAACCTGGGAGGTGGAGGTTGCAGTGAGCCAAGATCACGCTCCAGCCTGGGTGACAGAGTGAGACTCTGTCTCAAAAAATAAATAAATAAATAAGTAAAAAATAAAAAACTGAGAGCAGAGAAAAAATGAAGGAACTGGCCATTTCAACACTGCGACAGGTGCTAGGACAGACAGTGAGAAAGCACAGCGGGCTGAAGAAGCCCTACAAGGAGGTGGGATCAGAGAGGCCCCTGGGGGAACGGCCCAGAGCTGAGTCGTGATCAGCAGGTGATGGCTGGAGGGGCATTCCTGCAGAAGGGATTGCAGAAGTAGAGATAGTTTAGTGTAGTGGAGCTGGGAAGGGCCAGGTGTGTAATGTACAAGGAATTTTGACTTGATCCCGAGGGTAACGTGAAGCTCTTGAAAGTTCCAAGGCAGGAAATTGACACGATTGGATTTGCACTCTGACAATGACCAAGTCTGGCTGCTGGGGGTAAACCATTAGGAGTAGAGGAGGCGGAGGGGAGTCTGGAGATTGGAGAATTTGTTACGGGACTGTTGCATGTATCCCAGAGAGACAAGGCAGTGGCGTGAACTAAGGTTGTAGGGATGGAGGGACATGGGTGGATTTTTAAGAGGCTACAGATATAGAATCGGTAACTGAATGGGGATCAGAATGGCTCACACATGGAGGCCTGGGCATTTATTGATTCAAGATTCCTCACTGGCCCTCCTTTACAAAGATTTAGGCTTCTGGGCTTGGCATGGGGATCCTCAATGGCATCACTTCAACCTTGCTTTGTCATCTCTCTCTCTTTCCCTTCTCTACTTGTACTTAAAGTGCATTGGAATTTGGTGATTCCCTGGGCATGCTGTCCCTTCATCTCACGTCCTTCTCCTCATACCTGGGCTTCTGAAAGCATCTCCATCCTTCAAGCCCAGCCCAATGCCACATCTCTAAAGAAAGCCTTGGGGCGCCAGCCCTCCCCTCCTTCCCACTACTCTTTTGTAACAAATCTTCTAGCAAGTTGCGTCTCCACCTGAGGAAACACTCACCACATTCTGCATTGTACTTCTTGTGGAGAAAAAAAAAAGTACTTTTTATGGCTGATTTTTTTTTTTTTTTTTTGAGACAGAGTCATATTTTGTTGCCCAGGCTGGAGTGCAGTAGCGCGATCTTGGCCCACTGCAACCTCTGCCTCCCAGGTCCAGGCAATTCTCTTGCCTCAGCCTCCCGAGTAGCTGGGATTACAGGCACATGCCACCACACCCTGCTGCATTTTTGTACTTTTAGTAGAGATGGGGTTTCACCATGTTGGCCAGGCTGGTCTCAAACTCCTGACCTCAGGTGATCCACCCGCCTCAGCTTCCCAAAGTGTCGGGATTACAGGCATGAGCCATGGCGCCTGGCCAGCTGATTTTTACTACAAAGTTAAAGCCTCCTCAAAAGCTGACACCACACCTGTCTTGGAAGCTCAAGGAATGTTTGTCAAATTCAAATGAGCACTCCCCAGAAAACCCAAATTCTGAGCCAAGAAGGTTTGTGAAATAAAAAAGAATCAGGCGGGCACAGGGGTTCAGCTGGGGAAATAGACTAAAACAGTGAGAAGACCCTGAAGGCAGGAAGGACCAGCAAGGGTAGGGTTGGTGATAAGGCCGTGACCTTGGGCATAGGATACAGGTTGATGCCCTGGTTTGAGGCCCCGGCTGTGTGCTGTGGTCCTTAGGATTGTGAGGGCCTCCACCCAGAAGCAGAGACCTCAGATGCTGTTAGACCCCGAATAGCATGGAGGGAAGTGTGTGGAGTCAGGCCCTAAGCCGCTGGGTTAGAGTACAGAGGGTTTTCTGAAACAGTGAAATCCCGTCATCTCCTTCCAGAATATGAACCATGCCTCCTCCTCTAAACTTCCCTGAACGTGTCTGTTTGTTTGTTTTTAAGACACGGTCTTACTTTGTCACCCAGGCTGGAGTGCATTAGTGCAATCTTGGCTCACTGCAGCCTTGAACTCCTGGGCTCAAGTGATCTTCTTGCCTTAGCCTCCCAAGTAACTAGGACCACAGGTGTGTGCCACTACACCTGGCTAAATTTCTTATTTTTTGTGGAGGATGGGGTCTCACTATGTTGCCCAGGCTGGTCTCAAACTCCTGAGCTCAAGCCATCCTCCCATTTCAGCCTCCCAAAGTGCTGGGTTTACAGGCGTGAGCCATTGAGCCTGGCTCCCTGAGCCCTCACTATCAACTTTCACCACATGTAGGGCCCTGCAGTGACCACAGGCCAGGCCGCCACTGTCAGGAGCTCCCATAGCTTAGCCTCAATGCAACTCTTTCTAGCTGAGCATCTCTCTTTCAAAACAGAGGTGGAGGAAGTGGGTGAGGAGAGACCTGCATTGAGAGGGTGCTCTAAGGACAATCCTGGCCTGAGTAGAGGTCTGATGTTCTGAGTGTCACCTTATGAGCCATCAGAAACTAAGGTAAACCTTTGTTCTTCCCAGATTGTACCTTCTGAACAGAGAAATGAAGGACCAATTAAGAGAAGTTCCACAAGATGCATTCTAGATAAGAAATCTAGGGCCAGGCACAGTGGCTCATGACTGTAAACCCAGCTGTTTGGGAGGCCAAGGCAGGAGGATCGCTTGGGGCCAGGAGTTTGAGACCAGCCTGGGCAACATTGCCTGACTCCTGTCTCTACAAAAAAATATTTTAAAAATTAGCCCAGTGTGGTAGTGTGCACCTGTGGTCCCAGCTACTCAAGAGGCTGAGGCAGGAGGATCGCTTGACCCCAGGAGTTTGAGGCTGCAGTAAGCTATGATCACTACACTCCAACCTGGGTGACAAAGTGTGAGACCCTATCTCTAAAAAAATCAAAAAATTAGAAAAAAAAATTTTTTTTTTTTTGAGATGGAGTCTTGCTCTGTTGCCCAGGCTTGAGTGCAATGGTGCGATCTCAGCTCACTGCAGCCTCTGCCTCCCGGGGTCAAGCAATTCTCCTGCCTCAGCCCCTGAGTAGCTGGGATTACAGACACATGCCACCACACCCAGCTAATTTTTGTATTTTTAGTAGAGATAAGGTTTCCATGTTGGCCAGGCTGGTCTCGAACTCCTGACCTCAAATGATCCCCCACCTTGGCCTCCCAAAGTGCTGGGATTATAGGCGTGGGCCACTATGCCCAGCAAAAATTTTAAATAATGCTTCCTAGCACTCTGGGTATTATATCACAGAGGCCAGAGGCAGTAACTGGGAGAATGTGGGATTCTGGAGTAGAGATGGGAATGATGGGAACAGAGGAAAGAGTAAGACCATGGTAAAGTGTCCCAAACCCTGCATGCCTCAGACAACAGCGGTCTCTGAGCCCCATCCTTGTGGCCAGGCACAGCTCAGGTCAGCAGGAACAAACAGTAAGTAAATAACTGCTAAGATAAGGAACCCTGGGAGAAGAGGGGGCACCCATCAAGAGGGCGAGTTGAAGATACAGGAATGGGAAGGAATCCAGAGCATGAGAGATGGGAAAATGAATCCCCCTCCTATTCCAAGAAAGAGGAGGTGGTGTGAACCAGGCAGAAGCTGGTAGGACTGCAGGTTTGGGGGCTGGAAACAGAGGCATCTCCAAATAAGTGCTTCTCCATGCGGCGTGTTCACTTTTCTCTAGTTCACATGAGGCTCCTCCTGTGGCTTTGGTTGTTACTGGAGCCCATTCACCCACATTGCTGCACGTAGCTGGAGTTTATCTTCATTGCTTCCGATGAATACAATTTTCATTGCACCACTTATCCATTCTGCTGTTGATGGACATTTGAGTTCCTTCCAGTCCTGGGATATATCAAATAATGCTGCTATGTATATTCTTTTTTGTGTGTGTGTGTGTTCTTAAATTTATCTTTATTAATTTTTTTTCTTTAGAAATGGGGTTTTGCTCTATCTACAGGTAAGTGCCATGATACTCAGCTAATTTTTAAAATTTTTGTAGAGATCGGGGTCTCACTATGTTGCCCACTTCTTTTCATTGCTATGAGCATATTTTGGGGGGGTGTATATCTAGGAGTAGAACTGCTGAGTCATAGGGTATGCACATTTTCAACTTTAGAAGACAGTGCCACACTGTTTCCTAAAGAGACTGTTCCAACTAACTCCCACCAGTAATGCATGAAATTTTCAGTTGCTTCACTCCTCAAATAGCCCGTTTTTAAAATTCTAACCATTCTGGTGAGTGGGTAATGGTATTTCATTGTGATTTAAATTTTTATTTCCCTAATTACTAATGAAGTTGAGCATCATTTCATATGTTTATTGACCATCTGGATTTCTGCTTTTATAAAATTCAGTCTCTTCCCAAATTTTCAATTGGGTTATCTGTCTTTTTCTTAATGATTTGTAGCAATTCTTTTTTTTTTTTTTTTTTTTTTTTTGAGACGGAGTCTCGCTCTGTCGCCCAGGCTGGAGTGCAGTGGCGGGATCTCGGCTCACTGCAAGCTCCGCCTCCCGGGTTCACGCCATTCTCCTGCCTCAGCCTCCCAAGTAGCTGGGACTACAGGCGCCCGCCACTACGCCCGGCTAATTTTTTGTATTTTTAGTAGAGACGGGGTTTCACCGTTTTAGCCGGGATGGTCTCGATCTCCTGACCTCGTGATCCGCCCGCCTCGGCCTCCCAAAGTGCTGGGATTACAGGCGTGAGTCACCGCGCCCGGCCTGTAGCAATTCTTTCAATATTCTCAGTATAATCCTTTTGTCAGTTACACCTGTTGTATCTTTTCCCAGTCTGTGGCTGGCTGGCCTTATTTATTTTGCTCATAGTGTCTTTTCATGAGAACTCTTTAATGTAGGCAAATGTATTGATCTTTTTTAAAAAAAATAGCATTAATGCAAGATCATGAAATTCTATATCACCCTCTAAAAGCTTTATTTTTCTGCCTATCATATTTTTTTCTACAGCCTCTCTAGGATTGACTTTTATGCATGGTGTTAGGTGGGGGACAAATTTCGGGTTTTTTTTTTCCTTATGGATGTCCAGTTATTCCAGGATCATTTATTTTAAAGTACATCTTTTCCCCACTTCTTTGCAGTGACACCTCTGTGAAGAATCAATGTCCAGCCAGGCACGGTGGCTCATGCCTGTAATCCCAGCACTTTGGGAGGCCGAGGTGGGCGGATCATGAGGTCAGGAGTTCGAGACCAGCCTGGCCAACATGGTGAAACCCCGTCTCTACTAAAGATACAAATAATTAGCTGGGCATGGTGGCACACACCTGTAGTCCCAGCTACTTGGGAGGCTGAGGCACAAGAATCGCTTGAACCCGGAAGGTGGAGGTTGCAGTGAGCCAAGACTGCACCACTGCATTCCAGCCTGGGCGACAGGGCGAGGCTCTGTCTCAAAAAAAAAAAAGGATCAATGTCCATGCATTTAAGGATCTGTGTCTGTGCCCTCTATTCTGTTCTATTGCTGATTGTTAGACCATCATAGCATTGGCTTATTATTGTACAATTTTATAAGTCTTGATGCTTAGAAGAGTCTTTCCATCTTGCTTTACTTCAAAGAGGGATCTTCTTTTCTTTCTTTTTTTTTTTTTTTTGAGATGGAGTTTCACTCTTGTCACCCAGCAGGCGGGAGTGCAGTGGCAAGATCTCGGCTCACTGCAACCTCCGCCTCCCAAGTTCAAGCGATCCTTTTGCTTCAGCCTCCTGAGTAGCTGGGATTACGGATGCCCGCCACCACACCCAGCTAATTTTTTGTATTTTTAGTAGAGACAGGCTTTCAATATGTTGGCTGGGCTAGTCTCCAACTCCTGACCTCAGGTGATCCACCAGCCTTGGCCTCCCAAAATATTGTGATTACAGGCATGAACCACCATACCTAGCCCTCTTTTTTTTTTTTTTTTTTTCTTTATTGAGACAGGGTCTCACTCTGTCACCCAGGCTGGATCACAGTGTGCAACCATAGCTCATTGCACCCTTGAATTCTTGGGCTCAAGAATCCTCCTGCCTCAGCCTCCTGAGTAGCTAGGACTACAGGCATGTGCCACCATGCCCAGCTAACTTTAAAAAAATATTTTGGCCAGGTGCAGTGGCTCTGGCCTGTAATCCCAGCACTTTGGGAGGCTGAGGCAGGTGGATCACGAGGTCAGGAGATCAAGACCATCCTGGACAACATGGTGAAACCCCATCTCTACTAAAAATACAAAAATTAGCTGGGCGCAGCAGCACATGCCTATAGTCCCAGCTACTCGGGAGGCTGAGGCAGGAGAATTGCTTGAACCCGGGAGGCAGAGGCTGCAGTGATCTGAGATCATGCCACTGCCCTCCAGCCTGAGCGACAGAGTGAGACTCCATCTCAAAAAAAAAAAAAAATCAGATTGTCAAAAAAAATCTCTTAAGATAGAATAACACTGCATCTATACATCAATTTAGGGATACCTATATCTTTACAATAGTGAGTCTTTCAATTCATAAGCATGGTATATCTCTCTCCATTTATTTAGCTGTTTTTAGTTTCTTGAAAAGCTATTTTACAGTTCTCTATATAGGGATCTTACTCATGTTTTATAAGGTTAATTTTTAGGTACTTTGTATTTTTCATATCACTATAAGGGGTATCCTATTTCAAATCATTTAACCAGCATTTGTAACTAAACTTTTGTATACTGACTTTGTATTCAGCAACTTACTAATTTTAATAAGTTCTCTATAAATCTTAAAAGATTTTCTAAGTATATAATAGCATTGTATTCAAATAACAGTTGGTCTGTTCTTTGCAATTGTTGTGCCTCTGATTTCCTTTTCTTGATTTATGACACTGGCCAAGAAATGTTGAATAGCCATGGTGACAGCGGGTATCCTTATCTTGTTTCTGACATTAAAGAGAAAGCTTTCAACTCTTTGCCATTAAGTCTTTGGTATTCCCAGAGATTTACTAGGTCTGGCTGTGGATTTCTTTTTTATTTATCCTGTTTGGATTTGGGAATTTTCGGTCTTCTGAAAACTGTGGCTTTATGTCTTTTGTTAGTTTTGGAAAGTGTTCAGCTAAAACTCCTCAAATATTGCTTCTGCTCCCTTTTCTCCTTTATTTGTGGAACTCCAATTAAATCCATTTAGACCAGCACTAATACAACCTGCTGAATCTGTGTCCATGCTGGGGCTATTAAGCATTTGTGTTATATACTGGTATGTGACTATTAAGCATTTGAAATGTGGTTAGTGCAGTTGAGAAACTGAATTTTTACATTTTATTTAACTGCAATTAATTTAAATTTAAATAACCACATATGGCTAGTGGCTACCCTATTAAACAGTGCAGATTTAGAACCTTCCAACTCTGCCATAAATGTCTCTTGATCTCTCCTGTGTATGTTCTGTCCTTCCCATCTATCTTCCAGTGCCCTTATTCTCTCTTCAGTTGTGTCTAATCTACTGTTAAACACTTCTATTGTGTTCTGAATTTTATCTATTTTATTTTTCACTTCTAAAATTTCTTCTAATTTCTTGTGCTGGTTATCAATGTATTGCCTCTTGCCTCCAAATTCTTCCTTTTAGGCCAGGCATTGTAGCTCACGCGAGTAATCCAGCACTTGAGAGGCCAATGCAGGCAGATCACCTGAGCTCAGGAGTTCGAGACCAGCCTGGCTAACATGGTGAAACCCCGTCTTTACTAAAAATACAAAAATTAACTGGACATGGTGGTGGGCACCTGTAGTTCCAGCTACTTGTGAGGCTGAGGCAGGAGAATCACCTGAACCCAGGAGGCAGAGGTTGCAGTGAGCCGAGATCGTGCCATTGCACTCCAGCCTGGGCAAGAAGAGTGAAACTCCATCTCAAAAACAAAACAAAACAAACTCACCCCTTTCGATACTCTGTGAAAGTGGATCTTGTCCTTTAAGTATTTTTTTCCCATGCTAGCAGACACCAAGGCTTTCTAAGTACAGAATGATGGACAGACACTGCAGGTGAAGGTCCCAGTGTACAGGGCTGGGCAGGCTCTTGCAGAGTGCATAGCTTTTCTCGTGCAGGCTTCTGCAGTGAGTGCAGCTTCCTCAGCACCCAGCTCCAGCAATGGACCCAGTACTCCCTCCCCTGGCACTTTTGTAGTAGAGCATCTCATCTCTAGTGATGTCCTTTCCTGTGGACAGCTTTCCCCAGCACCCTAAAGGGCAGTGTATTAGTCTGTTTTCACACTGCTGATAAAGACATACTTGAGACCGGGCAATTTACAAAAGAAAGAGATTTAATGGACTTACAGTTCCATGTGGCTGGGGAGGCCTTACAATAACGGCAGAAGGCAAAAGGCACGTCTCACGTGGCGGCAGACAATAGAAGAGGGCTTATGCAGGGGAACTCCTCTTTTTAAAACCATCATATCTCGTAAGACTTATTCACTGTCACAAGAACACCATGGGAAAAGACCTGCCTCCATGATTCCATTACCTCCCACTGGGTCCCTCCCACAACATGTGGGAATTCAAGATGAGATTTGGGTGGGGACACAGCCAAATCATATCAGGCAGATTTCCAGCAGTTCCACCAGTGCAGCAGCTCAGCAACTTCTCTGCCTTCCAGTGAGCCAGAGCTGTCCATGGCCTCTCAACAGGGTCAGAATCTGAGCCCTGGGCGTGGGCTAAGGTGCTCAATCTCAGCCCTGGAGTTAGCGACTGCTCTTCAAATCTGCCAGCTCTATATTTTTTTTAGAGGCATTTACTTCATACTAGTCAATCCCTTGCTACTCTAATGATTTGGTTTTTTTGTTGTTGTTTTTTTTTTGGAGATGGAGTTTCGATCTTGTTATCTAGGCTGCAGTGCAGTGGCACAATCTCGGCTCACTGCAACCTCCACCTCCTGGGTTCAAACAATTCTCCTGCCTCAGACTCCCGAGTAGCTGGGATTACAGGTGCCCACCACCACGCCCTGCTAATTTTTTGTATTTTTAGTAAAGACGGGGTTTCACCACGTTGGCCAGGCTAGCCAGGCTGGTCTTGAACTCCTGACCTCAGGTGATCCACCCACCTCAGCCTCCCAAAGTGCTGGGATTACAGACGTGAGCCACTGCACCCAGCTCTAATCCTTTTCTAATCCTTTGTTATAGTAATTTTTTTTTTCTTTAGACAAGGTCTCTCTCTGTCACCCAGGCTTGAGTGCAGTGGTATGATCATGGCTCACTACAGCCTTGACCGGGCTCAATCAATCCACTCACCTCAGCCTCCTGAGTAGCTGGGATGACAGCCATACATCACCTGACCTGGCTAATTTTTGTATTTTTTTGTGGAGATGAGGAGTTGCCATGTTTCTCAGGGTGGTCACAAACTCCTCAGCTCAAGCGCTCCTCCTGCATTGGCCTTCCAAAGTGCTGGAATTACAGGTGTGAGCCACCGTGCCTGGCCAATAATTATTTATATTAAGTATCCCTGTTTAAATTACAATGTGTTTTCTCTCTTGTATTTGGACCTAGGCAGATATAATATTTTTTTTCAAATATGCAATGTCACTTTTTTCTTCCCCCTGAAACAGGGTCTCACTCTGTCCCCCAGGCTGGAGTGCAGTTATAGCTCACTGCAGCCTCAAATTTCTGGGTTCAAGTGAGCCTCCCACCTTAGCCTCTCAAAATGCTGGGATAACAGGAGTGAGTCACTATGCTCAGCTAATTTTAAAAACATTTTTTGACCTGGCGTGGTGGCTCGTGCCTGTAATCCGAGCACTTTGGGAGGCCGAGGCGGGCAGATTACTTAAGGTCAGGAGTTCGAGACCAGTCTGGTCGACATGGTGAAACCCCATCACTACTAAAAATACAAAAATTAGCCAGGCATGGTGGTGTGACCCTGTAATCCCAGCTACTTGGGGTACTGAGACACAAGAATTGATTGAACCTGGAAGGTGAAGGTTGCAGTGAGCCAAGATCACGCCATTGCATTCCAGCCTGAATGATGAGACTCTGTCTCAAAAAAAAAAAAAAAAAAAAAAAAAAAAAAACAATTTCTGCAGAGACAGAGTCTCACTATGTTGCTGAGGCTGGCCTTGAACACCTGGGTTGAAGTGATTCTCCTGTTTTAGCCTCCAAAATTGCTGGGATTATAGGCCTGAGCCACTGTGCCCAGCCCAGTGTAACTTTTTATAGTTATAGTTCCTTCCTGAAAATGTTGGTTTCCAGCTCCATGACATAATAGGCATAGTGAGTTTACAGTTTGTAACTAGTAGTTGCACTATCAGGAGTAGCTGTGAGTCTGTCCCTACTGTCTGCTGATACTGATTCTCATTATTTGGTCTTGTTTCCTCAAGCAGTAAATTGGATCTGATTTTGTGTTGGTCATTACAGTTTTTTTTTGTTTGTTTGTTTGTTTTTTTTTGAGACAGAGCTTTGCTCTGTAGCCCAGGCTGGAGTGTAGTGGCGTGATCTCGGCTCACTGAAACCTCCATCTCCCGGGTCCCAGCTCAAGCGATTCTCCTGCCTCAGCCTCCTGAGTAGCTGGGATTACAGGCACGTACCACCATGCCCAGCGAATTTTTGTATTTTAGTAGAAACAGGGTTTTACAATGTTGGCCAGGCTGGTCTCCAACTCCTGGCCTCAAGTGATCCACCCACCTCAGCCTCGCAAAGTGCTGGGATTACAGGCATGAGCCACCACACCTGGCTAATTCTCTATTTAATCCTATCTAGACAGCGAGTTACTTGAGGGCAAGTAACTCTTTGTATCCGTGGTGTCTATCATGGTGCCTTGCACCTAGGAGACATCCAATAACTGCTATGTGAATGAAGGAATGGTTAAGAAAGGATTTATTCTGATTTCTTAAATTTTGACATTTCCTCCAAAAAGGTGATCTTATCTTTGGGAGCAAGAGTTCAATCTGTTTTTCAAGGACTGAATCTTAAGGATTGAACCTACAGAGCCTGCTCAGGCTTGCCGTAGATGCTTTTCTTCTGCTTTCTCATAGAGCTAATCTCTGCTTCACAGAGAGCTTTTCTTTCCAGGTATTCATGTTTCAACAAGTCAGGAAGCAAATGATTTGACGTTAATTTGGTGTCAAAAAGAAGTCAGCCCAGGATCCCAAAAATAGGTTTTAAAAAATCAATGCATGGAGATCAATTTACTTTAAAATACTGTAACTTTCTTTAAGATACTTTGGCAAGGATAATGTGATGTATGTAGGCATGCCTGCATATGTGTGTGTGTGTATGTTCATTTAAGATACACTTCAGGGAAGTCAATGTCTTTAATCAGGAACTTGCTCTTCAAGAGTGGTCAGCTAACATTTCACCTTAAGGCTGCACAGCAGAGTCAGCTACCACAAAGGCTTCACTGTACATACGTTGATCAATAGGAGTGGGGTTTTAGCAGCAAAATGAATGTCATAAATCGGTTTCATTTGTAAAATTAGTGGCTTGCTAAACAGTATGATGAATGTCAGAAATGGGCTCCTTTCCTACAAAGAAAACACCAAGCCCAGTTAGTTTCACAGGCAAGTCAACTTTTTTGAAAAATGTCATTCTAATTTTATAGATTTTCCTAGAGAGTAGAGAAAAAAAGATTACTTCCCAACTCATTTCATGAGGCCCATATAAATTCCATTAAAATAATTAGTATCCTTTAAAATCAGGAAGAAGACCAAGATCACCATGTCTATTCCATATATTTCGGCCAATACAAGGAAAACAAATTCAAGTCAAAGGCCTGAAAGGGAGGAAATAAAACTGTAATTATTTTGTGATTGTATGAATCCTCTCCTAGAAGACTGAATATATAAAGGAGAGAGTTTAGCAAGATGATAAACAGAAGATCCACATATAATATGCGACAATGCATTCTATTCACCAGCAACAGTATTACTTCTTTACTATTTATTTCATTTATTTTACACTGGCATTTCCTCTCTTTAATGTTGTTTTTTGTTTTTTTGTTTTTTTGCTGATGTGATCACATCCTCCTTTATTTTACCTTTCCTACTTGTTATTTTGGTGAGTGGCCAGCAAGTTGCTTTCCAGCTGGAAAGATGGATGGTGAGGGACCACTTAGTGATGCTGAGGAACTGACCCTGACTCCCGCTCTCACTCCAAAGATGTGGCCTTCCTGGCTCTAAAATTGACTCAAGAAATGCAGACCCCCAAAATTAGATTTTAAATGTTCTCACCACAAAGATCTGGGCATGGTGGCTCATGCCTGTAATCCCAGCACTTTGGGAGGCCAAGGCAGGCAGATCACTTGAGGTCAGGAGTTCAAGACCAGCCTGGGTAATATAATGAAACCCTGTCTCTACTAAAAATACAAAAATTAGCCGGGTGTGGTGGCACATGCCTGTAATCCCAGCTACTCGGGAAGCTGAGGTGGAAGGATCGCTTGAACCTGGGAGGCAGAGGTTGCAGTGAGTCTACATAGCGCCACTGCACTCCAGCCTGGGCGGAGAGCGAGATCTGTCTCAGAAAAAAAAACGTTCTCACCACAAAGGAATGACAGTATGTGAGGTGATAGATATGTTCATTAGCTTGATTTAATCAGTCCACATCATCAACATGTATCAAATCACATTGTACTCCACGAATACATACAATTATTACTTGTCAATTAAAATTAAAATTAGGGGCCCAGCATGGTGGCTCACACCTGTAATCCCAGCACTTTGGGAGGCTGAGGTGGGCAGATCACGAGGTCAGGAGATCAAGACCCTCCTGGCTAACACGGTGAAACCCCGTCTCTACTAAAATACAAAAATTAGTCGGGCATGGAGGCGGGCACCTGTAGTCCCAGCTACTCAGGAGGCTAAGGCAGGAGAATCACTTGAACCCGGGAGGCGGAGGTTGCAGTGAGCCAAAATCGTGCCACTGCACTTCAGCCTGGGCAACAGAGCAAAACTCCATCTCAAAAAAAAAAAAAAAAAATTAAAAATTAAATAAAATAAGATTAGGTCAGGTTCTATGGCTCCTGTCTGTAATCCCAGTGCTTTGGTTGGTTGGTTGGTTGGTTGGTTGGTTGGTTGGTTGGTTGATTTATTTGTTTATTTATTTATTTATTTATTTATTTTCGAGACAGAGTTTTCCTCTTGTCGCCCAGGCTGGAGTCCAATGGTGGGATCTTGGCTCACTGCAACTTCTGCCTCCTGGGTTCAAGTAATTCTCCTGCCTCAGCCTCCCGAGTAGCTGGGATTACAGGCAAGTGCTACTACACCCTGCTAATTTTGTATTTTTAGTAGAGACAGGGTGACAGGGTTTCACCATGTTGGCCAGGCTGGTCTTGAACTCCTGACCTCAGGTGATCTGCCTGTCTCAGCCTCCCAAAGTGCTGGGATTACAGGTATGAGCTACCGAACCTGGCCTATAATCCCAGGGCTTTAGGAAGCCCAGGCAGAAAAAATACTTGAGGCCAGGAGTTGAAAACCAGCCTGGGCAACATAGCAAGACCCCATCTTTACAAAAAATTTTATAATTGGCCAAGTATGGTGGCACATGCCTGTGGTCCCAGCTACTCAGAGGTTCAGGCAGGAGGACTGTTTGAGCCCAGGAGTTTGAGGCTGCAGTGAACTATGATCATGCCACTGCACTCCAGCCTGGGTGACAGAGGGAGACCCTGTCTCTAAAAAAAAATGAAATAAAAACAAATTAAAATTTAAAGACCCTCATAACTAGTTAGATGGTACATTTAAACCTAAATAGATTAATACTTTTATTAAACATTAATGTCATAAATACTCCAATAAAAAGACAGATTGTCACACACATATACACACACACATACAAACACACACACACACACACAAACAAGCAGCTCCTCATGTTTGTATCCATTCATTACATGGAAGTATTAAGGTCATTTATATAAATTTTTCCTGAACAGAATGCAAGTTCTAAAAAATAAAGGTCTGTTAAACACCCTAGAATTAAACCTCTCAAATCAGGCAAGATTCTATCAGCACCAAAAAACACATATTTTTTAGTCCTGCATGATATCTTTAATTTATTAAGCTGTGTCCTTGGCTAAAGAAATCAAGAATTTCCAGTGTATGGATGTGGAAATTGGAAGTGGGGATGGAGCAAGGAATGGGTGTGTCATTCTGTCATTCCTTAACAGACCTGAAAAATGCAAAGTTCTTATGTAATTTTCCATATCAGTAATGATTCCATTCTATACTGGATACACATAAACAAATATTTCTCTACCATTACCTGTGAAAAGAAAAAAGCACAGTATGAAATATTTCTGTTCACCAAGACACTCCATTACTTGGCCTGTAAGATAATATCTTAAGAATGCTGTAACTATCCTTCTGCTCCCTTACCCAGTATTGCAACACACACACACACACACACACACACACACACACACACACACACTCATTACTCATCACGGCAATCTTGTGGTCTTCTTTCTGATTACTTATCATTTGATTAGAGTTCTTCTGGAATATTTTCATCAAACAGAAGTAGGTATAGGATTTATTTTCTAAATCTTGTGTAATTTTGAATATATTTCTTTTACCTTAACAGTTATATAGGCTGAGCGCAGTAGCTCACGCCTGTAATCCCAGCACTGAGGGAGGCTGAGGCAGGCAGATCACTTTAGGTCAGGAGTTCAAGACTAGCCTGGCCAAAGTGCTGGGATTACAGGCATGAGCCACCGCGCCCAGCTCACCAGGATATTCCTTAAGTGTTTTATTAATCCAGATTGGAATTTGGTGAATTCTTTCACTTCGAATACTCAATTTCTTTTTAGTACGTATGATTTATTATTATTATTATTGGTTTGGTTTAATTACAGCTTCTCTTCTACTTTTCTTTTTAAAAAACCTTTCTAGGCATTTTATTGTTTACATGTAAGATTGTCTGAATCCAGACTTCAAATACTTTGTCAGTTTCTTCAATATTTCCATCTGCTTGTAATTTTGTTTTATGTTTTGAGATTTTTCTCTCACTGAATCTCCTGGGCCACTAATTTAGCCTGCAACTATCCTCTTCTTCAGTCATCAACTGAAATTTAAAATGAAAAACTCGTGTTTCTTATTTCTTTTTCTTTTTCTTTTTTTTGAGACAGTCTCGCTCTGTCGCCCAGGCTGGAGTGCAGTGGCACGATCTCGGCTCACTGCAACCTCCGCCTCCTGGGTTCAAGTGATTCTCCCGCCTCAGCCTCCTGAGTAGCTGGGACTACAGGCACGTGCCACCACGCCCGGCTAATTTTTTGTACTTTTAGTAGAAATGGGGTTTCACCATGTTGGCCAGGATGGTCTCGATCTCCTCACCTCATGATCTGCCCACCTGGGCCTCCCAAAGTGCTGGGATTACAGGCATGACCTACCGAGCCGGGCCTTGTTTCTTATTTCCACAAAGTATTTTATGCTGTAATAGAATCTCTTCTATTTTGGCTGGGCACAGTGGCTCACAACTGTAATCCCAGCACTTTGGGAGGCTGAGGGAGGTGGATCACTTGAGGTCAGGAGTTCGAGACCAGCCTGGCCAACATGGTGAAATCATCTCTACTAAAAATACAAAAATTAGCTGGGCGTGATGGCAAGTGCCTGTAGTCTCGGCTACTAGGGAGGCTGAGGTGGGAGAATTGCTTGAACCCGGGAGGAGGAGGTTGCAGTGAGCCAAGATCGCACCACTGCACTCCAGGCCTGGGCAACAGAGTGAGATTCCATCTCAAAAAAAAAAAAAAAAAAAAAGAATCTCTTCTATTTTATTTTATTTAAGTATATAAATTTAAGGGGTACAAGTGCAGTTTTGTTACATGGATATATCTTGTAGTGGGGAAATCTAGGTTTTTAGTGTAACCATCACCCAAGTATTCAATTTTACCTTCTTGTTCCTTTTTGGTCCAAGTTATTGAATGCCTTCATAGATTCCTGCTTTTCCTTGGGCCGGTTCCTTTTAGATGGGCCAGTTCCCTTCCTTAGCTCACTCATGAGTCTATTTATCATTGGGGTCCAGACCCAGCTAACAGGATACTTTTGCAATCTCTCAAGTAGTACAAGGTCTAGGATTGGCTTCCTCTATGGTAGGTGACATGCCAGCTGGCAGGTTGAAAGGGGATCTGGGAAGCTTTACTGTCCCTGCTGTCCTCAATGGCAAAAGCTAGATCTGTGCAGCCTCAGGCCTGTGGGACACCATCTTTTCACCCTTGAAGCTCTCTCCTTAGGAGATCAGCAGTGCATAGATTTTCTCCAGCCCAGCTCTCCAGAGAAAGGGAGCTCTGGTCATTGCTCTGGGCTTCTTACTGCTGGTCCCACCCCCAGCCTGCTTCAGTCATTCCTGTTGGTTGAACAGGAGGCACCAAGCTTCACCTGCCTGATGGCCACAGCTTTAGCTGCACTCAGGAAGGGGAGTTAAGCTGGTGGTTGAAATAGATGTAGGAAGAGAAACTTGCCATTGTGTCTCATTGGTTTAGGGATGCAGAACCATGGCAACTTCCATGAAAGGCTGCAGAGAGAAAATGAGAAATATTTAGAGCAGTAATTTTTTATTGCTGCCTGTAGAGTCTGAATCAATGGGAAGGCAAATATTATTTATCAAACACTTAAAATAGTATGTCAGGCATGGCGCTAGGAACTTCAGATAAGTTATCTCATACAATCTTCACAACACTATAGTTTTTGTTCGTTAAGAGATGGAAGGAGCTTGCTCGGGGTCACCTTGGCAAGCTATTCAATGGACTAGAATGATTCATCTTCCAAATGTCTACAGTTCCCCATTGAGCTGGAGAGAGAGGGCAGCCTCCCTAACGAGCCAGCTCTACAGCTTCAGCTCCCAAAGCTTGCAGAGTACCAGTTGCCATGACAACAGGACAAAATGCAGAGACCCTAGCTGCTGGGAGGAAATGACATGAGCCAAAAGAGTAAAAACTCACCCCGGTACTGGAATGTATGAGTCACTTACAAAGAACACCTGTAATTTTGAGAGCTTAAACCACCAGAGGGAGACAGAGATTGCCACAGGCGGGGGAATCTGTCTGTATTCCAAATGCTGCTGCCTCCCAGCGCTCCCGCCTTTTCCCCACACTAAGGGCCTCTGCCCAGTCTCCCAGGCTGACCCTTCCTCTTTCAGAGCTCCTCAAACTATCTCCTCCCAACTGGAGCTCAGGACTTGGGACCTGGCCCCTTGAGGGTGACAGAAAGGTGACTTGCATCTTCTGGGGGAAAAAGCAGAGGCATTCAGAAACGAGAGCCCTTCCAGAAAACCAGTTTGCACAATGACCAGGAACTCTGACACCTTAAGCCCATGCGAATCTTGAATAGAGAAATCTTGGACACTGAGGTAAGGGTGGTGCTCGGAAAGTGTCTTGGTCCAGATTTTTCCAGACCCTTTGATTCACAGTGGCATAGATGCTGGCAACCTGCTTGCTAATCGCCCAAGCGATTCCAGCCTGGTGTCAGGGAGGAAGATGCCCTCCGTCCTCTTTCATCTGGAAAAAGCAGGGTAGCATGTGTTAACTCTTACATATCAAATTCCTCTAGGAATTCTGGGGATTCCTTTTATTTGGCTCAGAGAGGAAACACCTAGAACATTTATACTCTAACCCAGAGAACTGAGGTGGTTTCCTGGGTATTTCTGATGTGCATTAAGAAAGAAGCTATTTCATTTAAGCCAAAACATAAGTGGGGGCTGGATTCAAAAGCAGACTCTCCCCTTAAAACAGCTTCTTCCTTTGCTTCTAGTCATTAGGGACAAGTCATGAGCCTCTTAAGCAGTAAGCATGTGAACAATTTGTCTGGTTCTAACAAGTGGTCCTTCCAGCAGGACTTCAGGGAGCAGAAGTGTATGCACTGCTGCAGAAAATGAGTTAGAAACTATCACAAAGGAGGAATGTTGGGCTTGCAGGGAAAAAATTATGAATAATTACCATATAGCAGGGGAATTACATGTCTTTCCTGCTGCTCGAGAACTAGACTAGAACCAAAGGGTGGTCCTGGGCATGAGGCATGAGGAGAACTAGGTAGGGAAAAGGTCTGTGGAGAAGTAGTAGAACCAGAGAATGGAAACAAACAAACAAACAAACAATGCAGATAGAGTCTGATTCTAGCCAGGGCTTCTAGGCAGCTCAAAGCCTAGTGTCAGAGGATGTAATAAACTCAGCACCATTTGGGGCAATCACTGGGACCAGGCACTCCACTCCAGCAGGCAGGGCAAGGGATGCTAGGAAGCTTTCCAAAGATCGTTCCTCAAAGGACCGTCACAGCTGGTGGTGGGGAATGTGGAGGGCAGAAGGCAAAAAAGAGAATGCATGGTACCAGCATTCCATCACCAGGACAAGGCCCCCAGTATTGGCAGGAAGCTAGGTCACTGAACAGAAACTAAGGGGCTAGGTTCAGTGGCTCAAACCTGTGGTTAAAAAAAAAAAATTAAAATTTGACTTTAGTCAAATTAAATTTAAAGGTGTTTAATTGAGCAAAGAATGACTGGCAAATTGGGCCATCTCCTGAGCCAGAGTAGGCTCAGAGACTCCAGCGCAGCCACGTGGTAGAAGATTTAAGGGCAGAAAAAGGAAGGTGACATACAGAAAATGGAAGAGAGGTGCAAAAACAGCTGGATTGGTTATAGCTTGGCATTTGCCTTATTAGAATATGGTTGGAACAGTTGACCACATTTGATTGGCCAAAACTTGGTGATTGGCACAAGAGTAGGCTACAGTCTGTTTACAATTTCCTTTAGCTTATAGTCCACAATGTACAGAGAAACCTTTAGGTAGAACTTAAAATATGTAAGGAGGTAGCTTTAGGCTAAATTTGATTTAATACTTATAATCCCAGCATGTTAGGAAGCTGAGGCATGAGGATCTCTTGAGACCAGGAGTTCGAGACCTGCCTGGGCAACATGAGGAGACCCCATCTCTATAAAAAAATTAGCCAGGGCCTAGTGGTGTGTGCCTGTAGTCCCAGCTACTCGGGAGGCTGAGGTGGGAGGATTGTTTGAGCCCAGGAGCCTGAGGCTGCAGTGAGCTATGATGGTACCACTGTACTCCAGCCTGGGAGACAGAGCGAGACCTTGTCTGTAAAAAAAGAAGAAAGAAAAAGGAACTGAGGGAGTAGACTCTTGGTTAAAGCCCAGCTGGTCGACTCAGCCAATAAAACAGGAGGATTAGGCAAGAAGGAGAAGCATGAGGAACACTGTGGCTTGAGGTTGCTTCACACGGCCCAGGATGCACGAGGCCTGTGGTGTCCTGCTGTGAGAGCTGTGGCAGAGCACGTGGCATTCTGGAATCTCTGAACTTCTCACAGTAACGTTTTTCAATGCTTGAAATAAAATACCCAGGATTATAAAGGAAACCAACAACACTGAAAGATTTTTGTCAAAATAGTATTAGAAAACACATTTTTGAGGCCAGGCGCCGTGGCTCACACCTGTAATCCCAGCCCTTTGGCAGGCCAAGGAAGGCAGATCACCTGAGGTCAGGAGTTCAAGACCAGCCTGGCCAACATGGTGAAACTCCATCTCTACTAAAAGTACAAAAATTAGCCAGGTGTGGTGGCACACACCTGCAGCCCTAGCTATTCAGGAGGCTGAGGCAGGAGAATCGCTTGAACCTGGGAGGTGGAGATTACAGTGAGCTGAGATCGCACCACTGCCCTCCATCCTGGGCGACAGAGTGAGACTGTCTCAAAAAAAAGAAAAAAGAAAAGAAAAAGAAAAAAGTTTGACATAGGGATATGTAGCAACAACAGATATTCCTGTGTTAAAGTACCTAGGGGCTGGTGAGAGGTGTGGCAGAACACATGGGTCTGGGGAATGGAGTGCAACGTGCGGAGCTGGGGAAGACCAGGAAAGACAGAGGGAGGGACCACAACGCAGAGTCCACTGAAGAGGCAAGTTTGGGAGGTGATAATGACTTAAATACCAGAAAAGTTCCTACAGAGGTCAGAGAACTTGCTGTCAGGCTGCTGGGAAGCAGGTTTTTCGGTGTGCGAAAGGTTAAACCTTTAAGACTCAAGTCAACCTCCATCCTCCTGGAGCCCAGGAGACACAAGACCCAGGAAGTACCATCTGTAGGTCCTCACTAGAGTCATCCAACTGTCTTCCATGCTTTTTGTTTGGGAGCCGAATGCTTCAGAAGCAGGATCCTGTGGCATTTCTTGTTTGAATGGTGGCAAGTCAGCTTGACTGCCAGCTCAGCTTCCCAGTCTCCCCAGGCTGGGACCTGCTGACCTCCCTTGCAGGCATTGCTCCATTCTAGTCTCTGGGTCCATTCCCTGCTTTGGGGTAAGAGGCCCATAGCCCAGCCCTGCTCATTCAGGCTTGTTTAGTACCCATCGATGATGCATGAATTTCCTCCTGCTTTGGAGACCTTCAGGCCCCAGTTGGGTGAACTAGACATCTGCCTTGCTTCCTCCACTTGGATCTCTGTCATGGAAACCTGCCTGGTGCCTCAGTTCCTCCAGCCCTGGGCCTGGCTTGCCCATTCCGGGCTCAGTAGCTGGGGCTCTGGTAACCATGGACTTCCTTCCTGATGGCACCTTCTGCTTGTCCACCCTGCTGAACATCTCTTGCCTCTAGTCATCCTGATATACTGATCTGGCAGCCTACTGCTTTACACACATCTGCTATTCTGCTGGCCTACCATCATTGTCTCTGGCGGGACCTGTCTGCCAGGTGCTGAATATGTTCTGAAAGGAGAGCTGGCCAGGCATGATGGCTCATGCCAGTAATCCCAGCACTCTGGGGAGGCCAAGCTGAGAGGATCGCTTGAGTCTGGGAGGCCGAGACCAGCCTGGGCAACATAGCCTCTTGAAAAAATAAGAAAATGAAAGTAGAGCCAACAGGACTTCAAGATGAATTACATGTAGATTGTGAAAGACATGAGTAAAGGGCCGGGCGCAGTGGCTCACGCCTGTAATCCCAGCACTTTGGGAGGCCACGGCAGGCGGATCATCTGAGGTCAGGAGCTCCAGACCAGTCTGGCCAACATGGTGAAACCCCATCTCTACTAAAAATACAAAAATTAGCCGGGTGCAGTGGCGTGTGCCTATAGTCCCAGCTACTTGGGAAGCTCAGGCAGGATAACAGTTGAACCCGAAGATGCCTTGCACTCCAGCCTGGGTGACAGAGAGAGACTCCGTCCAAAAAAAGAAAAAGACCTGAGTAAAGAAAAACTCCAAGGGTTTTGGCCTGAGAAACTGGAAGGAAGGAGTTGCCATCAACCGAGATGGGCAAGGCTGGAGGAAGATTGTCTTGACTAGCTCAGATTACTATAACAAAATACCTTAGGTTGCATAATTTATAAACAACAGAAATTTATTTCTTACAGTTCTAGAGGCTGGGAAGTCTAAGATCAAGGCAGCAGCCAATTCTGTGTCTGGTGAGGGCTCACTTGCTCTGCTTCATAGATAAGGGTGCCTTCTCACCCTTATTCCCTATAGCTGCAGGGCTGAGATTGCTGAAAATCAAACACAGAATTTCACCCTGTGTCTGGCTGAATATCATTGCAAGTTGTACTCCTGGCCTTGCAGAGTGCCCACTATTAAATTGAGAGCATTGATTGAGAAAGAATGGCACCTTGTCAGTTGAGGTGGGGATGTGTGTCAAGATCCTGACAAAGCAGGGGACACTGAGCCCCTAAATTCTGATGAGTCTTTTTGCCAGTGGAAGAGGTCTCTACACCCCTATTGGTATCAACCTCTCTCTTCACAGTGGTATCAGCCTTTCCACGCAGGCAGGACTCGCAGGTCCAGGAATCAAGGGGTGAAAGTGAGAGCGTCACTGTTCACTATTATCCCTGGTAACCCATTAGCAAAATCTTGCTTCCTGGCCCCGTGACCTTATGCTCTGGTGACCTAGAGGTCTTAGTTCCAGAGGGAGGAATGCTTCAACCAGGAAACACAGCAATGATTTCATTGAACTGGAAGTTAAGAGTGTCCCCAGCCACTTTGAGCTCCTCATGGCTCTGAATCAACAGGCAAAGAAGGGAGTTCCTGTGATGGCTGGGGTGACCGATCCTGAATACCAGGAGGAAATTGGACAACTACTCCAGAGTGATGATCAGGAAGAGTATATCTGGAATACAGGAGATCCCTTAAGATCCCTTGGTACCACCTATGATTAGGGTCAATGGAAAACTACAACAACCCAATTCAGGCAGGACTATTAATGGCCTAGACTCTTCAGAAATAAAGGTTTGGGTCACCTCACCAGATGAAGAGCTACAACCAGCTGCAAAGGGAATATATAGTGGGTAGTAGAAACAAGGTGGTTACAAATATCAGCTATGGTCATGTGACCAGTTATAAAAACAAGGACTGTAATTATCCTATTTCCTCCTCATCTTGTTATGAATGTTTGTGTTTCTATTTTTCATCTCTTATTCCCTTATCATATAACATAAGATATACGGACTTTATATCATAGTATTTATTAATTTTACACCACAGTATTTAAGTTATGGACTATCAAAAGAAGAATAAACATCACTGAAGGATTTTACCTCCTCTTTTGGGGAAGGGATTGGTGCATTTTCAGTTGCATATAGGATAGTTAGTTGTATCATGTTAGGTGGATCTATGACCTTGTTATTGACTTTTTTGTTTGTTTGTTTTGAGGAGTCTCACTCTGTCACCCAGGCTGGAGTACAGTGGCATGATCTCGGTTCATTGCAACCTCCACCTCCCGAGTTCAAGCAATTCTCCTGCCTCAGCCTCCTGAGTAGCTGGGATTACAGGCGTGTGCCACCACACCTGGCTAATTTTTTGTATTTTTAGTAGAGACAGGGTGTCACCATGTTGGTCAAGCTGGTCTCAAACTCCTGACCTCAAATGATCCGCCCTCCTTGGCCTCCCAAAGTGCTGGGATTACAGGCATGAGCCACTATGTCCAGCCTGTTACTGTTTTCATTTGGAGATTAAATATGTTTTACAGGGAGGCATGTGGGTGCGAAGTTGACAAGAGGTGGACTTGTGATGGCTAATTTTACATGTCAACTTTACTGGCCAGCCCTCAGGATGCCTAGATATCTGCTTAAACATTATTTCTGCGTGTGTCTGTGAGGAGGTTCTGGAAAAGATTAGCATTTGAATCAGTGGACTGAGTAAAGTAGATTGTCCTCTCCAATATGGGTAGGCATAATTCAACCCTTTGAGGGCCCAAGTAGAAGAAAAAGGTGAAAGAAGGTTGAATTCTGTCTCTTTACTTGAGTGCTTGAGCTGAGACATCAGCCTCCTTATCGTGGAATGTGAGTTATGCCATTAGCACTCCTCCTTCTCAGGCCTTCAGACTTAGACTGGAATTCATGCCATTGGTTTTCCTGGGTCTCTAGCTAGCAGACAGCAGATTGTGGGATTGGTCAACCACCAATATCTTGTGAATCAATTCCTTATAATAAATCTCATTTTGGGCTGGGCACGGTGGCTCACGCCTATAATCCCTTCACTTTGGGAGGCCAAGGTGGGCGGATCACTTGAGGTCAGGAGTTCGAGACCAGCCTGGCCAACATGGTGAAACCTCATCTCTATTAGAAATACAAAAAATTAGCCAGGTGTGGTGGAGCATACCTGTAAACCCAACCACTCTGGAGGCTGAGGCTGAGGCAGGAGAATCACTTGAACCCTGGAGGTGGAGGCCGCAGTGAGCTGAGATTGCGCCACTGCACTCCAGTCTGGGCCACAAGAGTGAAACTCCGTCTCAAAAATAAATAAATAAATAAAAATAAATAAATTTCATTTTACATATACAGTCAGCCCTCTGTATTCATGGGTTCCACATTCATGGATTCAACCAACCACAGATAAAAAAACATTTGAAAAAAAGAAAGAAAAGAATAGTTGCATCTATACTGAACATGTACAGACTTTTTTCTTATAATTTCCTAAGTGACACAGTATAACAACTACTTACATAGCCTTTACCTGGTGTTAGAGGTTATAAGTAATCTAGAGATGATTTAAAGCATACAGAAAAATGTGCATAGGTTCTATGCAAATACTACATCATTTTGTATAAGGGACTTGAGCATCTGTGGATTTTTGTATCTGTGAGGGGTCCTGGAAGCAATCCCCCATGTATACTGAGAGACAACTGTGTGTGTGCATGTGTGTGTGTATTTATTTATGCATATGTGTGTGTGTGTATATATATATATATTTATATCTCCTGTGGGTTCTGTTTCTCTGGAAAACTCGAATACACAGGGTATTAGATGATTTTCATAAAAATGAACATTCACACCCACTGCAAATACCCTAATTTTGAGTTCACATTGCACTTCACATTACACTTGTATTTTTCAAGTGTATTTTTTGGAAACCATAGCACTATAATACTGTGTTCTGCTGCATCCCAGGAGATTCCTCGGTTGGCCACATACTTGCCCTTTTATAGATAGTCCCTGGTGGGTTTGATGGTCTAGCAGGGATCAAAATGAGCTGGCTTTCTGACCCTTCCCTTCATCTCTGCTTCCTAAAGAATCCCACATTGGTTGCTGCAAGGACTTCCAATTGCTGTCAGAACTTTCAGATCTAATTAGATTGGATTTTAATTACTGCGTCAGCAGTGAGCCTGATCTGACTTTTGGAGAGCTAAGGTTGACCCCCACTAAGGGTGCAACCGCCCAAGAAATGCAAAGTGGCTCACTCCATTTAGACTTGGAGGCCAAATGCCAGAAATAGTTCAGAAAAGTAGTGGTGGCTGGCTATGGAAGCCTCTTCCTTAATTTGAGTAGCTCTCTTCCCTGCTTTACGGAGCAGTGGAGATGGCGGCCCAAACCAAAGCCAAGTAAGTAATTTACAAGTGAAGGCACATGCACCTTCCTGAGTGCTGACAGGATGTATTTCCAATTTACCAAGTGGCTGCAGGTCCTCATCTTTCTTGGCTGTCAACAGTTAAGAGACGATTATTTTAAAATATACAATCTAGGACGGGTGTGGTGGCTCAGCCTGTAATCCCAACACTTTGGGAGGCTGAGGCAGGTGGATCACCTGAGGTCGGGAGTTCGAGACCAGCTTGACCAACATGGAGAAACCCTGTCTCTACTAAAAATACAAAATTAGCCGGGCGTGGTGGTGCATGCCTGTAATCCCAGCTACTCGGGAGGCTAAGGCAGGAGAATCGCTTGAATCTGGGAGGTGGAGGTTGCAGTGAGCCAAGATCACGCCATTGCACTCCAGCCTGGGCAACAAGAGTGAAACTTCATCTAAAAAAAAAAAAAAATTAGCTGGGCGTGGTAGCACACGTCTGCAATCCCAGCTACTTGGAGGCTGAGGCAAGAGAATTGCTTGAACCCAGGAGGTGGAGGCAGTAGCGAGCTGAGACTGCGCCACTGTACCCCAGCCCGGACGACAGAGTGAGACTCCGTTTCAAAAAACAAAAACAATAAAATGTACAATTTAAACAAGGTGTCTCAGATATCTACTTTGTAGCACTGCATTGATTTGCATTTGGCGAGTTTCCTTTAACATCACCATACTTCTCCCGCATCACTGACCTCCTCAGGCCAAAACTAGACCAGCGTTCTTTTGTGTGTGTGTGTGTGTGTGTGTGTGTGTGTGTGTGTGTGTGTGTGTGTGCGTGATTTAAGATGGCTCTGTCATCCTGGCTGGAGCACAGTGGCAGGATCTCAGCTCACTGCAGCCTCTGCCTACTGGATTGAAGTGATTCTCATGCCTCGGCCTCCCAACTAGCTGGGACTACAAGTGTGTGCCACGCCCAGCTAATTTTTGTATTTTTAGTAGAGACTGGGTTTCACCACGTTGGCCAGGCTGGTCTCGAACTCCTGACCTCAAATGATCTGCCCACCTCAGCCTCCTAAAGTGCTGAGATTATAGGTGTGAGCCACTGCGCCCGGCCACTAGACCAGCTTTGTTTCTGCTAAAAGTAGATCTGAGCTTATCATATCTGTTTTTTCCCCTAGAAGACAAACAACCTGAAAACTATCCACTTAAGAATGCTGAGGCTCTCTGCATAGGACTGAGTACTGAGCTAGGGACAGCCCCATAAGCTAGTTGATACCTGAACAGGGCTGCTTATGAAAGTCACAGAAAATTTTCATCTTTTTTCTGCAACACCAAAGTTCCTCCAAGGAAAATATCAGCCTGGCCATCCAAGTATAAAAACAGCAATCCACTAAGTTTATTCCTTACCCGAGGCTGCAAACTTCAACACAGTCTACAATTCTTCAATTACTAGAACTGTAAATAGCAAGTTACTAACAATGGAGAAAAAGAAAACAATAACAAAACATCTAATACCGCCCTTTGTTATTCAAATTCTTTTCCACAAGTTAGTTCCCAAAGATCTCTTCCTTTGCTGATGATTCCTTTTAAGCTTGCCAGGAGTGCAGTGCAAAAGCAGTAGTGGGCAAAGATTTATGAATATAAGAAAGAACTGGCCGGGCACAGTGGCTCACGCCTGTAATCCTAGCACTTTGGGAGGCCAAGGCAGGTGGATCACGAGGTTAAGAGATCAAGACCATCCTGGCCTCTCTACGAAAAATACAAAAAAATTATCTGGGCGTGGTGGTACATGCCTGTAGTCCCAGCTACTCGAGAGGCTGAGGCAGGAGGATCACCTGAACCTGGAGGTGGAGGTTGCAGTGAGCCGAGATCGCGTCACTGCACTCCAGCCTGGTGACAGAGTGAGACTCTGGCAGGTTCACTTTGGGCACAATGACCCCGCTTCTGTAAATGTGTCCTCACCTCAAAGCGGGGGTGACAAGACCACTCACTGAAACACAGGAAGGCAAATCCTAGAATGTATTAATATATAAATAACTAAAGGAAAAATCTCATTCCTCTTCATTCCTGCTTTTATGACTTAACATGTCTGCAACATATTCATGTGGTAGTAAATGTTTGGTATTCTCTAGTCACGATGAACCTGGAAAGTGTTGACTCATGGGCTAGGGTAAGAGAAAGGAGAATAGTTCAAACAGCTTCTACAGATTGGTTTCTAAGAATCAGGATGGGAACATGTGCACAGTGAACTTTCAGCCTTTACGACCAACCACCTGCTGCACTTGGACATCTCAAAAGCACATCAAGTACACACTGTCTAAAACCAAGCCTACTAACTTCCTTCTCCTTTCGGGCTTCTAGGATCCCCCTAACTCACTAAATGGCATTAGTTGTGAAAGCCAAAAATCTAGGTTGCCATCATTGACTCATCTGTTCCCCCACTCACCCTGTCACAATCCATAAGTCACTCCGGTTCATCCACTTTATCCCTCTAGAAGTAGTCACTGTCATTAGGATCACTCCTGAGCCGGGCACGGTGGCTCACGCCTGTAATCCCAGCACTTTGGGAGGCTGAGGCAGGCAGATTGCTTGAGGTCAGGAGTTCGAGACCCGCCTGGTCAATATGATGAAACCCCGACTCTACTAAAAATACAAAAGTTAGCCGACCGTGGTCATGCACCTGTAATCCCAGCTACTTGGGAGGCTGAGGCATGAGAATTGCTTGAACCTGGGAGGCGGAGTTTGCAGTGAGCCGAGATGGCACCACTGCACTCCATCCTGGGCAACAGAGCGAGACTCTGTCTCCAAAAAAATTACCGCCTAATTTCTTCCGATGCATTTTCCCTTAAAATTTACAAATATTGGCTGGGTGCGGTGTCTCACACCTTGTAATCCCAGCACTTTGGGAGGCTGAGGCGAGTGGATCACCTGAGGTCAGGAGTTCGAGACCAGCCTGGCCAACATGGTGAAACCCCGTCTCTATTAAAAATACGAAAATTAGCCGGGCATGGTGATGCGTGCCCGTAATCCCAGCTACTAGGTGGGCTGAGGCAGGAGGGTCACCTGAACCTGGGAGGCGAAGACTGCAGTGAGCTGAGATCGTGCCACTGCACTCCAGCCTGGGCAACAAAGCAAGACTCTTTCAAAAAAAAAATTACAAATATTATGACATAGTTCACAAACGCCAAAGCAAAATAATATATAAATATGCACACCATAAAGCATGTTAACAAAATGAACATTCACACACTGACTAGCCAAGTTGTGAAAACATTACCATCATCTTTTAAAAATGTAAATATAACCAAATCACTCTTTGCTTACAATGCACATAATTCAGCCACACTGGTCTTTTCGATTTCCCAGTTCTGGCTGCCTCTTATCTTAGGATCTTTGCTGTCACTTCCGTTAAGAATGTGCTCTCCCACCTTCATTCTCCACCCGTTAACCTCTCTTATGAAATCCTCCTGAGTAGTCACGATTTCCTTCACAAGCACTTACCACATCTGGAATGACACAGTTCTGACTGATTGTTAAAGACCGGAAGCTCCATGTGAGCACAGACAGCATCTTTTCTGCTCATCACCGCATATCTTGTACCCAGCGTAATGCCCTGGCACCAGTACCTGTTTGCTAGATGATAAAACGAAGAGGAATTTCCTGGGTTGTGGATAGGGGCCAGTGGAAGAAAAAAAAATCTCTTACAATTTCATAGGTAGCACAGCCATTCCTTATGAAAATTATCATTCTTCCCCATCAGTAAATCCTACCTTTAATGAATTCTAGCCTATGGGGCCATATATTTCAAAGGATTGCCTAATTTAATTGCTTTGGCCTTGATACGCTTCAAGAACACAGCAATCTTCTACTAGTGGGTCTCTCCATATTAATTTCCACTCATTTCGCTATCGCCCATCTGCAACAGACCTTAGGACTAGTATTTTTATTTATTTATTTTTTTGAGACCGAGTTTTGCTCTTGTCGCCCAGGCTGGAGTGCAATGGCTCGATCTTGGCTCACTGCAACCTATGCCTCCTGGGTTCAAGCAATTCTCCTGCCTCAGCCTCCCAAGTAGCTGGGACTACAGGCGCATGCCACCATGGCTGGCTAATTTTTTGTATTTTTAGTAGAGACAGGGTTTCTCCATGTTGGTCAGGCAGGTCTTGAACTCCTGACCTCAGGTGATCCACCCACCTCAGCCTCCCAAAGTGCTGGGATTACAGGCGTGAGCCACCGTGCCCAGCCAAGGACTAGTATTTTTAAAGTTCGCATCTTGACTTTGACCTTGCTCGACCAAGAATTTATTCTTGGAACCAAAAATCAAGAGGTGAATAATTATCCTTTTCTAGTACATAGCTCAACAAAATTAACTGATAACAACTTTTAAGTATATATACACTGTGAAATAAATGTTCTGTAATAGTACATGTGAATGTAAAACACTAAATTCACAAATACGCTTTGTCATGAATCAGCTATGTGCCAAGACAAATTCCTTAACCGTGTTTACATCATCTTAAGTATCTTAAGAAAAATATGATGTGTTTATCATACATTATTTAACTAGAAACAAATTGTTATTCTAAAAGGTCAGGAAAAACTATTCTTTATGTATGAAATGAAGTTATTTCTACTTATTTTAGAGGCTATATACCTATACAGAGAGGCCATACTTATAACATCCATGGATTTGACTGGCATTTAAATTCAGGTTCTGCAGTTTACAACAGTAACTCCTGGAAAAGTCTCATTTAGTTTCCTCACCTATGAAAAAGAGAAGCATTGCCTATCAAACAGGATTACCTGAAGATTAAACAAAATAACATAGGTGGAAGCACCTGTCATCATTTATACTCAAAAAGGTTTTTTAAAAAAGTGAACAGACATGGGATAGCATGGTAGCGTACATAGGTTACAAAATCCTAAAAAGATAGTAAGTTATAAAGAAAATAAAGCATAGTGGCTCACACCTCTAATCCCAGCACTTTGGGAGGCCGAGGCAGGTGGATTGCTTGAGCTCAGGAGTTTGAGACCAGCCTGGGCAACATGGCAAAACCTCGTCTCTACAAAAAATACAAAGATTAGCCGAGTGTGATGGCATGTGCCTGTGGTCCCAGCTACTTGGGAGGCTGAGGTGGGAGGATCACTTGAGCCTGGCAGGTCGAGGTTGCAGTGCGCCGTGATTGCACCACTGCACTCCAGCCTGGGTGACAGAGCGAGACCCTGTCTTAAAACAACAAAACAAACACACAACCCCCAGAGTGCTTGTTTATATTAAAGCAAATGGTCATAAAATATTGGACTAAACCTTAAAATAAGTCTGCACCTTCAGTAGCAATTAAATATTTGCTTTCAAAGGGAAAGGACTGGCATGTGGACAAGGCCTCATGCTGGCTGGCTATAAAATGCATCACTGACTCACATACGTAAACTACCTTAGTATTAATGACTTCTAAAAAACTTCTGAGGGTTTTGCTTACTTGTGTTTTCTGCAGTGAAGCATAGAAAATCCTCCTCTCCTTGCTCCTTTTTCCTTTTCATAGCTCTGAGCTGTTTTGCCCACTCGCACTAGTTACTGCACAGCAGGGCGGCCAGGTCAGAGCTCTGGGCTGTGTGCTACAGCTTCTGCAGTGATGACTTCAATCTCCTGACCTAACTTGACAAGACTGCAACTCTTCCCAGCACTCTCTGCAGGGGAAGGTGTGCGCTGCAATGAATTCCAAACATTGCTCCCTTTCTGAATGGTGCCTTGGTTGAACAGATTTGGCCTCTCTTCCTCATGCGAGAGATGTTTCCTTTCAGATAAAATGGAGAAAGGATGTGAAGAAAACTCTTGTAAGCCATCTCTGTAGACCTCCGCACAAGTATTTTGTCCATTTTTCAGTATATTTTCTTGACAATTAGATACCAGGATAAGACTTAATTTAACATTTATAAATATTTAAGAAAAAAAGGAATCAATTTGGAAAACTTTTATCAATCAACAAGTTATCAAAACAAGGGTTTGCTTTTTGACAGTGAATGTACAATATTATATGGTTTGCCATTATTTCCTCTTTTGGAAGAAAGGTAAAATGAGAAATACATTATATAAGTCATTATAAGTTCAGTAGATTTTTAAAACACTTGAGACACGAGTTAGAAAAAATGCAATTGAATAAACCAATTGTAAGACCCATCTCAAAACAACAAATTTAAATATGAACCACATATTAGATGATACTAAGTAATTATTGTTTTTGTTAGGAGTAATAATATCACTGTGGATTTTTTAAAGGCCTTACTGAAGTATTATAAGTGAAATAATTTGTGTGATTTGCTTTAAAATATTCCGATTTTAAAAATTTTGTGTTGGATGGATGCAGTGGCTCATGCTTGTAATCCCAGCACTTTGGGAGACAGAGATAGGATTGCTTGAGGCCAGAAGTTCCAGACTAGCCTGGGAAACATGGCGAAACCCCGTCTCTTATTTTTTTTAAAATAAAGAAAAATTGTATGTTGAGGGAGGAGGGGTGTGGTGGTGGTGGTGATGGTGTGGATAGACAATAAATATGATAATAGATCGCAGTACTCTTAACACTGCTGTTGAGATATATATATATATATATTATATATATATATATATATAAAATAAACAAAATAATGGGATTTATATATGTGGCACCCAGTACAATGTACAATTTTCTTTTTTAAAAAAGTATTTAGGTTATGCATTGCTAAGCACATCTGTGATTGATGAGAGTGACTCTAGTATCTAAACTGTTGGAGGAGGGTTGTAAGGGTAACAGGTAGGGGAGGCATATAGAAGGAATATGTTGGTATCATAGATTTCCTAAGACTCAGGGAAGGCCACAGAGCTAGGGTACTAGTCTATGCTAGAATTAATGGATTATGCAACCGAAGAAAGACAACTTTTGAATGAAAAGCTCTCTCTGTGCCAGACTTGAGGTCACCAAGCATCCTGCTCACACTCTGCGATGTCTGTGGAGTAGCACACCACCAGAAACTGCTGATGGAATTACATCTTCAAGATTCAAAATGTTTAGATCCAATATATCTAATCCATAAAAATAAAGCATTCTTTATGCTGAATGCAGTCCTATGCAGTCAAGAACAATAATCTAGACATTTTTCATGTAGGATTTAAATAGGAGTACAAGTGAATTAAACCATTCAGATAAAAACGCAACTAAAGATGCATTAGCTGCTTTGAGTCAATATATTTTGTGGTCAACCTGATACTCCATCCACATAAAAAAGGCATTCTATTTCTTTATTTTTTTTTTATTTGACAAGCAGCAGTATCATGTTTGTCATTTTAATGTAGATACAATTATTAGGTTATCTGTCATATTACAATATTTAAGTTTTTAAATTTTATGTCCTTTAAGATACATTAAAAAAAAAAAAAAAGACACATCAACTGCAAACGTGAAGGGGAGAAAAAGCATGGTACCCAACCGAATTTCCACTTTTCAGCAATACTTCACTCATTCTTTTAATAAAGTTTTAAGAAATGTCATAATGACATGAGCTTGAAATATCTCTAGGCATTTTCTTTGACGCTCATGACGTGGCACTGGTGATGTTGTAAACAGCAGAAAACAGGGGCTGCCAAATGACCAAATTATGGAGGCACAGTCCTGCTTTTTCCCACAGGAACACACCAAATGGTGATGGCAATGATCTTCTCACACCACGCTGGAGGAGAGCGACATCACGCGACGTAGCTGTATTCATCTGCCGACGCCTGGCTGCGTTCTATGTATTGTTTGTCTATCAGAACTTCAATACACTTCTTAATCATGCTGATACTGGGATTAAACCTAGCTCTTGACTGGCTAATCACCTGTGGAAGAGATGTGGAAGTCAAACTACTGCCAGTTCTTCAGCTATTAAGTAATGACTTTTAACCAATCAGTTTAAAGTGCCTCAAATGTACTGAGGTTTCAACAAATGGGCCAAATTAAGTATGAAAATAGGAACTACAATGTGGAAAATGGATACAGCAAAATCTAATAATGATACATAATTAAGTGAAACAATAAACTAATTAACCTAAGTACTCACACACAACCCCAAGCTTCTATTTAACTCAACTCTCAGCTCTTAGTTCAAACACTTTCTCAAGAAAGTTTTCCCCAGCAGCCCCTAGGCCAGGATATTTAAATACATTCTCATAGTACTGTATACGTTTCCTTCAGTGCATGCTAATGTAATTTTACATTTATTTGCATATCATTTCAATAGTGTATTTCTTCCCCCATTAAACTGTGAACTCCAAAAAAGCCTGCCATATCTTCAGCTGCTCTGTGCTATATCCCAGGGACCAGCCCAGCTGTCTATCACATGGTAGGCTCAGATAGTTATGGAATGAATGAATATCTGATGGGTCAATTTCCTTCAATAACTGGACAGAAGACTCAATGAATCAGCAAGTTTTAGACCTCTAAAATAAAGCCAAAGCAAATATGAATTTATTATTATCATTTGAGATAGCATCTCACTGTGTCACACAGGCTCAATCCCTGGGCTCAAGCAATCCTCCCGCCTCAGCCTCCCAAGTAGTTGGTACTACAAGTGTGCCGCCACAACTGGCTAATTTTTTAATTTTTTAATTTTTTTTTTTTTTTTTTTTTAGGTGAGATGGGGTCTCCCTGTGTTGCCCAGGCTGGTCTGAAACTCCTGGACTCAAGTGATCCTCCTGTCTTGGCCTAACAAGACATTCAGATTACAGGTGTCCACTGGGCATGGTGGCTCACACCTGTAACCCCAGCACTTTTGGAGGCCGAGGCAGGTGGATCACCTGAGGTCAGGAGTTCGAGACCAGCCTGGCCAACATGGTGAAACCCTGTCTCTACGAAAAATACAAAAATTAGCCAAGTATGGTGGTGCACGCCTGTATTCCCAACTACTCGGGAGGCTGAGGCAGGAGACTCACTTGAACCTGGGAGGCAGAGGTTGCAGTGAGCCAAGATCACGCCACTGTACTCCAGCCTGGGCGACAGAGCAAGACTCTGTCTCAACAACAACAACAAAAAGGATTACAGGCATGAGCCACTGTGCCCAGCCTGCAAATCTGAATTTAATACTGAAATTGTGAGTGAGTACGATTCTGATTAAGTATGAAACATTTCTTTATGCTATCTGAGGATCAGGTTATTTCTGTATCCTCTTTAAGAAGAAAGAGACTGAATCTGTACAATGACAATGCCCTCTACCCTAAGAAGCCCTGAGGACTGCCCTCCTTTTACCTCTTGAATAAGGGCATTGTGCCGAAGCACTTTTCGTGCTTTCATGATACGAACTATAGCAGCTTGGAGATACATTTTCCGGTCCTCATCAACTGCACTTCTAGTCTGCTCCATTTCCTGTTTTACAGAAGAAAAGAAAAAAGACCCAACAAGACATTAAGTCACTGAACTTGTTTTCAATTCATTTTATCAGTGAGTGCAAATACTTTTTTTTTTTTTTTTTTGAGACAGGGTTTCACTCTGTCGTCCTGGCTGGAGTTCAGTGACTCGCTCTCAGCTCACCGCAACCTCCATCTCCTGGGTTCATGTGATTCTCATGCCTCAGACTCCTGAGCAGCTGGGATTACAGGTATGCACCACAATATTGAGCAAATTATATAGTTATGTTGTGCCAATATCACATAACCACTGCTAAAACATCTACAATTTCTAGGGTTAAAGTTGAAAGATTAGAAAAAAATTTACATTATTGTAAACTGTACTGTTAAGGTAAAGAGGCAATAAAGGAGGACACAGCAATAATTTGCAAGATCATTTTCTTATCAGTGATTACAGAATCTTTCATGACGCTTTTAGATGGAGTTGTGTCAACTGCAGTAATTAGCTCCAAATGCATACTGGATCAGGCTTCAAAGGGAAGAGCTGTGAAGTGGCATTTTATGTGGCTCAAGCAGAGAAGCCAGGAGAGGGGGCCTATCTCCACGGAGCTCAAGAAACACAGAAGCAAGGCATAGAAGCAGACCATGCCACATTAAGAGGATCTCCTCACAGCGTTTCAAAGACAAAATACAATCTATATATTGCAAATTATTATTTATTAGCCTGGAGGAAAATGGAATCTTGACCATTTTAGGTTTCAAAGTAAATGGCAGTTAATATTTGTCTCCCCCCATCGGGAATTAAGTTTCTGGAGAGGGTCTAACATCTTATATTATCTTCACATCCTGCATCAGCCCAAGGACTGCACACCGGAGGCAATCAGGAAGCATAAGTGATAGAAACAGTCTATCCCAGACCAAAGCAACAATCACTGCTGAGTTAAAATAATGAAGAGCAGAAGTCCCCTCCTCACACTGGCCTGTCAGTACCTCACTCCACACCCACTAGATCACAATCTGCATTTGAACAAGATGCCCAGGTGGCTCATTTGCATATGAAAGTTTAAGAAGCATTTTCTACTGACAAATTTTCTTTGAAAGAAATGAGCTGTAGGCCAGGCGCGGTGGTTCACACCTGTAATCCCAGCACTTTGGCAGGCTGAGGCGGGCGGATCACGATGTCAGGAGATCGAGACCACCCTGGCTAACACAGTGAAACCCCGTCTATACTAAAAGTACAAAAAACAAAATTAGCCAGGCATAGTGGTGGGCGCCTGTAGTCCCAGCTACTCAGGAGGCTGAGGCAGGAGAATGGCGTGAACCCGGGAGGCAGAGCTTGCAGTGAGCCGAGATCACACCACTGCACTCCAGCCTGGGCGAGAGAGCAAGACTCCGTCTCAAAAAAAAAAAAAAAAATGAACTGGAGAACTTTCCCTTATTTTACAAATGAAAAATATGAAATTTTATTACTTCTCAATGTGGGAATTTTCGGAGAGAATGCATAGTTACACATTCTAATGGTTTAAGAGCAAATACAACAAAACCATACCCTTTTCCTTAGAAAAAACTAAAATACAAGTAGAGATTTCTGTTTGACTGTAAGGTTAATAAATGCCAACAACAAACCAGAAAAGACATATCCCATTATTAATTTTGCTGTGCAAAGTTTTGCACAATCTCAATGTAAACACTTGTAAAGTCCAATGCTTAAATGTTTCCCCCTCAAAAAAAACTTGACATTAAAAGCACTTACTTGTGGTGTGTCTTTCTGCATTGATGTAGTAATTTTAAATTTTGTTCTTTTACTGCTAAAGTTCATATTTAATGAAAACGAAGATTCTGCATCAATATCTTCCTACATTTAAAAATAAAACATTTATATTTATAAAAACCAAAATCTTTAAATAAGAGTTTGCTGCAAGCAATTCTGCTAAATTAATGACCAAGCAAAAAAGCCTCCACTCTCATAACTTTTATATTATAGATTACCAAATTTAAGAGAAAAATAATTCTTTTGTTCAAACAAACAGGAAAAAACCCAATTATTTTCTACTTTTACATCTGCCAGAATCTTAAGCAGTTTATGTTTGGGAATAAGCTATTTTCTGGTCCTACTATTCTATATACACTACTTTTTGATAAAATAAGAGTCAAGCTCATTGCCTAGAGTTTGACATTTTAATTTTTATGAAACACCAAAGTGCGTAACTTTTCCATCACCCCATTTTGAAAAAGCAACCACATTTTTTTTTACAAATGCCGCAGTAACAAAATACCCACTGTAAATGGCCTGATGACAAGAGAAAGCTGTGCCTCCAGTAGCACACAGCATCAATTTGCTGTGACCTGGGGTGATGGTGAAAACATTTATTTCAATCCATGTTTTATTCACTCTTCAAGAAGCAAGTGGCCTTTGCTCAGGGGAAAACTGTTTAGGCAATTTTTAGAATAACAACTTCTGTATCAGGCTTAAGAAAGCCACTGATATCATAGAGTGGAATTTCTCTGGCAGCAGAATCAAAAGGCACTTGGAAGATGAAATAATTCTCAATAATAATCTAAGACATTCTGCTAAGGAATGGACAGATTCATAATTAAATTTAAAGGCCAGGCATGGTGGCTCACGTCTGTAATCCCACCACTTTGGGAGGCTGAGGTGGGCAGATTACTTGAGCTCAGGAGTTTGAGACCAGCCTGGCCAACAAAGCAAAACCCGGTCTCTACTAAAAATTAAAAAATTAGCCTGGCATAGTGGCTTACACCTGTGGTCCCAGCTACTTGGAAGGCTGAGGCAGGATTATCACTTGAGCCCAGGAGGTGGGGATTGCAGTGAGCTGAGATGGCACCACTGCACTCCAACCTGGGTGGCACAGCAAGATCTCATCTCAAAAATAAATAAACATAAAATAAAATTTAAAGTGCAAACAAGGAATCTATGTTTACTTTGTCAATTTCTGGGCAGCAAAAATAGCATGTTTTAGAAAAAAATATAAAACCTTTAAGAATTTACTAGCCTAAAATTAGAAACCATAATTAATTAACCTTAAGAAATCCCTATTTTGGCCAGGCACAGTGGCTCACGCCTGTAATCCCAGAACTTTGGGAAAGACAGGTGGATCACCTGAGGTCAGGAGTTCGAGACCAGCCTGACCAGCCTGGCCAACATTGTGAAACCCTATCTCTACTAAAAATACAAAATTAGCTGGGCATGGTGGCACGTGCCTGTAGTCCCAGCTACTCAGGAGGCTGAGACAGGAGAATCATTTGAACCCAGGAGGTGGAGGTTGCAGTGAGCCAAGATCACGCCATTGCACTCCACCCTGGGCAACAAGAGTGGAACTCCGTCTCAAAAAAAAAAAAAAAAAATCCATATTTTGCTAAGATTCTGATGCCAGATAAATCATTTCTCAAAATTATGAAAACATTGATTTGAATTTCAGAATATGCCTTTTACAGTTGTTCAGTTATAGACTATAAAATGTCATCATAATCCTAGGGATGTCAGCAAAATGAATTAATGAGAGAAATAAACTGTAGGCTATTAACTTTACAAAAATAAAAACAAAACATTATTTATAGGAATTTTTTCTTATAAGCACAATAATTTGAAGGAGATATAATCCCACCTCTGTTGCATTTTTAACTATTTAAACATCTAGGATATACTATGACAACAAAACAGCAAAATCTTGTAACTAGAAAAAAAGTTACAGAGAAAAAAAGTAATATACTAATGGCTTGTTATTCTTGTGACAGATATTAAAAATATATGGTGGTTAAAAACAGATGACAGTTAATTGAGTGCTGACATTAAGAACACTTGGAATGGAGTTACACATATTAAATATGTGTACAAACAGACATCAACAGGCTGTCATTTCCTGTTATAGAACCATGAAATTAAGCACATTTATAAAACCAAAAACCTGGAAAGTCTTTAAAGGCTAGTTTCAAAATCTCAATTAATCAAAATCTTCCAGATGGCAATTCTTTTACAATTATTCAATAAGCTGTAACAGTATAGGACAAATAAAATCAAACTATAAACGGCACATGGCACCAACTCACACAGCATGCTCTGTGATGCCTTAACGCTCGCAGCTCTATGGAGCGTACAGTAACGTAGTGAATACAAGTGCTTTCCAGAGCACAATAACAATTACAGCCTTATTTTAAAACTGCAAACATCTCATGAAAAAGCTTTAATGCTGATGATGCTTAAATTCTTTGGAATATTACTACATACCTTTTCTGAATCATGGTTAATCATTTTCACATCAAGTAATGATTTGATTGTTTTTGTCAGTTCCTTTTCATTCATCTGAGTGCTGTCCTGAAGCTCTTTATAACTGACAGTTTCACTGTTGTTAAAGGCAAGAAGAACTGCCATTTGGTATGTTGTAACCATGGCTACATATGGTTTGCCCAAATAGTTCATTTTAACTTCACCTACAATTAAAACAAAAACTGACAGTGAATTGACCATTCAAAGAAACATTTCAAATTTACTTTATTTCAGACATTTTCTTCGGAAAGAGTGAACCAATAATTTTATTAAATTGTTGTAAAGCCACTGCTGTTAACAAGGTAGTCATTTTGTTTCTTGGGGAGGTGAGGATGGAAGTCTATTAGTTTTGAGTATATGGTATAAATCAGTAAAACTATCATAACTTCACCAGTAGGTTAAAACAGTCTTTAAGGCCAGGCGCAGCGGCTCACGCCTGTAATCCCAGCACTGTGGGAGGCCGAGGCAGACAGATCACTTTAGGTCAGGAGCTCGAGACCAGCCTGGTCAACATAGTAAAACCCCATCTTTACTAAAAGTACAAAAATTAGCCAGGCATGGTGGCTCATGCTTGTAATCCTAGCCACTTGGGAGGCTGAGGCAGGAAAATCACTTGAACCTGGGAGGCGGAGGTTGCAGCAAGCCAAGATCACACCACTGCACTCCAGCACGGGTGACAGAGCGAGACTCTGTCTCAAAAAAAAAAAAAAAACAAAAAAAAAAGTCTTTAAATATTAATAGAAATGCTAAGACTTAGGCAGAAAAAGAAAAGAACAAAAAACCCAAACAATAAAAGGAGGTGGGAGAAGGAGAAATGGACAGACAAAGGGCAAAGTGATATCAGCAACAGCCTCAAGTGCTGTCGATAGCTGGGCTCTCCCAGGTAAGGTTCAAGCCTCCTGGGAGGTCCACAGCCACATGGAAAATGCTTTTGAGGCCCTGTCTAAGCTGTAATTTCTGCCAAAATTAATGCTATTATGTCTCATAAACAACATTTTTCTTTCCAGTAACTTCCTAGAGGCAAACAGGTATGAAAGGAGAGACAAACAGGCAGACCCATTCTCTTGCTGAAAGTTGATAGCAAAAGAATCTGAATGTTTTCATAAAAATGTTTAATCTGAATGTTTTCATAAAAATGAAAAACATTTAATCTGAATGTTTTCATAAATATGTTCTATATGTGCTGGGCACGGTAGCTTATGCCTGTAATCCCAGCACTTTGAAAGGCCGAGGTGGGCAGATCACTTAAACCCAGGAGTTCGAGACCAGCCTGGTCAACATGGCGAAACCTTGTCTCTACTAAAAATACAAAAATTCGCCGGGCATGATGGCATATGCCTGTAAACCCAGCTACTCGGGAGGCTAAGGTATAAGAATCCTTGAACCTGGGAGGCAGAAGTTGCAGTGAGCCAAGATCACACCACTGCACTCAAACCTGGGCGACAGAATGAGTATCTGTCTCAAAAAAAAAAAAAAAATTCTATATGCTAAATGACCCTGGGAGCTCTAAGAGATAGAGCAAGTATTATGTATACTACAGTTCTGCAACATCCTGGGAGACAGCAGCATGACATCAGCACACTGAAAGCTCATAATGAATAATATGGCAAACATGTCTACACTCTGTAATGTTCCATACGTGTTTAAAAAAAAAAAAAAAGAAAAGAAAAAAGATGCAGATCAAAGAGCTGCTTCCTAAAGCACGAAGTTGTGGTTTGACGACTAACACACACACGGCCTGCATTATTTGATTGTTGAATGGATTATAAATGAAATTGGGCCAGGCGTGGTGGCTCACGCCTGTAATCCCAGCATTTTGGGAGGTGGAGGCAGGCGGATCACGAGGTCAGGAGATCGAGACCACGGTGAAACCCCTGCTCTACTAAAAATACAAAAAAAAAAAAAAACTAGCAGGGCGCAGTGGCGGACACCTGTAATCCCAGCTACTCGGGAGGCTGAGGCAGGAGAATGGCGTGAACCCGGGAGGCGGAGCTTGCAGTGAGCCGAGATCGCACCACTGCACTCCAGCCTGGGCAACAGAGCAAGACTCCATCTCACAAAAAAAAAAAAAAAAAAAAAAAAAAGATGAAATCAACATGAGATTTGATTTTAAAGCTCTTCATTGTTAACTCAAGGAAGCTGTATTTCTCATAAAATTACCCCAGAGACTGCATTTTCCCTCTCAAGGATAATTAGTAACTCTGATTAAGGTTTTCTGCTTTATGTATTCATTACCTCATTAAAGATTTTAGGCCGGGCGCAGTGGCTCACGCCTGTAATCCCAGCACTTTGGGAGGCCGAGGCAGGTGGATCACCTGAGGTCTGGAGTTCAAGACCAGCCTGACCAACATGGAGAAACCCCGTCTCTACTAAAAATACAAAATTAGCCGGGTGTGGTGGTGCATGCCTGTAATCTCATCTACTCCGGAGGCTGAGGCAGGAGAATGGCTTGAACCCGGGAGGTGGAGGTTGCTGTGAGCCGAGATCGCGCCATTGCACTCCAGCCTGGGTAACAAGAGCGAAACTCCGTCTCAAAAAAAAAAAAAAAAAAGATTTTAAAGGCTATGAGTGAATTCATTAGCTTAATATCACCATAAATGCAATATTATCTTGATTATTATCATTTATGCCTTGACATTTCAGATAAAACTGATATTTAGAAACATTTTTCAGAATTATCTGGATGGGAATACCAAGAGAAAAAATTCATAGCCCTCTAAATTTTCACAAAAGGAGGTTTAATATATTAAATTCAATATCCAATTCATAGAAACAGCTTGTGCAAAAAATTATCATTTGGAGTATACTATTAACAATTTCTATAAAAAGGACTCTTATCAACATTTAAGTTTGGAAAATGTAAGTAAAACATTACATAAATTGCATTTTGTTATTTCTGCAATGACGACTTAATCATATGCAGAAATAAGTAGAGAATTATGCATCAAGCACCAAGATGATTAAGTGGCACCATCAGCCAGGATGTCACTGATGCTGTAATATGCTGCCGTGGGTTTGAAAGCAGAATGAGTCTTCTGCCGTCTTTCAGCACCACGAGACCCAAAGAGCATTAGGAGATCATGCGAGGGGCCAAAGCATCATTTACTTCTTATTGAGTTCATTCTTTCATTGTGCCCTTTCTTGCTATTTTTCAATACTCTACCAGGGATCAGGGGTACACTGACCTCTTCCCACTTTTCTTAGCACCATACTCTTACTGAAAAGACTGGGGAAGGGGTGGGAAGACACGACAGGGGAAAGGAAACTTCAAACTTGGATGATTCATTTAATTACTGTGGTGTAAACACAAATGAGAAACAACAAGAGTGGTGATTTACCCTGCAGAATAGGTTGGCAAACCCTAAGAGACTAAAAACTAAAATAAAACATTCTGATACATGCATACTTAAAGTAAGCCAACAATAAATAATTCAAGCAGCATTTACAATGACAGGAAATAAAGAGCGGGCAGAACTCTCACAATAGTTTCATCCAAGTCACTCCCCAGTATCTGTGTCAGCTCTCTACTCTCTCAGGGCAAGTTGAAGGCATGATAGGATATCACCATTTTGCAACCAGTAATGAAACAACTGATTCTGGCAAGGATCATCAGTGGAGGCTAAAACTACATTAGGTTCCTGGAACAGGGTATTCATGCCAAAGTATCATCCCTCAGACTGTCTGCTAAGCTAACTGAAGAGGGGAAAGAGTGCCTCTACAATGGAGATATCTGGTGGTTACCGCCTTCATCAAGTGACCAAATTTAGCATCTCTAATAGTGAGACAATCTGACATTAGATGCCTTTGAAATATGCAATATGAAATACACAGGACCACCTATGAAATATCCTTGCCAATAATACTTAACTGAATATAATCAAACCTTTAGAACTAATTTCCACTTTCCAGAACATACAAGGAATAGAAAACAAATTTAAAAAAAAAAAAAATAAATCACAAATAAGTAATCCAAAGTACTGGATATTCTACAAGACAACTGGCCTGGTCTGTTCAAAACAGTGTGTCAAAGAATGCTGAGAAGTGGGGAGGTGGAAGGGAAATGTAACAACCAAATACAATTAGTGACCTCTGACAGTCAAGCAAGTCACCTTGGGACAGTCAGGGAAATTTGAATATGGACTGGACATTAGACAATACTAACATCCCTCCCTATTTTTAGCTGTTGGAATTATTTGAAAACAAAAGCAGGACAAATTTAGTCAATAGAATCGTTATCTTTTAAGGTATGCACAATGATATGGTGTTACTTTTATTCTGGCAAACACTAGTAACTACCAACACATACTATGATGTAGGGTTCACAAAATTCTAGCCTGATCCATACTATGTACTGTCTGGTGAAGTTTTTTTTATCTTCCTTGAGTTCATCATTTCTCAACGTGTCTTTCAGCAACTGACCAGCAATCTCTACAACTTCTTGCTCTGCCACAAATAAAACTTATTTATACAAAGACAGTGTAATGGTTTCTGTCACACTGTCTGGTTATATCTCTTTATCAAGTATCTGTATGTCTTTATCAAACTGTTCCTTATCGTTAATTCTATCCAAAGCCTTAGTCATAAATCCAGTGGAATTTTCAGGATTTTTCTCACTCTGTCACATCTGGCATCACAGATTGCTTCTTAAAATTCTTCCTCTGTTGGAAATACACTCTCAACACTCTCCTTTACGTAGCTTGGTTAAGTCCTATTCATTCTTTTTATTTTATGGGTTTTTTTTTTTTTTTTTCAAGACAGGGTCTCACTATGTTGCCCAGGCTGATCTTGAACTCCTGGGCTCAAGTGATACTCCTGCCTCAGCCTCCCACAGTGCTAGATTACTATGACCTTATTTAACCTTGATCACCTTCTCATGGACCTTAGGGGTTAGAGCTTCAACAGAAGACTTTGTAGGGAGCACATTACAGTCTCTGCAAGCCATGGACATGGTGACAATTTTATTCCATTCTAACTGCAGATTAAATTAACCTCCATGTTAATCTGCAGCATGTTTTCTTTCTTTCTTTCTTTCTTTTTTTTTTTTGAGACGGAGTCTTGCTCTGTCGCCCAGGCTGGAGTGCAGTGGCGTGATCTCGGCTCACTGCAATCTCCGCCACCCGGGTTCATGCCATTCTCCTGCCTCAGAGAATCTTATTTTCTGCACACTGCTGTGTATAAACATACATTTTTTTATATATGTATGTATATATATACACACACACACATACATACACACACACAAATATGTAGTGATAAAACTATATAGATGATATTTCCATAATTAATACATGTTTATATTAATGTCAATTTTAATGTATGAATATGTATTAAATAAAAACCCATTTCATTTACATATACATGTATATCCTTCCTTCCTTCCTTCTTTCATTTATTATTTTTTATTTTCATTTATTTATTTTCTTTTTGGGCCTGCCTGGTCTTCTCACTCTGGGCTCTGGTGACCTCAGCCTCCCAAGTAGCTGGGACTACAGGGATCTCTTAAGCCCGGGAGGCAGAGGCTAATGTGGGCTGTGATCGCGCACCTCCACTCCAGCTTACGTGAGGTGGGGTGAGGAGAGGCGAGGTGGGGTGAGGTGAGGCGAGGTGAGGTGAGGTGAGGTGAGGTGAGGTGGGGTGGGGTGAGGTGGGGTGAGGTGGGGTGAGGTGGGGTGAGGTGGGGCGAAGTGGGGCGAGGGGGCACCCGGCCCTATTAGCTCTTGAAAACAAGTTGAGATGTGATTTCCCCAGAAGACTTCCCTCGCAAGGACCTGACTGCCACCACCATTCTGTGATATGCCCTGGGCTGGCCTCTATCACATTCAAAACACCGTACTGTAACTATGTACGTATGTCTGTCTTCCTACTAGACATGAGTTTTTTTTGAGGGCCAAGGCTCTGTATTTTATTTCTGTCCACTTGGCGTTTAGAAGTACCTGAGACATAGAAAATGTTCTTTGAGTTGATCAATGAATTTTACAACAATAAAGAGAAGGAAACAGGCTCAAAGGAGTTAAGTAATTTGCTTAAGATTACACAGCTAATAAGTTGTGAGCTAATAACTCCAGCCACAGGTCTTCTGATTCTAAATTCCCCCAAACACCACCTTGTGCACCATCAACCATTTGTGAAGACTCTTCATTTACAATACAAAAATTAACCTTTTCTTGGGTATTCCATGAGCTGGGAATGTAGAAATAGACTAGGCAAGAATAATTTTCATTCTATGTTTAAGCAGAAGTAACAGGGGTTCTCAAGAAACAGAACTCTGAGAGATCTGTCCAGCCTCAGAGCCAGTGTTTTAAAGAAGTCCTGGAGCCTTAGGCCATATATGGGTAATCTAGAACAAGTATCTTCAATACACATAGCGTGTGAGAAACTTTTTGTTAAATGAATAAATGGAGAACAAAAATAAAATGAAAAATGTTGATCAAAGGGGACAAAGTTTCAGTTAGGACCAGTAAGTTCTGGAGATCTATCATATAGCATGGTGACTGTTAATCTACTGTGGAGTAAACTTGAAAATTACTGTGACAAGGCTGGGCACGGTGGCTCATGCCTGTAATCCCAGCACTTTAGGAGGCCGAGGTGGGTGGATCACGAGGTCAGGCGTTCGAGACCAGCCTGGCCAACATGGTGAAACACCGTCTCTACTAAAAATACAAAAATTAGCTGGGAGTGGTAGTGTGTGCCTGTAATCCCAGCTACTCAGAAGGCTGAGGCAGGAGAATCACTTGAACCCAGAAGGTGGAGGTTGCAGTGAGCCGAGATCGCCACTGCACTCCAGCCTGGGTGACAGAGCAAGACCCCATCTCAAAGAAAAAAAGAAAAAGAAAATTGCTGTGACAGTAATTGCTGTGACAGTAGATGTTAAATGCTCTCACCACAAATAAAGATAAGTGAGAAGCTACTTATGTTAATTAGCTTGAGTTAATCATTTTACAATATAAACATAACAAAGCATCACACTGTACACTGTAAACAGATACAATTTTTATGTGTCAATTGTATCTTATCAAAGTTGGGAAGAAAAACAACTCTAACTCCTGGTTTCACTGATAGGTCACAGGTGTTTTCAGTACCTTCGGTGACTCAAAACAAAAAAATAAACTTATAAGGTTCTCTTTCCAAAGGAAGTAACTATTTGGTTTTAACTAAAACACAAATAATATTAAATAAAAGAAATGAACAAACAAAAGAGCTCCCCAAATCAACTTATGTATCAGCTTAGAAATTTAGTATAGCTCAAAAACAGAAAGAAAGTTATTCTCTTTCCTATTTAGGTGATATTGGTGACTATTTTCAAACTAAATTCCAATGGCTAAAAAACTATGTGCATAAATTTATTTTCTTCTTATACACCACTGGTTGTTAAAATGAGCCCCTTACTAAAATTACTTTAGGAGACACATTGATTATTGCTGAAATAATGAGAATAACCAAGAATGTTTAAACTCCCCCAGACAGATATTCATGGAAAGTAAAAGCAAGCTAAATCGAACTGCACTAAGATATATTAGTTTTCTTAGGGGAAAAAAAAAAAATCTAAAACCCTGGTCCAGCATTTTTTTCTTAAAATCAATTATGTTTACTAAATGAAAATAGAACATATTGATTGACTGGTTGAGACAGGGTCTTGCTCTGTTGCCCAGGCTGGAGTGCAGTGGCACGATCATGGCTCACTGCAGCCTCCAGCTCGTGGGCTCAAGTGATCCTCCCATCTCAGCCTCTCGAGTAGCTGGGACTACAGGTGTGCTCCACCACGCCTGGCTAATTTTTGGATTTTTTAGTAGAGACAGGTTTTGTCATGTTGCCCAGGCTGGTCTCAAACTCCTGGGATTAAGTGACCCACCTGTCTCAGCCTCCCCAAGTGCTGGGGTTACAGGTGTGAGCCACTGCACCTAGCCAAAAGTCAAATTAAAATTTGACCTTTGACTACCACTAAGAGTATCAGTAAAAAATCTCATTTCAAAAATTATTTTAAAAATTAGAATGTCCAACTTGCTCAGTAAAGATCGACTTATATAAGTAATGCAAAATGTATTACTAATACAATGAGCCATCACGTTCCCAAGATGTAAATTAGTCAAATAAACACCAAGTATCATAGTTACTTGGATAAAGTAACTCTTGGGGAGGGGATAGAAAACATTTCCTAATAAAGGTTATGGCAAATGATTTTCTTGTACCATCTCTAAGAAATATTAGCATATATACCCTTTCCTTCTTGTACAAAGAAAAAGTGATTCAATGAACTTGTCAAAGCATAGTTTAGCAAAAAAAGAGAAAATTCAAGTGTCTGCTTTGGCTTACATCTTCAGGCAACTCCACACACAGTCCACAATAATTCAGGTATTAATCCTACTGTAAGTAAGTGGACTCCATTGTTCCAGAAAGAAGCAAAGGAAATTAGATTGTGATAAAAGTTTTTTAAAATTGGAAACTATTGAAAATTAAGTAGGACTTTCTGCAAAAAGCTTTACTATTGCATTCACTGCAGTATCACAAGTAAAAATCAAATGGTTAGGTCTCCTTATGATGCTATAATAAAGAAACTGGCAAGAGGATCTGGCATACTTAGAGAACAAGTTTCTAAGTGTGTCTGCCCCATCAAATGTGAGTTTCTAAATACATTTGCTAATGAAGTGGTTGGCTAGAGAAATGTAATAAATCAGTATAAAGTCAGAACATTTCTTTAAAAGCAGCAAGATTATAAACAGTGTAATTATAAAATACTATGAAAAAGTGCTATACTTGGATTTCATTGTTAGTTGCTTTAATGGGGAAAGGTTGATGGAGGAGAAAAGGTTAAAAACTGTAATTGGGCCATAGAAAACCTCTTTCTAAATTAATATAATCATCAGGTAAATTTCATTAAGCCAGATATAATTAAATGCATTTTACCTGTACACAGATAATGTAACCATGTAAGTTTCCTTCCACTGAAATGTTGGCTATAAAATAATTCAAACTGTAAAAAAAAAAAAAAAACACACATTATTTTTAGCTACTATAACTTGCCTAGTTAATTAACACAATACTACAAAAGCAATGAAAACCATTCATATTAGAAGAGACATTAAAGCCCATCTGGTTTACCTCCTTCTTTTACAGAGGAGAAAGCACGTTCCTGTGGTCCCTAATCAAGGCTATACACATATATTCCAGCTCTTTTAATTGACAACTTGTTCTAGAGTTCTCTCCACTAAACCACAGCACTGCAAATTTGACTTTCTGTATGACACAGTGATTCATTATCATTTCTGAATAATACTAACATGGACTTTATAAATTCTACTAACCAAACACAGCAACATATATATTTCACCATGAAAAGAGAAACCCTACCTTCATCTCTAATCTCCCATTTGCCAACATATAGCTTCCACATTCAATTAGACACAAATACGAAGTTTTAGGGTATATCTCTGGATTATTCTTTTGCTGATATTATTGTGAACAATTAAATTTAAATTCTATTAATGTAGCCTTCAAATTTTAAACATTCCTCCCTGGACTGAATGTGTAATTACAGAACAAAAATACAGAGTTCTTTTTTCTTTAATAAAGAGCTAGTATACAATAAAAAGTGGAAAAATGATACTGGATGTGAAAAAGATAAAAACTCAATTTCTTTATAAAACTAAAAAATAAACTGCATTATGCCAGTTCAGAATTCTGAATAAACTTTTAGCATGATGTACCATATATAACATACTTAAAGCTTTTATTTGTATATCAAACTTTACCTTTTGTACTTTAAAAAGGAAGTTCACATAAAGCAGTCAGCAATGACTGACCTATCAGCTATATTATGACCACTCCTTAACAGCAAAAGTTAATAGCTCCAGCCAAGAAAATGAGTCAATTCCTTCAGCAGTTACTCTAAGTTTGCCTAGTCCTGGGAAGCTGAAATATGTTGAGCCTATTTTCCCTCTAATGGTGCAGCATCCTCCTCTACCAGCAGATCCACCAATCCCTTTGCAGGATGAACAGGAGATGACTAGCACCTGGAATACTTCAGATTGCCTGCTTAGTTCTAATCCAGACAAACAGCAAATTGAAATATGTCATAAGAGGATTTCAGAAGTATGATCTGACTAACTAATAACTCCCAGGGATATCAATAAAATTCAATCACTACTATATAATTCACAATTTATAACACATTTACAATGAATCTGGACAAAAGCAAAATAAAAGTTAAAAAAACTTTCATTTTTTTCTCAAAACACTTTCGGAAATGAGAAATTCCAGCTTTAAAATGCTCATAATTTAAAGTGCAAAGCTGGCTTTAAAAGGTATATTCCAAGCTCTAAAAACATGTTTTACCTCTTCAGTAGTACTATTTGGTAAAGTTTTATTGACGATAATATCAATATGCCAAAAGAAGATACTGATTCATCCTTACATTTAAAATCTGACTACAAAGACTCTCGTATCTATAGCTAGTCAAGAACAAACAGACTCCAATAAATTCATCAATTCATATGGCACTACAAAGACCAAAGTTATAAAACCTTCCTTGATTATATCATTAAAATAATTGTGTTAGCAAAGCTTATTAGTAAAAAATATATGTTGACTAAACTTATTTTATTTTTTTAAATTTTATTATTATTATACTTTAAGTTTTAGGGTACATGTGCACAATGTGCAGGTTAGTTACATATGCATACATGTGCCATGCTGGTGTGCTGCACCCACTAACTCGTCATTTAGCATTAGGTATATCTCCTAATGCTATCCCTCCCCCCTCCTCCCAGACTAAACTTATTTTAAAATAAACAGGATAAAAAACAGCATTTTTCAAACACTGTTTAAGGGCATTAATTAGATCTCAAAGAGCCTTAAAAATTCAATGAGTTTATTTACCTTTAATAGATAGCTACATTAATATACACTACTTTAGATACTTTTTTTTTTTTTTTTTTTGAGGCGGAGTCTCGCTCTATCACCCAGGCTAAAGTGCAGTGGCGCAAACTCGGCTCACTGCAACCTCCACCTCCTGGGTTCAACCGATTCTCTTGCCTCAGCCTCCAGAGTAGCTGGGACTACAGGTGCATGCCACCATGCCCGGCTAATTTTTTCTATTTTTAGTAGAGACGGGGTTTCACTGTGTTAGCCAGGATGGTCTCAATCTCCTGACCTCATGATCCGCCCGCCTCGGCCTCCCAAGGTGCTGGGATTACAGGCGTGAGCCACCGCGCCCGGCAACTTTAGATACTTCTAATATTATTCAGGTTTTTGGCCTAGGTAAAAAAGAAATGTAACAATTAAGATTGACTGGCCTAAAGTATAAAATAAATTACTTTTAATTACAGCTTTAATTCCACAGTTTTGAGATACTTTGGTGTAAAATAAAGGTAATTCTTGATAGTTATATTTAAGATTAAGATGTAAAAAATGCAAATCATCACTAAGGCAGGATGGATTAATTTACATGAGAAAACTGTACACTATTAAGTATACAAATGGATTTCAATCCTATGTATCTGAAAACTTGGACTTACTAGAAAAAAAATAAAGGACAAACTCCCTCTACTGGTAATTGGAGACAATTCAAATGGAGAGAATAGTATTTTTGGAATCAGAATTTTACAGACAGAAACTCACTTCCTATTTGTAAATGGGGAAACTAAAACCTGAGGAAGACTATACATCAACAAATAAAGTTTAAAGAGTTAAAAACTATAAATAGAAAATAATTATTTCAAGGAAAGAGGAAAGAAAAAACTAAAGGAAAACTTCATTTCTGCCAGCTCCTATTCTCTCCCTTAATTTCAATCAGGGACACATGATATTTAAAAAGAAATGTAAAAGACTGCCAAGGCCAGGCATGGTGGCTCATGCCTGAAATCCCAGCACTTTGGGATGTATCCTTTCTGCAAAATTTGTAATAACCTTGGATTATAGTCTGCCCCATCCAATGAATGTCTGCACAAATGCTCTTCTTCACATAGTTTCTAAAATAGTCTGTGCTACAATCTCTTTTCAAAGAAGATGTAAGAAGTCCTAATTTAGCCTCCTATTCTGAAAGTCTATCATGCTTGCCTTCCTGAAACCTACCTGACTGGTTACAGGACTCTCCTCTATTAGTTATTACCACGAAACTAATAACCACTATCAATCACTGTTACTACTTACTCTACTAGCAGTTACTTCACATATATTTACCTACATTACAGGACAGAAATAAAAATATTACAAGGGCTGAATGAGGTATTTGGTCAAAATTCAAAAGGAAAACTGGTAAGTGATATTTTAGGTGTTGAATTCTAAGCTTTCTTCTGATATCAACATTTTTATAATTTAAAACTGCTTAATAGCAGATGATAGACTTACTCAGAATAAGAGACATGCTTTGACAAAGAACTGTATGACATTCTTCTTAGCATTTTAGTATCAATATTAGTAACTACAATAACTTACATTCTTCCTAAAGGGCAGACTGACTATAATTTCTGAATCTATTTTTATCACATGAACCCTTAAGACTCTGAAAAAATATTAAAGGTGATATAATATGAAGACAATTATTAAAATTCCTTTAGTCTTCTAATATATTTCCTGCAAACTTACCATCTGTACACTTTTTTCTAATTCCTGGGGAATTGCAAACGTAGATGAAGGAGCCTGAGTAAGAGGCCACGCACCAGCCTAGAAGGAAAAAAATAAAATAAAATAAGCTAAATGGATCAACATCTAAATTCAAAGTAAATATTTATTAAATAATCTAAGCATCTAAAACATTTTTTTCTTCCTCAAAATGTTGATGAAATCTGAGTATTTCTATCATGGCACATTTCATTCCAAACCAATAGGACCTTTTTTTGTTTTTTTTTTTTGAGATGGAGTCTCACTCCATCACCCAGGCTTCAATGCAGTGGCACGATCTCCGCTCACTGCAACCTCCGCCTCTGGGGTTCAAGCAATTCTCCTGCCTCTGCCTCCCCAGTAACTGGGATTACAGGCACGCACCACCACACCTGGCTAATTTTTGCATTTTTAGTAGAGACGGGTTTTCACATGTTGGCCAGGCTGGTCTGGAACTCCTGAGCTCAAGAGATCTGCCTGCTTTGGCCTCTGAAAGTGCTGGGATTACAGGCATAAGCCACCACGCCCAGCCCAAATCAATAGGACTTTAGAAGCCACAATCTACTCACAGAACCAAACGTAATCAGGCATCCATTTATGAATCATTTGTATCAACGTACTGAAATGATTAGTAAATGCTCATAGTAAAACACATATTCATACCTGTAGAACATATATTTGAAAACTAATTCCCAAATCTATTACTGTGTCTTGGTTTTTGATAAAATTGTTGAACTTATTGTTGAGATCAGCGCTGACACTCATATCTGTATACATCCGATGTAGCTTGCTGGTAAACTCATAACCACAGGCTTGCTATAAAAAAGTTTTAGAAAATACATGAATTCAAAAGAAAAATAATAAGTCATATTGGTTAATAATAATGTGTCGGTATTGCTAGGTCTTTGATCAAAGGTTCTTGCATATACACTTATACCCAAGGACTAGTAATATATTCTTCATAAGTCAAAGCAACTAATCAAAACCTTTCAAACTTTCTTTTTAAAGACGTATTTTAAATAAGTGAATAAAAACCACCTATCTAGGAACAATAAATCTCCCCTTAAACAAAAACTTTTTTATACATTCATCTCTTATTTCAGCACTGCAAAATGCCCCGTTACTATACATAAGATACCTTAAAAGGATTTTATGTTGTGTTTTGTTTTAAAGACTTGGGGTCTCACTGTTGCCCATGCTGCAACGCAGTGGCTATTCATTGGAGCCATCATGGTGCACTACAACTTCGAACACCTGGGCTCAAGTGATCCTCCTATCTCACTCTCCCAGTAGCTGGGACTATTGGCACATGCCACAGCTGCTGGCTCTTATAAGGTTTACAGATAGTATCAAATGAAAGATTACATAAATGATTACTGGGAATACTCCAGCCTGTAGTCAATTGAAAAAGTTCTATTTAGGCATATTTTTAATAGCATCTACTGAGTGCTGAAGAAAACTATTTCTTTAAAATTATTCAAAATTCTGTTGTTACCAGGTCAGAAAATCTGAATCTCTAATCTTGAAATATAAAAAGCTCATTAACACTACTTTTTTTTTGTAATTAATCTATTTAGAGGCAGGATCTTGCTCTGTCACTCAGGATGGAGTGCAGTGGTATGATCATGGCTCACAGCAGCCTTGATGTCCCAGGCTCCAGCAATCCTCCCACCTCAGCCACCTGAGTAACTGGGACTAGAGGAACACGCCACCAAGCCCAGCTAACTTTTGTATTTTTGGTAGAGACAGGGTTTTGCCATGTTTCCCAGGCTGGTCTTGAACTACTGAGCTCAAACAATCTACATGCCTTGGCCTCCCAAAGTGCTACTATTATAGGCATGAACCACCACACCTGGCCAACACTACTTTTAGAAATTAAAAATTAAGTTTCTTTTTGGAGGTTTAAAAAAGAGCACACAGCAACTGGGTGCAGTGGTGCACACCTATTGTCCCAGCTGCTCAGGAGGCTGAGGCGGGAGGATCGCTTGAGCCCAGGAGTTAGAGTCCAGCCTGGGCAACATAGTGAGACCCTATCTCTTAAAAAAAGAAAAAGGAAAAAAGGAATGCATATTATATTCAAAATGTCTACTATGCAAGAAAATTTATTGAATAACACAGGATAAATATGAACCTGCTACCACTTATCGGTATGTAAGCAAGCTGAAATGATGTAAAAATAAATTGAAATGGAATTGCACTCCAAAATCTGTACTTAAAGGAATATTTTAGGTGTATTCATTTATAAGTAGTAATAATCTTTTATCATTAATACTGATTATCTTGTGAATCTTCATATATAAACATATACATTTTGTCCTTTTAATACAGTATTTGTATATCCCACTGTGTGACTACACAAATACACATTTAACCAGATGAATTGTTTCCTGTTACTGTACACAATGCTGCAATGAACATCTTTATGTGCTTGTGAATGAATTTCTAGGACAATACCACATTAAAGACTTACATTACCTTTAATTTGTTGATCATGGCTTCTTCAGAGTCCATAGACATGGATAACCCATGAATTAAACGTTTTGCCAGCATTCTTGCGTAGAACTACATTTAAAAATATTTTAAAAGATTACTTCCTTTCTAATGATTTAGCATTCAGAAATAAAGTTGACCAAAATACAAATGAAACTTTTCTGTTCACAACATACCTTTTGAAAGACGTCCTTGTCATCAATGTATTTGAACACTGTGATGAAGCTCGTGAGCCTGTCTTCCACTTCATTCTCTGTCATCCCTTTCGCTGACTTCTTCAGTAAGTTGTCACAGTACTTAGCAAGCTCATGTAGAAATTGATAATAAATCTTACAAAGGGTGCTTCTGTATATATCACGCCTCAAAGGAGGCAAAGTGGTGATACAAGGTAAGATCAGCGGACAGAATTTTTGCTGTTTTTTTTAGAGACCGGGTCTTGCTCTGTTGCCAGGCTGGATTGCAGTGGACAAGATCATAGCTCACTGCAGCCTCAAACTCCTAGGCTCAAAGGATCCTCCTGCCTCAGCCTCCCAAGTAGTTGGGACTACAGGCATGCACAACCACACCAGGCTTCTAAAGCTTTATGTAATAATCATAAATGTAAACTAAATAAAATATACATCATAAGGTAAATTTTTAAAAAGAACAAGTCAAATATCAAATCATCACTTATTGACCAATAAAGCAACTGATATAAGTAATACAAATTTTTAAAAGAACACCTAGGTGAGTTTCGAGTGGTTTTATAATTTTTGACATTGAACAAGTACTTTAAAAAAAAGTTACAAAAATCTTGTAAGCAAGTTTCCTTCAAAGGTTACCCAAACTTTATCATCAGATTTCCTTTAGATTTCAGATGTAACAGAATCTACATGAAAAGTATTGCAAATTATTTCAAAGTAGATATACATTAAAACCCAAACTTTGTAAAATGGTTATTCTTTAAGACACATAGTATATTGCATTCCTTACATAAATGCCAAACTATATACAATGTAGATAATTTTCCTTCTATTTTTCTGAAAAATGCTACAAAAACCAAATTAATTTGATATTCTGAGTTCTCATTTTCTAATACTGACTTTTCATAAGATTACTTTTCAGCAACCACCAAACTTACCAGTTCAGGTGCTTTGCAAACAGACTTAGGTTCTCTGTAATTTACAACTGACGTAAGGGCCTGAATAAAAAAACACGCCATAATTAACCACCAGCCATAGGGAAAAAGTACAGCTAGTTCAATATAAGCCATAATCTGTACATCCAAAAATTACCCCGCCACATAAAACACAGCATTGCCGGTAGTTTGTTAATATTTTCATGCCTAACATGGTAGACTCCTCTGACTTTATTCTCTAATTACAAAATATCTATATATCCTGTTGCTATTCCAAGATATTCTGTAACTCATTATCGAAATTTGAACAGATAAAATAACGTTACTTAAAAAAAAACTTACAATCTTGTAAGCAGCTTTCCTTTAACGTATGCAAAAGTTCATGTAAAACATATCTATTCTCTTTTCAAATATTATTCAATATAGCCTAAGTATTATGGCCAAAGAAAAAAAATCAGTACTAAAAATTGCAAAATTATGCATGTCTATCCAGAACATATCAGATTAAAAATTCCCCTTATATAGCATAATCACGGGACATTCTACAAGCATTCAATTTAACTATTCAGTTAATAATTTAAAAATTATATTATTTCTATTTTGAATTTCATATCAAAATTACTTAATCTCCATGTCTACATCAGAAACCTCATACTAGAATTCTGATCTTGAAACTGCCTAAAGAATGATAGAGTTTTATGTACATATATAGTATATATGTATTTAAAACTTACCTTATCCAACGCACTCATAAAATGCTGATCACCATTCAAAACAGTGTTGATAAGCTGAACAAATTTACCATGCACTTCCAAAACTGACTCCACAAATAGTGTTGGCATCTAAAAATGAAATATAAGTACAAAACCACATTTTAAGAGGTTCAAGGATATCCAAACTATGAGGTTTATTAGACTTATTAGTAAATTTTTCCTCAAGGAAATTATGTTTCACACATGCACACTTCTCAGAAAATGGTTTTAGCTAAGACGGTCTTAGAAATTTACAACTTTGGTGTTGAAGGCTGGGCACAGTGGCTCACACCTGTAATCCCAGCACTTCTGGGAGGCTGAGGCGGGCGGATCATGAGGTCAGGAGATCGAGACCATCCTGGCCAACACGGTGAAACCCCGTCTCTACTAAAAATACAAAAAAATTAGCCAGACGTGGTGGCGTCCACCTGTAATCCCAGCTACACGGGAGGCTGAGGCAGGGGAACTGCTGGAACCAGGGAGGTGGAGGTTGCAGTGAGCAGAGATCGCACCACTGCACTCCAGCTTGGGCGACAGAGTGAGACTCCGTCTCAGAAAAACAACAACAACAACAAAAAAAAAAAAAAAGGAAGAAAGAAAATAGCTTGTCATTCAACACAACAAGCTGTCATAGACTGTCTAGTACCTGTCAGAAGAACCCACCAAAAGCATACTTTTCTACTGTGTTGGAATAACTTATCTTAAGGATAACAAGACCTGAACTACCAGGTCTATCACTTTCATAGAGGCTTAAATAAGCAAAGACTGCCTGCAAAGTCACTAAAGGCTGAGAGAAAGGAGAGTTAAAAAGCCAATAATCCTGAGAACAGAGACCCCTTGAACTCGGCAAGACAATCCCTCACATCTCAGAGAGAAGAAATACCTAATAGTACAAAAGTGAGTTTTCCCTCTTAATGGAGATAACCATGAAGAAGTTACTACCTAAGACTTAACTAAGTCAGTTGGATTTGAGTCTACCACAAATGTATTCACTTATGTTTCCATCTCCCAGCCTTGACACAAAATTCGATGCTTCTATGCCCAATGTCATTGGACATGGAATCTATAAACGTAATAATGTAAACTAGTAAGTTTGACAAATAATAGAGTAATAAACCTGAATACTATAAACTAATAGTTCTACAAAAAATAGAAAACTGTGGTAAAGGGAATTTGAAGAAATAAAAAAATAGAAAACTTACACATTATTGTGGCATAACATAAAAACTAAAAATTATTACTTGCCAAAAACCAATCTGCAGCTAAGGTAACAGCCTCTAAAAAGTGCTCCTGAACAGTGACGTCTATACACAGATACTATCTTATAGATGAAGGGCAAACAGCTCTACTTAAGAAGAGACAGTAACATTTGAAGTTATTTCTCTCTTGCTCATCAAACATTACCAGTAATAACAAGATTTGGTGATGGGAAAGACAAACTGTTACAGTACAAACTGTTACAGTCATGTGATTGGCAAAGTATTCGAGAAAGATGAGTATTAGGGATATGAGGGTTATTGTTTTGGGTATTTGGGGCAGCAAGCATATACTTACAGAAGATTATTTTAATCTAAATTTGCTTCCTGGACAACCAAATTCAGAGGATATGGAAAGGAGGCAAATTGCAAGTCGTCTATATTACCACTGATTAATACTACTACCATGACAACAAACTACGTTATCAATGCCAATTACACAAAAACACAGTTATTTAAAAATGGCGAGCTTATTTTCCTGTGGAAAGTTAACAACTGTTCAATGGACACCCTCCGTATGGCTAAGCAGCAGCCTATCAATAGCTTTCTAATAATCTGATAATTCCAAAATGAGTCCAACAAATTCTAGGTTTAAAACATTTGAATAAAGACATTTCTTTCGTTGGCATGGTAAGACTTTTTCTTTCATCTTTCAAAACAATAAAGTCAAAGGAAAGGCTCCACGCTGGATCTGATTAGGAGGAAAACATTGCAGTTTCCCACACAACTCACGTTTTCCTGAGTAAGGTTGCTGGTTGCTCGAAGGCCCTCATCATGGATGTGGTTTTGCAGCTCCTGAATCATATGAGGTAAACCAGTGGACACAGCACGGAGTAAGACGTACATATTTGCCATGTCTGAGAGGAAAAAGACATCTGAGGGTTAACTCCCAAATATTTTCATTTATTAGGTAATATATGGATCCAAGTGCAGGAGTACAATATACGGATCCAAGTGCAGAGCACCCAGAGAAAAGTCCCCCATGCCCACCTCCCAGCCACCCAAGCCCCTCTCCCCACAGGAAAGGGATGTGGTTATTTAACATCTTCCCAAAGATATTTTGTGCAAATTCAAGTGAATACATATATTCTTCCCTTTGCCCCTTTTAATACAGTGTACTGTATTTTGTATATTATTTGTAGCTTCAGAACACATTTTAACTTAGTGGTCTTTTCCTATCAGTACACAAAGCATTTCTATGTATTTTACAGCTGCACAGTACTCCATTATGTGGATATAATTTCTTAACAACTGATGGAAATTTAGGTGGTTTCCAGTCTCTTGATATTGCAATGTTGCAATCAATAATCTTATACATGAGCAAGAATATATGCAATATAAGTTCCCAAAAGTGAGGTTACTGTGTCAAAGTTTAATCTTGTAGACAGATCCTTCTAACCACAGCTGCCAACAGCAGAGAGTTCCTTTGCCAACAATGTGTTGCCAAATGTTTTGATCTCTAACACTGGGAGGTGAATAATGATCTCTCAGTGTAGTAGGTTTAATTTTAAACGTTTCATTAAAGCATCATACATATACAGAAAAGTATACAAACCATAAGTGTATATCTTACTGAATTATCACAAGTGAACACACAACACACCCATGTAATCACACGCAGGATAAGAAACAGGCATTACCTACACCCAGGAGTCCCCTTCATGCCTCCTTCCAATCACACACTCTTGCTCCTCTGCAAAGGTAACCACTGCTGTGACTTCTAAATCACAGATGAGTTTGAACTACGTATAAAAATGGGATCACACAATTCTTTCGTGTCTGGCTTCTTGTGTTCAACATGTGTATAAGGATCATCTATGTTGTTGTGCATGGCTTTAATTTGTTCATTTCCACTCCTCTATAATATTCCATTGTATGAATATACTGTACTATTCTACAGTAACTGGACATTTGAGCTGTTCCAGTTTATGGAGCTATTACAAACACTACTATGAACATTCCTGTATGTCTTTTTGTATATATGTCCAGGCATTGGCAGTGGGGAGGTAAAGCTGGGGGGTGGTTATATGTTTAGGAGAACTGCTGGATCATAAAATATGCATAATATATCCCACTTAGCGGTCAGTGCCAGTTTCCCAAAGTAGTTGCATCAATTTATACTCTCACTTCAGTGTTCAACAAGTTCCTGCTACTTCACACTTCTTTCTATGTTTATTGGCCATCTGGGTATCTTCTATTCTGCAGTGCCTGTTTTTTGAGCATTTTATATTTTGGATATAAATCTTTAGTATTGCAGGTACATTACCCTATAACTGTCTTCTGATGATCCAGTGGTTTTAATGGCTTTTTTTGAGACAGGGTCTTACTCTGTCACCCAGGCTGGAGTGCAGTGGCAGGATCTCGGCTCACTGCAACCACCACCTCCCAGATTCAAGTGATCCTCCCACCTCAGCCTCCCAAGTAGATGGGACCACAGGTGCACACCACCCCGCCTGGCTAATGCTTGTATTTTTTTGCAGAGATGGGATACTGTCATGTTGCCCAGGCTGGTCTTGTACTCCTGAGCTCAAGCAATCTTCCTCCCTCTTAATGGCCTTTTAATAATCCAAAGTTTTTCATTTTAATGTAGTTCACTGGATCAATCGTTCCTTTGTGGTTAGGGCTTTTTGTGTCCTATTTAAAATATCTTTCCCTGTCTCAAGGTTATGAAGATATTCTTCTATATTATCTTCTAGAAGTGTTATTTTTTTACCTTGTACATTTAGAGAAAAAACTCAATAGTGAATTGATTTTGTATATGGTATCTTGAGGTAGTGATCAAATTTCATTTTCTTCTGAAATGGATATCCAATTGACTGAGCAATGCGTGTTGAAAAGACCATCTTTTACCTGCCGCTCTGCAGCGCCACCTTGGTCTTACATCAAGTGGCCACATATGCTTGGGTTGTTTCTAGGATCTCTTATTTTATTAGGATATCTGTCTGTCCTTGTACCAATGCCTCACTGTCTTAATTACTATAGGTTTTACAATAAGTCTTGCTGGTCATTAAAGTCTTTCCATCATACTCTTCAAGACAGTGACTTTCGGAATTAAAATGAAATTATTGGGTTTTGACTACATTGCCCTGGATCTATGAAATTAATGTTGCTGTAAAAAACACGGGGCCAAGGGTGGTGGCTCGTGTCTATAATCCCAGCACTTTGGGAGGCCAAGGCAGGTGGATCACGAGCTCAGGAGTTCGAGACCAGCCGGCCAACATAGTGAAACCTCGTCTCTACTAAAAATACAAAAATTAGCCAGGTGTGGGGGCGGATGCCTGTAGTCCCAGCTACTCAGGAGGCTGAGGCAGGAGAATCGCTTGAACCCAGGAGGCAGAGGTTATAGTGAACAGAGATCGCGCCACTGCATTATAGCCTGGGCCACAGAGCGGGACTCCGTCTCAAAAAACAAAAACAAAAAGCCTGATTAATGGCCGGGCGCGGTGACTCACACCTGTAATCCCAGCACTTCGGGAGGCCGGGGCAAGCAGATTATCTGAGGTCAGGAGCTCAAGACCAGGAGGCCAACATGGTGACACCCCGTCTCTACTAAAAATACAAAAATTAGCTGGATGTGATGGCACACACCTGCAATCCCAGCTACTTGGGAGGCTGAGGCAGAATTGCTTGAACCTGGGAGGCAGGGGTTGCAATGAGCCAAGATCATGCCATTGCACTCCAGCCTGGGCGACGGAGCGAGACTCCATCTCAAAAAAATTAATTAATTAAATAAAATATACATATTTATTATCTTTCCTGCCTATAAAAGTAATGCATGTTTTTTGTTTTTTTAAAAATCAGAGAGGCCGGGCGCAGTGGCTCACGCCTGTAATCCCAGCACTTTGGGAGGCTGAGGCGGGCGGACCACAAGGTCAGGAGTCCGAGACCAGCCTGACCAACATGGTGAAACCCTGTCTCTACTAAAAGTACAAAAAAATTAGCCAGGTGTGGTGATGAGCGCCTGTAATCCCAGCTACTCAGGAGTCTGAGGCAGGAGAATCACTTGAATCTGGGAGGCGGAGGTTGCAGCGAGCCAAGAGCACGCCGCTGCACTCCAGCCTGGGCGACAGAGTGAGACTCTGTCTCAAAAAAAAAAAAAAAAAAAAAAAAATCAGATATAGCTGATTTTTTATATTATATAAATTATTACATTTATTACATAATATTTGTATTTCCTTTTTATAGTCTTTGCCTTTATTCCTACTGTTTATCAGGAATTCTAAATGCATTAAGGAAATTAGCTCTTGTAATATATAAAAATGTATAAACACAATTTCCCACTTTTTCTTCTGATTTTAGAACACTCTGAAAACACTTTCCTAAAATAGTCTTTCAAAATAAAGTATTAATAATCTGTAAAAGGTTATTTAAAATATTTTAAAGACTATTACTAAAATAGGCATTAAATCAAGGGTGACTAGAGGATGATATAAAAGGTGGATTTATAATTTAATTTCTACTCATGTTTGGTGTCACTTACCATTTTTTTTCTCTTGTCGAATTATATTATGACATTCTGCATGTAAAAACTGTAAGTGGTCTGCTACCATTCGTTGTTGACATTCATGAATCACCTTAGTATATGAACTTGGATGTAGGTATTTTCGACATCGAATTTCTTCATCTTTTAATCTACCTAGAACCTATAAAAATATTTTCTTACAGTCATGAACACAAAGTTTTACTATGAGGAAAAATCTGTAATATCAGCAAGTAACTCAGCCAAATTTTAATGGCTGAATTAAACATGGCAAAGGTAATAAGGGTTACATAAGCAATTTAAACCCACATTCTATAAATCATTTCAAATTTTTATTTAAGCTACTAGCTGTCATCTACATTCCACCAGTCTTATAAGCAAGAACTAAAGTTAAATAGTCTGCATTTTGTCTTCATTTACCTACACCATTCATCCTATTACATGGACAACATAACATGTAACAGGAAAAGTGGGTACAGATGATTAAATTCAGAACAGGTGATCTCTGTTATGAATAACTATCAAACTAAAAAATAAATTATATTGAAATCAAGTAGATGAATCTAATTATTTTACGTTGGTTTCTCTTCTTGTAAATGGAACTGTATGTGCATGATAGTTAACTACCATATTAAAGATTTAATTAAAATTTTTGAAAGTAGGGGCTGGACATGGTGGCTCACACCTGTAATCCCAGTACTTTGGGAGGCCAAGGCAGGTGGATCATCTGAGGTCAGGAGTTTGAGACCAGCATGGCCAATATGGCGAAACCCTGTCTCTACTAAAAATATAAAAATTAGCCGGGCATGCCTGTAATCCCAGCTCCTTGGGAGGCCAGGGCAAGAGAATCACTTCATCCCGGGAGGTGGGGGTTGTAACGAGCCAAGATCGCACCACTGCACTCCAGCCTGTGTGACAGAGTGAGACACTGTCTCAAAAAAATAAAAATAAGGCCAGGCAAGGTGGCTCATGCCTGCAATCCCAGCACTTTGGGAGGCCGAGGTGGGTGGATCACATGAGGTCAGGAGTTTGAGACCAGCCTGGCCAACATGGTGAAACCCCGTCTCTACAAAAATACAAAAAATTAGCCAGGTGTGGTGGCAGGTGCCTGTAGCACCAGCTACTCGGGAGGCTGAGGCAGAAGAACTGCTTGAACCCAGGAGGAGGAGGTTGCAGTGAGCCGACATCACGCCACTGCACTCTAGCCTAGGCAATAAGAGCGAGGCTCTGTCTCAAAAAATAAATATAAATAAAAAATAAAAAATTTGAAAGTAAATATAATTTAGTCATAGTCAAGTATGTCAATCAAGACTTTTATTAAAGTTTATCCTACATAAAGCGCTGAGCTACAAATAACACTGGTTAATATCAACAAGAACTAGCCCATAAGGAAAATAACCAAAGAATTTGACTAATTTCTGTCTCAAGACAAAACAACAACATATACACAGACAAATGCACCGGCTTGGAAACACTCTGGAACATAAAGCTGTGTAATTAGAGTTTCTGAAATTAAGTGTTCCCGGGGAACTACATACACCTGGCACTTTGGAGAGTGCTGCTGAGTTGGCCTGGGCACAAGGAGTGAAAATCATTCCTGGAAAGCGGATCAGAAATTTTCAATAAAAATGAGGCTCCAGACAGTAGGTTCCCACAGTCCTGTCTTTCCTATTGTGCGACCCTTTGAAGCCAGGAGTTCAGGGCAAAGTCACAGACTCAGGTCGGGCAAGAAGGGGTCTAGAGCAGCAGTCCCTAACCTTTTAGGCACCAGGCTCTGCTTTTGTGGAAGACAATTTTTCCACAGACGGAGTGCGGGCGGCATTGGTGGGGGCAGGTGGCTTCCAGGTGAAGTATTCCACCTCAGATCCTCAGGCATTAGATTCTTCTAAAGAGCGCACATCCTAGACCCCTTGCATGCAGAGTTCACAATGGAGTTTGCGCTCTGTGAGAATCTATGAGAATCTAATGCTGCTGCTGATGTGACAGGAGGCGGAGCTCAGGCAGTAGGTAATGCTCACACAGTGGCTGCTCACTCCCTGCTGTGCAGCCCGGTTCCTCCTAACAGGCCACAGGTCAGTACTGGTCCTCCCCAGTTCCTAACAGGCCACAGGTCAGTACTGGTCCTCAGCCTGAGGGTCAGGGACCCCTGGTCTAGAGGACAAAAGTGTTCACCACATATTACATCAGCTAAGAAAGGCACTTTGATTAACAATAAATCCTTTAAGGGCTATTTTTATAACAAAAAGGATTAAGTCTATTAGTCATTCAGAGCATACTATAGTGACTTTAATCTGCTTGCCAAGTTAATGCAACAGGAATTACAGTGGGTCTGAGAGAGGTGAAGGAGGATGGAAGAAGGAAAAAATAAAACAATGATAACTTGGGAGAGAGAGGCGCATATCAAGAGAAATGTAGAGAAGGTTGGACTGCCCCAGTGCAGGGCTTCAAACAGCTGTAAAACCCCTGGGGGAAAGAAAGGCCAAAGCTATAAGAGGAACGCAGCAAGGAGGCAGGAAGGCTGTACTGACTCATTCCCCAATTAACTAAATGGAGAGCAAAGCCCAGGGTTTTGCCCTTGAAGCTAATATGGTCCAACATTATTTCCTGAAATGAGCTTTTCTTTTTCTTTCTTTTGTCAGACAGGATCTCGCTCTCTGGCCCAGGCAGGAGGGCAGTGGTGCAATCTCGGCTCACTGCAACTTCCGCCTCTCAGGCTCAAGTGATCTTCCCACCTCAGCGTCCCAAGAGCTATGACCAGACGACTACACCACCATGTGTGGCTAGTTTTTTAATTTTTTGTAGAGATGGGGTTTTGCCACGTTGCCCAGGCTTGTCCTGAACTCCTGGACTTGCGTAATCTGCCCGCCTCAGCCTCCCAAAGTGCTGCAATTACAGGTCTGAGCCACCGTGCCCAGCCTGAAATAAGCTTTTCTAATAAACATTCTTTTCCAAACATAATTTATTCCAATGTCCCTCCTTCCCTTTTAACACCTTGAGATGTAATTTACATATTAAATAATTCACCCATTTAAAGTGTGCAATTCAATGGTTTTGGTATATTACATTATCAATGTTTTTAAATTGTGGTAAAAACATAGATAATAAAATTTACATTAGCCATTTTTATGTGGGCAATTCAGTGGCATTAAATAACGCTCACTATGTTGTGTAATCACCCCCATTGTCTACTTCCAAATATTTTTCATTACCCCATCAGAAACTTTATAACCATTAAGTAACAACTCCTCACATCCTCCTCCCCTGATAACCTCTAATCTATCTTCTGTCCTTTTGAATTTGTCTGTTCTAGATATTTCCTATAAATTGAACCACAGAATATTTGCCCTTTTGTGTCTGTCTTTTTCCACTTAGCATAACATTTTCATGGTTCATCCATGTTGTATCATGTATAACTTCAATTCTTTTTAAAGACTGTGTGGTGTTGTGATATGTAAGTACATTGGTTTTCATCTGTGGTTCCTGGTTCATAACTCCCTTAGCCCTAGTTACAGTCTTTAGTTATAATGTTGAGTGTGTTAGGTCTCAGGAAACAGAATTTCTCTCCTACTCTCCTTTCACCTGCCTCAAGGCAGGACTCTAATCTTGCCCTACCTTTCTGACTGTGGGTCATAAGACCCTCCCCAGAGAAAGCCCCACCCTGTACGCTGGGGGAAAGACTACTGACATCATGAAGCTTCCACAAAAATCCAAGAAGACTGGGTTCCACAGGGATAGAAGCTCCTGCACTCATGGTGATTTCAGACCTTCCCTTATGTGTCTCCTCAAGTGGTTGTTTATTTGTATCCTCTAAAATATCCTTCTTAATGAACTAGTAAACATTAAGTGAGTGTTTCCCTAAGTTCTGTGAGCTGCTCTAGCAAATTAATGGAACCCAAACAGTGTACTGTAGGACTTCAACTTGAAAGCCAGTCGGTCAGTAGTCCGGAGGCCCAGACTTGTGACTGGTGTCTGGGGGTGTGCAGGGCAGTCTTGGAGACTCAGTCCCCAAACTGTGGGATTAGCCACTATCTCAAGTAGATGGTGTTAGAGTTGAACTGGAGGACACCTAGCTGGTGTCTGCTGCTTGGTGTGTGGGAGAAGAGAGCCACACCTTTGTTTACAGAAGCCTTCTGTGCTGATGATTGTTGCTGTGGTGTGAGAGTAGAGGAAAAACATGGTTTGAGAGAGTTTTTCACTACACACGATGAATAATATTCCAATGCACATATGTATCACATTTTGCTTATTCTTTCAACTTCTAACAGACATCTGGGCTACTGCCACCACTTGCCAGTGGCATATTTTTGACAGCCAGACAGAGCAAAGTGCATGTATCACAGATAATCTGTGTGTGATTCTTGGGGCTGGATCTAGAGGCTTCAACAAAAGTCTAAGGTGCAATAAGGGCTAAGAGCTTAGAACCACTGATCTAGTGTAACCTGAACTTAATTGATGGGGGAAAAGTTCCAGATAATTTGCTCAGGGGACAGAGCTAACTAGTAAGAAAAGCAGGAAGATAATCAAACAACTAAGACCTCTAGATCTGGGCTTTGTGGATGACACAACAGTGTATCGGTAAGCACGGATGCTTTGTGACTTGTGGCCTAGGGATGTAGGATGACAGCTCACCCACTTAAACTACTCGACCTTTCTTGGCTACATAAACTAACACAAACCATCCCAAAATAAAATGCTTGAAATCCAACACTGCAGATTTAAAAACCTGGCTAGAAGTTCTAATATATCTTACATATGGTGGTTTAATTTGTATGAACACTTTTTTCTTCTACTACTGAGAAAATAAACATGGGATTTAACATATGATAACCAATATGTACTGGTTTAGTGATCAATTAAAATTTCTTGGCTGGGTGCAATGGCTCACATCTAAAATCCCAGCGCTTTGGGAGGCTGAGGCAGGAGGACTGCTCAAGTTGAGGAGTTCTGAGACCAGCCTGGGCAACACAGCAAGACCCCATCTCTATAACAAATTTTAAAAGTTGCTGGGCGTGGTGGTGTGTGCCTGTAGTCCCAGCTACTTCGTAGGCTGAGACAGGAGGACCACTTGAGCCTGGGAGCCATGATCAAGCCACTGCACTCTAGTCTGGGCACCAGAGCAAGACCACATCTCCAAAAAAAAAAAAAAAAAAAAAAAACACCTCACGTGGGGTTGTCTCTCAGCCTTTCAAGAACTTAACAGACCAAAAGAGTGACTCATCCAAATGTCTAGAATTACTATATTTTCCTCATATTTTTCCTCTCATTTTAAAGGAAGAAAAAAACCTCAACACAGAGCTTCTGCACTTATCCTATTCTCTAAACTAACCACTAAGCATGAAATCCAGTATAAACTGATTATTCTGCCAAGAATGTGCATATATATTAATTTCAAGGACAAGTAAACCAAGCAGTCAGGATTTATCAAAAAGCATCAATTATGATGAAAACTGGAAGGGTATTGTAAAGAGCAATGACTTATCAATCGATATTATATAATAACTGTAACTCAGAGTTAATGATTAAATAGATTAAATAAACAGAATATTTTTCCACCAAGAAACAAAACAAGAAAACTAAGAACGATGTTAAATAAAACCAGGCCAGATACAAAATAGATAAATGTATTCGATATGTTTTATTTCTTACCTTTTCCATATACTGTGAGCAGTTTGATTCTTGTAATAAATTTGAAGCTTCTTGTTTGTAATACTCTCCTGTTTCAGTCAGAAAGGGAGACTCAAAAATTTCCTGATAAAACTGAATAAATCAATTACATCATATTAGAAGAAATTAGAACAAGCAGTTTAAGAAATTAACAGTCTGATTATTTGTTTTTAAAGGAGGCTGTTTACCTTTAAGGGGAATTTTTTCTTATACTGTTCAACATGAACAAAGGAGTTAATAACCCCATGGATTACTTTCTGGTTTGGGTCTTCTCCACCACGATCACTAAAACAAGGTATAACACAAAATATTCTTGAGAATACAAATTATCTATGGAAATATACCCAAAATATGCCAAAATATGGCTCCTTATTCTATTGGTCTAATCAAAGTGTAAAGAACTATAAAAAGGTACATGCATGAATCTTAACAATGATTTTTTTTATATCACAGCTGAGTTAATATTCATGATAGTTAATGTATACATTAGATGTCATTTCAAGAAATAAAAAGAAAACTGATTGTAAAGTTCAAGATACTATGTCAGTAATAAGATAACACTTCTTTAATTTTAACAAAGTAGATACGAGCCCATCAATTCAAAACTTTAATACTGGCGGTTAAGAATGCTTGATTTTCACTCACTACAAACTACAAAGTCTTAATCATATTAAGACATGTAGGTGAAATGTTAGCTTTTCTAATAAAAGGAATATGAAATAGAACCAGGCACCGTGGCTCGTGCCTGTAATCCCAACACTTTGGGAGGCCAAGGTGGGAGGATCCCTGAGTGCTGAATTTGTGAGCTGCCTGGGCAATAGAGCGAGACCTCATTCAAAAAAAAAATTAGCCATGCATGGTGGCACACACCTGTGGTCCCAGCTACTCTGGAGGCTGAGGTGGGATGATCCCTTGAGTCCTGAGTTTGAGACTAGCCTGGGCAACATAGCAAGACCCCATACAAAAAAAAAAAAAAAACAACTTAGCTGTGCATGGTGGCACATGCTTGTGGTCCCAGCTACTCTGGAGGCTGAGGTGGGAGGATCGTTTGAGCCCAGGAGGAGTCGAGGCTACAGTGAGCCACGATTGCACCACTGCACTCCAGCCTGGGTGACAGAGCAAGACCCTGTCTCAAAAATTAAAAAATAAAAATAAAAATAAAATAGAAAAAAAGTTTGCTTAAAGCCACAGTAAAATAATCTAGCTCTAAATTGGGATTTTGTGACTCTAGTACCAATGCTCAAATCAAACCATTATGGTTTACCTCACTACACACTCTTCCAACCTACTTTAAAATAATTTCTTCTTTGCATTAATAATGTCACAAAGAGAGCAACAGAAAACTTATTATCATCATTCCCTAGTAAGAGCTTGTTGCTCTATATATAGGATGTAAGAATTTTCTATCATTGAAGAAAAGCATCAAGGAAAAGCATCCAGGCAATTACCTTTACATACTAGAGTCCTTCCCTGCCTCTGAACCCCTCTAGTCCTCTTTGATTCTTCCTTTAATTATTTGGATATTCTGAGAACTATTTTTTGGACATGAATTAATATGGCTACAGTAATTCTGTCAGTCATAGAGAATCTTGATATCTTGATATCACTGACTAGTTCATATAATAAGGTCACACATGTGAGCTCATTTCCTTGGCTTGGGTCACATGCGTGACCTCACATAAGCCCACATTCAATCTGGTGAGATACTGATCTGAACTGTTACCTATTTTCTCATGTTCTGCTTATGGTGGAAGAACAGATACTGTGGAGGACATACTGGCAAAACTCTAAGTATACACACCCTATGACCCCAAGCAAACATCTACATATGTGTACAACAGAAACAAGAGTGGTGTTAGTGGAAAAACTGGAAGGAACCTAATATACGCCACTAGGAGAAGAGTTTAATAAAGTGAGGTAGGCCTCTCTAGTTTAAGTCTGAGTTCATCCTGGTAAAGTTTAAAAAGCTAACTGGTCACCTAAGGATGACAGCAAACCAACTCATTATCTTAAAAACTGGGTTATTGGCCAGGCGCAGTGGCTCACACTGGTAATCCCAGCACTTTAGGAGGCTGAGGTGGGCAGATCATCTGAGGTCGGGAGTTAGAGAGCAGCCTGGCCAACATGGTGAAATCCAGTCTCTACTAAAAATACAAAAATTAGCTGGGCATGGTGGCGCATGTCTATAATCCCAGCTGCTCAGGAGGCTGAGGTAGGAAAATTGGCTTGAACCTGGGAGGAGGAGGTTACAGTGAGCCAAGATCGTGCCACGGCATTCTAGCCTGGGCAACAGAGTGAGACTCTGTCTCAAAACAAAACAAAACAAAACAAAACAAAACAAAACAAAAACAAAAAACTGGGTTATTAAAAAGGAAAGAAACAAACAGTTATTTTGCTTTTCCTATATGAACTCTACCATTGGGTAACTAAACAGTAGGTGAGAAGAAGCATATCTTGATAAAATTTTCCAGGTAATAAAGAAGAACAAAATGATAGATGGCTCTAACAAGCAGCTCTATAATATGCTGACTAAATTACTAATTTCTTCATTTCCTTTAACTGACATTCCCACCTAGAAAACAATTTTAAATATCAGGAATTCTATTCACTGTAAAAGAAAGATGTGGCTCACATCAGAAACCCTACCTCAACCTCCATATTTGCTTAATTCTCTATGATAGTTCCTCAATTCTGTGAGTGAACACATTAGATTACAATAAAAAATAATTTGGTTAAAGATTTCTGGGCCAGGCGCAGTGGCTCACGCCTGTAATCCCAGCACTTTGGAAGGCCGAGGCGGGTGGATCACGAGGTCAGGAGATAGAGACCATCCTGGCTAAAACGGTGAAACCCCGTCTCCACTAAAAAAAAAAAAAAATAGCCGGGTGTGGTGGTGCGCGTCTGTAGTCCCAGCTACTCGGGAGGCTGAGGCAGAAGAATCGCTTGAACCCAGCAGGCAGAAGTTGCAATGAGCTAAGATCGTGCAATTGCACTCCAACCTGGGCAACAGAGCAAGACTGTCTCAAAAAAAAAAAAAAAATACAGGCATAAAGGCCGGGTGCGGTGGCTCACTCCTGTAATCCCCACACTTTTGGAGGCCGAGAAAGTTGGATCTCTTGAGGTAGGAGCTCGAGACCAACCTGGCCAACATGGTGAAAACCGGTCTCTACTAAAAATACAAAAATTAGCAGGGCGTGGTGGTGCCCAGCTACTCGGGAGGCTGAGGCAGGAGAATTGCTTGAACCCAGGAGGCGGAGGCTGCAGTGAGCTGAAATCATGTCACCGCACTCCAGCCTAGTAGACAGAGTGGGAATCCTGTCTCAAAAAAAAAAAGGAAAAAAGGACAGGCATAATGAATTCAGAGTTAGATTAGCCCAGATGTGAATCCCTAGAATTATTATTAGATGGAGGCTGGAGTCAAATGATCTGAGTCAGATCACCACCATTGACTTTTGCATGTCAAGGATGTCATGCATGTAAAATGGTGACACTAATAGTATTAGCCTTCCAGTGTTGTGAGGATTAAATGGGAAGATGGATGTAAAATTTTTAGCACAATGCTTGGTATGTAGTTCCCATGTTTAATTTCTATTATTAATATGCCTTAGTTTCCTTAACTTTAACATGCAAAACTCTAAGAGAGCTGTCATGAAGAATAAGTGAGATCTTAGTAAAGCATGTGAAACAATGCTTTAATGGAAGCCGATTATAACAACAAAAATAAGACAAGCAGACCAGATAATCTATCTTTTCCAGAACTAATATGCTTTAGTTGTATTATTTTTCTTACATTGTTTCCTTCATTTTTTATCATATTGATTTTTAGCAAACTAACAATCACACTAAAAATTTACTAGGTTGGGACAAAATTATATTAAAAAAGATATTTCACAAAAGTACATTTAGAAAGTATAACAGTATTGTCATTATACTTTTAAATACTTGAATTCCAAGTCAAAAGAAAAGTTAGTATATTTTAGCAGGAGAAATTATATTAGAACTTAGAAGTTTTGTTGGGAGTGTTCTTTTAGTTCACAGTTTTGTAAAGAAAAGAGGAAGAAAAACAACGGGTTACACCCTACTGCTTCAGTATTGCCTTTCCTCTCCAGCTCTCTATCTCTAAAAACAATGGAATCACTCAAACGGTCAGTGACAATTTTTAAAAATCAAGTTACTAGTTGTTACCACCTACTTTCTATTGGGTATCAAAAATTTAAAAATATTCTCTTATCTTCTTATGTGAGGCATAGGGGTGGGTGTGTGTGTTTAATCCCTTACTTCCTCCCAGGAGTCCCATACTAAATACCACGGCTTTGACAAAGTATTCCTCATATAAAAAAAACTCCTTATTTAGGTCTTCTTGATGAGCACAGATATAGGTGGAGTGGCCATTATTACACTACAATTCACTGGTCTAGATAATTCCTATAACATCAGTTCCAGTAACCTGGAATTTACTGGATATATATTTGTGTGACTGACAGAGTGCTTCTGAGAGTCTTTGAGCCAGAGCTAATCCAAGGATGTTCTATTCTAGACTCCACAGGAAAATGTTCTTTGTACTAAATTGTATTCACACAGCACTAGGGTAAAAAGTGTTAACCACTCTGAGCCATGGGTAGAGTGGGAAACCATTTTCCCATAAATTTATCTCACAGAATTAGGCAAGTTATTGATTATAACACTGAGGCTAAGAGGTAGCCAACTAACTAGAAGAATGTCTTCCTCAATAGGTGGTCCTCACGAGGATTTAAACAGGTAATATGTACAAGCAACTCAGGGCACTGCCTAGAAAGTCTAAGAGTTTTCAGCTCTGAAAAGCAATAAGTCACTTCCCTCAGATACTTATTTATATACTAAGCATATTAGGGTATAAGAAAAGACCAGAGCTCCCCCCACCAAAAAGAAAAAAAAAGAAAGAAGAAGAAGAAGAAGAAAATAAAACAACTTAAAAAATGCTGGCATTGGAAGTAAAATGAGGCTCATTACAGTAAAACCAGCCCCAAGGCTAGTCACTGGCTCTGCAATTGTACACTATTTTAAAACCATATCAAACAACAAAATAAAATTGACTCAGTAAGATAAATGTCAGCACTCACTTTTTGATTTCTCGGAGCAGCATTCGGATAAGGATGGCCTGAAGTGGTTCAACCATCAATTTCCTCCACATATCCAATGCTAGCTGCCGGGAAAAACGAAAATCATCAGGGCTGAATTACTTAGTATATGTTTAACATTTCCTCAAGGTTTTTTTTAACTAAAAATACTCATCAAAAGAAGTATTTATACTAATACTTCAAAATTCAAATAAAACCTGAACAAAAATTTAAAAACTCAAAGAAAACAAATTTCTAATTTGAAATATCAGTGACCACTCTACTAGCCTTATCAACATTAAGGTTTTATTATTAGTTGAAAATCTTAAGAAATAATTGATTATTATAAAACCTTAATTTAGGCCAGGTACAGTGGGTAACGTCTGTAATCCCAGCACTTTGGGAGGCCAAGGTGGGCACATCACGAGGTCAGGAGATCAAGACCATCCTGGCTAACATGGCAAAACCCTGTCTCTACTAAAAATACAAAAATGAGCCTGGTGTGGTGGCATGCGCCTGTAATCCCAGCTACTCGGGAGGCTGAGGCAGGAGAATTGCTTGAACCTGGGAGGTGGAGGTTGCAGTGAGCCCAGATCGTGCCACTGCACTCCAGCCTGGTGACAACAGTGCGAGACTCCGTCTCAAAAAAAAAAAAAAAACTTAATTTTTTGATTGTTAAAATGCTCAACACTATAAATGGGCTATAGATACCTAGACCGTAACAGAAACAAAGGATTTATGTTAAATGAAATAATGTGATTTGGCTGTAGACTGATTTTTTTAATTATGAAAAATTTTATACCAACATAAAAAGAGCAAGTCGGTTAAAAGAGTAATAAAACATTCCTGTATTCACTACCCAGTTTAAGAAATACAACTTCATCATTACCATTGTCCCAGATATCCTCCTCCTTTCCCCTCAGGTTATTACAATCCACAATTTTGTGAAACCCATCCAGTGGAAACATACAGCCATAGCTCAATCATTGGCACTGCTATACAGCATCCTGTTGCATAAATATGCCATGATTTATTTTTCCACTCTACTGCTGATGACTGCTGATGTGTCTGTGATTCCTATTTTCTGCTACTGGAAACAATGCTGTGATTCCTGTATGCATCATTTGGCCCACATAAGCAACAGATTCTCTGATATACATCTACAAGTTGAGATCCTGTACTGAACAATCAAGTGCTCATGCAGCTTTACTAAATCAAGCCAAATGATTTTCCAATTTATACTTGCATAGCAAAGCACAAGATTTCCCATTAGTCCCCATCCTTGACAACAAGTGGTACTGCCAGGCTTTAGTCAAATTTTGCCAGTCTGCTGGACATAAAATAGTGTCTCCTTGGCCAGGCACAGTGGCTCACGCCTGTAATCCCAGCACTTTGGGAGGCTGAGACGGGCGGATCACGAGGTCAGGAGATTGAAACCATCCTGGCTAACAGGGTGAAACCCCATCTCTACTAAAAATACAAAAAATTAGCGGGGCGTGGTGGCGGGTGCCTATAGTCCCAGCTATGCGGGAGGCTGAGGCAGGAGAACGGTGTGAACCCGGGAGGCGGAGCTTGCAGTGAGCCGAGATCGCGCCACTGCACTCCCGCCCAGGTGACAGAGCGAGACTCCGTCTCAAAAAAGAAAAAAAACCGGCCAGGCGCGGTGGCTCACGCCTGTAATCCCAGCACTTTGGGAGGCCGAGGCGGGCGGATCACAAGGTCAGGAGATGGAGACCATCCTGGCTAACATAGTGAAATCCCGTCTCTACTAAAAATACAAAAAATTAGCCGGGCGAGGTGGCGGGCGCCTGTAGTCCCAGCTACTCGGGAGGCTGAGGCAGGAGAATGGCGTGAACCGGCCGGGCGGAGCCTGCAGTGAGCCGAGATCGTGCCACTGCACTCCAGCCTGGGCGACAGCAAGACTCCGTCTCAAAACAACAACAACAACAACAAAAAATAGTGTCTCCTTGTGGTTTTAACTCTCATTTTACTGAATGAAGCTGGGAATTCTTTAATGTTTATTGTCCATTTTGGGTTCTTCCCTGTGAAACGCCCATTCCTAATTTTGCCCGTTAGTCTGTTAAAGTTTGTCTTGTTCTTAATAAAAGCTAGAGTTTTTTATATATTGTGGAAATTAATCCCTTGAAAGTTTCACAGTCTGTCCCAGTAAATCAACTGCTCGGTTTCTTTATTGTGTTTTGGTAAAAATATATTAAAGTTTAATATACTCAAATTTACCAATCTTCTTTATCATGGGTATTTTTTAAGAAATCCTTCTCTGCCCTAAGGTAATAGGCATATGTGTGGTCCTACTCTGCCTTCCAAGTTTTCAAGCTTTGCCTTTCACATTTAGGCCTTTAAACTTCAAATATATTTTCCCCACATAGAGTATAAATTATTCCAGTACTGAAAACCAATTTTTTGTTTGTTTGACTCTTCTCTTTTTCCACCCTAACTACATCCAGATAGGCTGTTGCTAGCCTCCCTATTGTTTCCCTAGGGTAATTTTATTCTGATCCATTGGTAATTAAGCATCTGTCTTCCCACAAGGAACACTGTTCAAGTTTTGCCTTTCTTTCTTAATAGCATGAATGGGGGTTGGGGAGGCAATACATGAAAAACTGGTATTTTACACATGTGGTGGAAGGGCAAACTGGTAAAGGCCCTTCTGAAAGGCAATGGGGCAGAGCTGCGAAACTTCAGGATGTGCTTCGACAGAGGCTCCACTTCCTGACACCCAGTCTATAAAAAGTTCTGCTCATGTACCAAGAGATACACATAAATATAACTCCATGAGCATAAGATTTTTCTCTATTTTGTTCACTGTTGTATTCAACATATATAACACAGACGGGTTCAAAAATACTTAATGAATGAATAAATGAATAGTGGTGTTCACTGCAGTGTTGTTTGTAATAACAAAAAATTAAAAATTGGGGGGCGCGGTGGCTCATACCTGTAATCCCAGCACTTTGAGAAGCGGAGGCAGGCGGATCACAAGGTCAGGAGATCGAGACCATCCTGGCTAACACGGTGAAACCCCGCCTCTACTAAATATACAAAAAATTAGCCGGGTGTGGTGGCAGGCGCCTGTAGTCCCAGCTACTTGGGAGGCTGAGGCAGGAGACTAGTGTGAACCTGGGAGGCAGAGCTTGCAGTGAGCCAAGATCACACCACTGCACTCCAGCCTGGGTGACACAGCGAGACTCCGTCTCAAAAAAAAAAAAGAAAAAAAAAAATTAAAGGGATAGTTTAAAAAATTATTCTGTATCTCTACAGAATATTAAGCTTTCACAAAAAACAAACTTATGTAAAAAGACAGACAGTAACAAATAACAAAAAAAAAGGCAAGAAATATAGGCTGTAGAACTTTATGTGTGCCGTTTTATCGCAGTTTGAAAAATAAAATCAAAACTGCTGTGTGTGTGTGTGTTTATGTAAATATTTATAAATACACAGGTAAAGTTCAGAAAAGATGCGAACTAAATTGTTTACAGTGATTTTCTGGGAAGAGAAGTGTGCTTGACAGTGCTGGTGATAAGGGAATGATTTATTCACTTACAATGCTACTAACTAAAAGCAACTACTGTTAATATTTTGGTATTTCTCATTGATCTTTTTCTCTATATCATCTTTTCCCTATAATTGTATTTGTATTCAACATATACCTATAATTTTGTGTCCAAATTTTTTCATAAACAATGTCCCCTTTGTTAAAGTTTCTATGAACAATTTTCTGCTATTAATTTATCCATTTGCCTACTTTTATAACAAAATCATATCATATATAATACATTCTTCTTCCATGCTTTTTATTGCTGAATGTTGGATGCTGAAATTTTACACTGTTCAGCCATTAGGCACCCTATTAACAATGATTGCAAAGAATACTTTTAAACATTAAACTCTTTTCTAATATTTATTATTTTCCAAGTATGGATCACTAGGCTTAGGACTTGGGATTACTTGGTCAAAAGGTATTAAGTATTTTAAACTGTACTGAAAGAAAGACACTGATCAATTTCTTTCGGAAAGGATTACACTACCTTAAATGTCTCCTAATGCTGCCTCTTAGCCTGTTTATTTCCTTCATTAACATAAATCACAAGTTAACATTAATTTCCTATTTGGCATCTGCTTCCCTTACATGAACTTACAAGCTTTTGTGTGCAGGGACCTTCTGTCTGTTCACCATTGTATCCCCAATGCCTGGCTACTCAATAAAGATGTATTAAATGAATAAACAAGCTTGTACAATAATACTTCTTTCACAATCAGCATAATTTTCCATATTTTAATTTGCACTGTACCTCAAGAACTTGAATGGACCAAACTGCCCATTTAATTGTTTCACTCTGAATTTAATTACTTTTAAAGTAAAGTTACAATAAATTTGTTGTATCCATAAATTTGTGTTTCCTCTCCTCTAGCCTGTCTTTTAAGTACTTGTCCCCTGCACTTTTTAACTACAGGGCCGTCAACACTTTATAATTGTTTCTGAGTTTTTTCACAATGCAGAACCATTAACTCTATCATTCATCCATTATAAATTTAATTATCAAAAGAGTAGTTGTCACATCTTTTTCGTTCCTGAGGATTCTTAGGAAATCACTATAGCATTTTATTTAGGATCTTTTAAATCTTGACCATTTTAAGCTAGCCAAATCAGTGTCCTTAAAAAATGATGTGCAATCAAATTACCTCAGTGTATAAAAACATACTTATGTTTGCTAGTCACTTAAAGAATGTCCTACCTCTCCTATTTCCATAAGTGGTTCATTCATATCTACACCACCATAGCCATACTGAAGGTCCGCTTCTGTTAATTTATTCTTTTTAATAAACTGGGTGTTGAGATACCTGGAAAATAAATGTAATATCAATGGATATTAAGTTAAAGTCAGTAGGAAAGCAAATGACTTGCAACTTTAGAAGAATATTTTTAAGATTACATATAAGCCATGGAATAGCCTACTAACAAATCCAAAAGAAATGAATTATGTAGAGATTAGAAATATAATAAAAATTAAAATTATCAGCCCACCTTTCTCTGCAAGCCCTTACAATACCCTTCTAGCCCAACAGCTCTTATCCAAGTTTCAGAATTTCTATAATCTCGTTTGCTACTTCCCAGACTCTTCTTGGGAAAGTCAAGATAAAGTCCACTTTCCAAAAATTAAACAGAGAATGGTTAAAAGATAAAAGTCAAGTTAGCTTTCTAATTTATATTCTAATCACCAGGAAGAAATGCAATTTTTCATTTTTAAACAAAAAAGATCACAATCAGTAGGTAAGAAAATGGAACACAGTGTTACAGATAGTAAGTATGGGCAAGATTGACAGATACAAGATGACTTTGTCTACCAGAGGAAAATGAATTATACTAAAAATGTTTAATATATTTCAAGACTAATATATGTGATTAACTCAGAATAACTGAGATGAATACAGAAATCTAAAATAAAATAAAACATGGAGAAAGGACTCGTAATGTTCAACTGTGTAGTTTTTAGGATTCCAGATTTCACTATAATGCCTTTAAACAGTCACCACCTAAAACTATTCATTTGAAAGGTTCTGCTAGTGTAAATAGCTACTGACAATACAAGTATTTTAGGCAACAACCCATGAAATCTATACATGAATATATACACTTTTCAAAATTCACTACACCAAAATGAAGGGTCCACTCAGCATTTACAGACAAATTAAAAACGAAGACAACCAAAACAAGACAACAATTTTGGGAAACAATTAAACACATAATTCCTGGCCAGGCGTCGGGGCTCACGCCTGTAATCCCAGTGCTTTGGGAGGCTGAGGCGGGAGGATCACTTGAGGCCAGCAGTTTGAGAGCAGCCTGGGTAACAGCGAGACTGTCTCTTAAGGAAATAATAATAATAACTCCTAGAAAATTGACTCCAAAGTGGTATACCCACAACCATTTACACAAGCTCCATCTCCATATTCACTAGTCAAGGCTCTAGACTCCATGGCTTACAACCTTGATGTACCATTTGATATTTTAGTGTCCTCTGACCATAAGTTACAAGATCATACTCTTTTTTTTCCCCTTTAAAATGCCATTTATTCCTTCCTCTCTATCCTCACTGTAACTCTCAAAATTTCATGCTGAGTTTCCAACCATGCCTTCCAGCTAAGGAAAGAGGAATAAGATTGAGAGACAAAAGTAAAAGGTAAAGAGGGGATGGCCTCTCCACCTAAGTGCCCCATCCCAGATATTCTGAGGGTAGTCAGTCCCCTTTCATCCGAGTCTCAGCACAGACACACCTTTCAGGTGTGCCCTGAACCCCAGAGGAGTTAGCCTTCACTTCCCAGCCCTAAGCAAGTAACTATTTAACGCACAACTGTTTTACTTTCTTCACAGTAATTGCTACTATATGAAATAATCCTATGCTTTTATTGGTTTCTTTTTTTGTGCATTCATCTTCTCTCTAGAATGTACAGTATACAAAGCAAGAACCTCCTCTTGTAGACAGCATCCACAGTAGTGGCAGGCAAAAGTCAAGTCCTCAAAAAATAATTACTGAATAAATAAATGGATAACATTCCAGACAGCAAGGATAGCAAAAGCTAACAGTAGAACACAAACCTGGAAAAGCAGCCTGCAGCCAGATCATAAAAGCCATGAATACCAGGAAATAAAAGTAATCACTAACATTTATTGAGATCACCTGTCAGACACAGCCCTAAGCATTTTATGTGGCTGAATACTATAAGACAGATGTATGTGGTACTCCTATGATCATTTTATACATAAGAAAGCTGCAGCCTAGAGAGGTTAAAGAGCTTGCCAAAGGTCAATCGGCTCCTAAGTGGCAGGGCTGGCACAGAAACTCAGGAGAGGTCTTCCACTCCCATTCAACATCGGCTGAGGGTATATCGTGTGCCAGGTCAACATGAGGCACTGGAAACACAAAGATGAAAAGCAAAAATATGGTCTCTGCCCACACAGAGCTCACTCTGTGGTACAATATACAAACAAATATAAGATTTCGTCAGGAGCGGTGCTCCCTCAGTAGAGGGTACTTAATTGTCATATTACCATTTACATATGCCTTCCAATACGGAATCTGCTCCAAACCAGTTTTCTTTTCTGGTCACTGGCACCAAGACCATTCCAGTAACCTCGCCTAAAACATCAGAATCACTTATCTCATCCTTCCATTTTGCCTGCTTTAATCAGTCAGTCTTCCTGTCTTCCTAAAGTATGCATCACTTCCTCTCACTACTTCCTTTGACTTCCAATCTACTTGCTGACCCTCTGCCCCGATTATGTGGAACACTTTTATGACTGGGCTCTACTTCAGTTTCTGGCATCTTTAATTCATCTAAAAATTCTGCTGTCAGGATGTTACTTTCCTATTCAGAATTCTACAGGAGCTTCCTTTACCTACATAATAAGTGTAAACTGCCTAGCATAGAAGCAGATGCTAAATCTGCAGATCAGGCCTGCATTCACTAATCCATTCCAAAGATCTAGATGTATATTCTTGAGCCAGGTATTGATTTAGTGCAGCTTTACATGCTTTGTATCTGCAAAGACAAACCAGTATTATCTTTTCCTCACAGAATAAAATTTAAACTAACTTACATTAACTATGTCTTTCTTATTGCAGATTTTTACTCTTGGTAAATTTAAGCTTGAAATACAATGTTTTAAAATAAAGTCATGGCCAGGCACGGTGGCTCATGTCTGTAATCCTGGCACTTTGGGAGGCTGAGGCAGGCAGATCACCTGAGGTCAGGAGACCAGTCTGGCCAACATGGTGAAACCCCGTCTCTACTAAAAAAATACAAAAATTAGCCAGGCATGGTGGTGGTTGCCTGTAATCCCAGCTACTCAGGAGGCTGAGGCAGGAGAATCACTTGAACCCAGGAGGCGGAGGTTGCAGTGAGCCGAGATCGTGCCACTGCACTCCAGCCTGGGCGACGGAGCAAGACTCCGTCTGAAAAAAAAAAAAAAGAAAAAAAGAAAATAAAGTCACAATTTAAAATATAAACAGTGCCATTTTTCATTTTAATATGGACACCATTCTTATTTTATAAGTCACTGTAGTATTTTACAATCAAATTTATTAACCACATATTTGCTTCTTAATAAAGACATGGGCTGGACGCAGTGGCTCACGCCTGTAATCCCAGCACTTTGGGAGGCTGAGGCAGGTGGATCACTCGAGGTCAGGAGTTCGAGACCATCCTGGCCAACATGGTGAAACCCCATCTCTACTAAAAAAAAATACAAAAATTAGCCAGGTGTGGTGGCGCGTGCCAGTAATCCCAGCTACTCAGGAGGCTGAGGAAGGAGAATCACTTGAATCTGGGAGGCGGATGCTGCAGTGAGCCAAGATTGTGCCACTGCACTCCAGCCGGGGAAACAGCGAGACTCGGTCCCAAAAATTAGTAATAAAATTTTTAAAAAAAGAACATTTATGATTCATGGGAGAAGGTCTAAATATCATTATGAACAGGTGATTAGAAGATGCTGATTCTATAAAGGGAAATAAAATCTCAGGATTCCCAAAACTCCTATGCCAAAACAGGAATTTAACCTTGGAGGCTGAGTCATGCTAAATGGCCATCCTCTTCCTGGACGAATAACTCTTACAAGTTTGTGTCGAAACATTATATATTAGCCAGACCCCCGTGGTAAGGCAAAAAGCCTCAGCCATTTCCTGATGACTAACCCGCCTCAAAAAGTCACTCATTCGTAAATTCTTTGCTAGCCTCGAAACCATTAAAATGTAAATCCTCCCATAACACAAGGACAGGTCCATTGTAACTCCAGATCTGTAGTCTAAAGTCTAGTTCCTAAAACCTAAGGTCTGCTAGCATCCACCTGATAAGTGTCGATTCTTAGCTGATAATTCCCAGGCACAGAGCAAAGGCAAGATGAGAGTAATCATTCCTTCCCTGAGATGTCTGCACAACTGTTTTCTTCTTCTATTTCCTTTTGCTTCAAAGGTTTATCTTATATAAAATGTAGATTTACTGGGCATTAATTAGTCTCACAAGTAGGTAACCATTTGCCTCACTGCCACCACCCCTCATGTTTTAAGGAAAATGTATAAACACTAACCCTCCTAAGAACCTCTTTGGACAAAACAGCCACAGATGCATCTGTGCCTTGCGTTTTTCCTGGGAGCATCCTTAAGCTAGCTCAATAAACCTTGATTGAGACAGCTGCCTCAGTCACTCAATTCAGTTAACACTTCCAACCCTCATGGATGAGTTAGGGGGTCAAGACTTCAGGGGAGGAAGTGACTGGAGGTGTGGTGGAAACATCAAGAGAACTCAGAAGTGGATCCTGAAGATGGGACTGAATTGCTGCAATCTCATGATATAACTTGAATGGATAAGGAGTTGCTTCTTATGGATGAGAAAGTGGTTTCTTGAGACAGAATCTACTCCTAATAAGACGGTATGAACATTGTTGAAATGACAACAAAGGATTCAAATATTACATAAGCCTAGCTGATAAGGTGGTGGCAGGGTTTGAGAGGACTGACTCCAATTTCGTAAGAATTTCTACTGCAGGTAAAATGCTATCCAACAGCATTGCACCCTAGAGAGAAATCTTTTGTGAAGAAAGAGTCAACTGATGCAGCTAACTTCATTGTTGTCTTATTTTAAGACATTGCCACAGCCTCCCCAACCTTCAGCAACCACCACCATGATCAGTCAGCAGCCATCAACACCGAGGTAAGAAGACTGGCAAAAGGATTACAACTTGCTGAAGGCTCAAATGATCAACAGCATTTTTTTTAGCAATAAAGTAATTTTAAATTAAGTTGTGCACATTTTTTTAGACAATGCTACTGCACACTTAACAGACTACAGTATAGCATAAACATAACTTATATGCACTGGGAAACCAAACAACTTGTGTGACTTGTCTTACTGCAATATTCCCTTTACATGTGGTGGTCTGGAACTGAACCCACATCATCTCCAAAGTATGCCTGTACAAGAAGATTGAGAATAGAATCTACTTAAGTGAAATACCATGTTTCTGGAACAAGATTATGGTAGAATGAAGTGGTTAAATGGATGGGCTTTGGATTCAGACTGATCTGGGTTTAAATCCTGCCTTTGTGATTCATTAGCTGAGTGACCTTCAACAAAATCATGCTCTCAGCATTGCTTTCTTCCTCTGTAAAAAACAGAGATACTAACTAACTCATATCATTTTACACACACATACACAAACACATATTAAATAGGCTGCAACATTTACTAAAAGTTCACAAATAGCACCAATTTAATAGTACTAATTTAGCCAGGCACAGTGGCTCATGCCTGTAATCCCAGCACTTTGGGAGACTGAGGAGGGAGGACTGCTTAAGCTCAGGAGTTCAAGACCATCCTGGGCAACATAGTGAGACAGCATCTCTACAAAAAATGAACAACATTAGCCAGGCATGGCGGTGCACACCTGTTGTTCCAGCAACTGGGGAGAAGGGTGTTCGAGGTGGGAGGATTGCTAGGGCCCAGGAGGCTGAGGCTGCAGTGAGCTGAGATCATGCAACTACACTGCAGCCTAGGTGAGATCCTGCCTCAAAAAATAAAAAATAAAAAAAAGGACAAAATAAAAGAAAGAAAAATAGAAAAAGAAAGAGAAGCAATCCAGGCAGATGGAACAGCACCAGGAAAGGCAGGAAGATGGGAGAGACCATGGGCCATTAGGAAACTACAAGTAATTCAATATGCCTAGACCATGGGGAATGCAGAACTTCAAGGGGAAAATAACCCAGTAATTTATCTAACATCGTTTGCATCAAACATAAAATACTGAATGCTAGAGTCAAATAAGAACATATCGAGGGGACATGAGCTGAGATTTTCCCACTAAGTTTCATGCAAGTTGAATTTTCACATTGATCTCTGTTGAGATTAAACATGTGCTACAGGTTGTAAACAATCAGAAGAAACAGAGCCATGCAATCGAGTACAGTTTTACTTTTCACAGAACGTTCCACACACTCCCTGGCTCCTAAATACCCACCTTACCCTGACTATAGACCTTTCCCCACAGCAGAGAAAAGTCCATGTCAGAGAGAATGCTTTAGTTTTGCATATGTGAATGAGAAATAGGCAATAAAAAAATTATCCTGTCAACTACTGAATGCAGGCAACGCTGCTTAGCTTGTCTAGATTTTAAAGGCACACTCACCTATATAAGCAGTCCATATAGTCTGCACCCTTGCTGTATTCTTCCCAGTACCTATGATACATAACAAGTACTTGTTCTTCTGACTCCAAAACTCTCTATATAAAGAGGAAAAATATTTTTACTTGAAAAGCAATAATCATTTTCACTGTCAACAATAAAATGTATCAAAATTAATGTTCTAAAATAATTTACATAATTCTAGCTGTACAAATTACATTTACACAACACATATTAACTACACGTATTAAAAATGAAACAACTGGGAAAGATGTGAGTCTTCAAAATGAAAGTGAAGCATCCATAATAGAGAATAAACTGAGCCGAGCGCAGTGGCTCACGCCTGTAATTCCAGCACTTTGGGAGGCCAAGGCGGGTGGATCACCTGAGGTCAGGAGTTCAAGACCAGCCTGACCAACATGGTGAAACCCCGTCTCTACTAAATAAAAAAAAATTAGCCAGCCGTGGTGGCACATGCCTGTAAGTTCCAGCTACTTGGGAAGTTGAGGCAGGAGAATCACTTGAACCCGATCGCACCGAGACCCCACCACTGCACTCCAGGCTGGGTGACAGAGCAAGACTCTGTCTCCCAAAAAAAAAAAAAAAAATCACACTTATAATGTAACCTAAAATATAAAATTGCAAAAAAATTATTAATGTCTTACATAGTTATCACTTATGGTGTTAACCAAAGCTCACTAGCTTACAATAGCAGAACTTTAACATACTAAACACTTTAAGACCACTTTAACACACTTGCTATCAAAAGCACTTTTATAAGCAGATAAATGATCACATTAGAACACTAAAATGCACATGCCATATACTATCAAAAGTAGAGCATTTTCCAATATTTTCAGGGAAACAGCACACAATCAATTGTGCCTTACTTATGAGGGTTTTTTTTTTTTTTTTTTGGTACAGGTAGTGTCTCACTATATTGCCCAGGCTGCTCTTGAACTCCTGGCCTCATATGATCCTCCTGCCTCAGCCTCCCAAAGTACAGAGATTACAGGTGTAAGCCACCGCACCAGGCCAGTTCTTACCATTTAAAAAAGTATCTACTCCTGACCACGTGCAGGGTTAGACAGTTTAAATAAAACTGTGTTGTTTTATTCCCATTTTATAGATAAAGTCAAAACTCAGTCCATAAGGTAGTTGTTAAGTGAGTTGCCCGTGGTTACAACAGCTAATAAAAAGCAGAGTGAAGATTCTTACGCAGGCACTAAATTATCTCATCCAGTTCCTGATTAGATCAGTAGTCTAAATTAAGTTGGAAATGCTGTCTATAGCAAAATACTGCAAAATTCACTGTTTATACACAGATCATGTCTGTGATGCTGCCCCTCTATGTACAGCATACTAATAAAAAAACTGGTCACAGAGACAGCTTCTATCACCATTTACCATTTCTTTTTAATTTTAGATTTTGGGAAGACTTCATATAGCACATGAAAGGCAGCTAAAAAGCTGAAAATAATAAAGACAGAGATTTACCAAGAGATAGGAATAAAAAACGAGGGAAAATTTGGCTGTATAAACACTATCCAGAGGACGTAGGAGCACATTTTAAAACTCAACAAACCCTGAGCTGACCCTCTCCTTCATTTACTAATTACGAGATGCTGAGCAAGTAAACTGATTTCCCTAACACAGTGCTTGACTCAAAGATCTTAATATGTATATATTTTTAAAATGCTGATTAAGAAGCAAAAACAAGGGAGGCCAAGGCCGGAGGATCACTGGAGCCCAGGAGTTTGAGACCAGCCTAGGCAATATAGTGAGACCCCCATCTCTACCAAAAAAAAAAAAAAAAAATTGCCAGGTGTGGTGGTGTGTGTCTGTATTCCTAGCTACTCGGGAGGCTGAGGTGGGAGGATCACGTAAGCCAGGGAAGTCGGGGCTGCAGTGAGCCATGATCGCGCCACTGCACCCTAGCCTGGGCAACAGAGCAAGACCCTGTATTTAAAAAAAGCAGCAGCAGCAGCAAAACAAGCTGACCTTGATAAAAGTTCTACACTGGAAAACAGTAAACTAGTAAAGTATACAACTATCAACATATTTATATCACGTATGTATCATTGCTTACCTTATGCAAATGCCGAACATGATTTTCCAAAAAAATCTTAGTTTCTGTATAAAGTCTTTCTCCAAGGGGTTCAGGATAGGCCACACATAAAGCATAGATATCTCTAGTTAAATTATTAAGGTTTTCATATTTATTGGAGACAATTTTAAAACATAATGAGATTTACCTTGTTTGGCATTAAAAAATGAAAAAACATTTCTTTTTGTGGTTTAGCTTATAATATACATAATACTGTTGTATATATGACAAGATAGAATACATAACCATGCTTACTTTATCTAAGATTCATTCACTTATTCATTCCACAAGTATTTATTGAGAATTATTTGAAGACACTGTAAGGAAAATGGTTCTTATCAGAGAGGTTAAAATCCAGAGGGAGTTTCTGGAAAATCAAATTACCCAGAATCCTACAAAATAAGGTTTATATTAGAATGGATATTAGTATCAATAGTATCAATGATATTAGTATTCATAGTATCAATGAAGGGCTATGGAATATGACAAGAGGCAGACATGTCTAAGCAATTCTGAGAAACTAAACAAAAATTATTCATTTGACACAGCCTCCTACATCATAGCAGTCAGGATACTCTACCGTTATTCTATCAGAAGAAATATACCATGAATAGGAATATCAATTAAGTTTCTGAACATCAACTAAGTACCTTGCTAAGTCTCACCGGAGGTAGATAACAGAAGGAGTGGAAAGAAGTAAGACCTGAGACTTTACCTTTCACTAGCCAGTGATCTTAACCAAGTTTCCTAGCCTCTCTCGGGTGGCATTTCCTTTTTTTTTTTTTTTTTTAATATCCTTTGCTTTATTGGATCTTCTCAACATCTCCAATAATTAGAAACATTATAAACCAAGAAGAACAAAAGATAAGACTTAAGGCAAAGCCCATTTATAACTTTGGGGCCAGACACGGTATTAGATTATGATTCTGGGAACTAGGTGTTTCATATGCTGCCTCCAACTACTGTGACAAGGCATTTTGGAGGTAACAGCTCATTTGTCCACAGGAACAATGACACCAGAGCAACACAGAGGTCAGGACCTCCTGGTGGTTATACTCCAGACTGTTCCATGATAAAGCTATGCCATCTTATCAGTACGATGACCACCACCAAGTGTCTCCAAGGTAAAGATAATGAATCTTTCCCTGACATCTCCACAGGTCCTGTAAGACCCAAATAAATTCATATATGTTAAAGTACTTTATAAACTGTCCATCATTAACCAAATATAGAAGATAAAGGACCTATGAGCAACCTGAGACCAGCCTAACTAAAGATGCAGATACAAACTGGAAATAAGGCTGATGATTCAGGATGAAGTCAGGTATTAAAGTTTAATAGAAAGATTAGGAAATACTATGAAATAAAAATGTTAACTTAAAAATAAGGATGCAAATTCTTTCTCCTCTATGTCCCCCCGACACTTCATATACATTCTTCTACAAAATTTATTTTTATACAGTAAAATTTATTTATACTTTTCCCAACCACATTAGCCTATTCTTCATCAACTCCATACTCCCAGCTCCCAGGCATGGTTCCTAGCACTTGATGATTTATTAAATCCTGCTGAAGGAAAGGAGATGCAAAATCAATCTCACATGCTCCATTTACCTAGCATCCTTACTCCAGAAAGCGCAAGCAGCCCTCTCCACATTTATTTACTTACTTATAAATTTTTTATCAGTTCTATTTATATATTTTTAAGCTTTATTTATTTATATTTTTACTTGAAAAAATTTTTTTGTAGAAACAGGGTCTCACCATGTTGTCTAGGCTGGTCTCAAACTCTTGGGCTCAGGCAATCCTTCTGCCTCGGCCTCCCAAAGTGCTAGGATTACAGGTATGAGCCACCGCTCAATATATCCACTGCATGTAAATGTAAACAAAATCTACTGGAAGGATTTGTGCCAAATCTCCAGCTTAAGGAGAAAGGAGCTACACAAGAGAGGTGGTACAGGGAGACTCTCCCATTTCATTCCATATACAGTACTTCTGCACTGTTGGACTCCTTCAGAATATACATATTTTTTTAATGCAGTGAATCCACCTTAATAAAATTTTAAAGTTTATGTTTTAACTCACCATAGTTTTGGGTCTCAAATCACTGTATAATTTTAACCAATTAACTATGTTCTTTTTCTCTAACCTATTCAAATATCCAACCAACCAGGAAACGTTTAGCCCTTATGAAGAACACCTACGAAAATGAGATTTTCAACCTCCAACACTCAGTTATGACTTGATTATAGACAAGACACTTTAAAAGACAAAAAATGTTGGCTGGGCATGATGGCTGATGCCTGTAATCCCAGCACTTTGGGAAGCCAAGGCGGGCAGATCACCAGGTCAAGAGATCGAGGCCAGCCATGATGACTCACGCCTGTAATCCCAGCACTTTAGGAGGCCAAGGTGGGCAGATCATGAGGTCAGGAGATCGAGACCATCCTGGCTAACATGGTGAAACCCCATCTCTACTAAAACACAAAAAAATTAGCCGGCGTGGTGACAGGTGCCTGTAGTCCCAGCCACTCAAGAGGCTGAGGCAGGAGAATGGCGTGAACCCGAGAGATGGAGGTTGCAGTGAGCCAAGATCGCACCACTGCACTCCAGCCTGGGCTACAGAGCGAGACTCCATCTCAAAAATAAATAAATAAATAAAAATTTAAAAAAAGAGATTGAGACCATCCTGGCCAACATGTTGAAACCCTATCTCTACTAAAAATACAAAATTAGCCAGGTGTGGTGGCACATGCCTGTAATGCCAGCTACTCGGGAGGCTGAGGCAGGAGAATTGCTTAAACTCAGGAGGCGGAGGTTGCAGTGAGCCGAGATCACACCACTGCATTCCAGCCTGGCAACAGAGCGAGACACCATCTCAAAAAAGAAAAAAAACACAAAATAACTAGGTCAGATTTCAACTTAAACATTCTTTCACTAGACTTATCTTTTCCTAAGTCATTTTTTAGGGAGCCAGAATACAAAAACTCCTCTATTTATGAACTTTCCAGTTTAAAAATGTCTCAGTCAGAAACTAAGCTGTTCCAGAATGAAAGCTCATAGCTGCAACCAAAAGACAGTCCTAACCAGCAGCAAAGTTACTTATTTTATTTCATGTTCTCTATTAAAAGGTGTTTCCTACGCTTGGCTTAATTTTGAGTTTTAACAGTATGAACTCTATTATGCCATGGGTCAAAAACAATGAGAGTTTTGCAATGGGAATAAAAGGAAAGGTTACCTAAAAAAATGAAAATGTAAGACAACCAAAAAAGGATTTGACAATTAAAAAAAATATATAATAAAATTAACAGTAAAAAAGAATTTGCTGACTTTTTTTTTTTTTGAGACGGAGTTTCGCTCTTTTGCCCAGGCAGTGCGGTGGCGTGATCTCGGCTCACTGCAAACTTCACCCTCCGGGTTCAAGCAATTATCCTGCCTACCTCCTGAGTAGCTGGGATTACAGTTGAGCGCCACCATGCCTGGCTAATTTTTTTGTATTTTTAGTAAAGATGGGGTTTAACCATGTTGGCCAGGCTGGTCTCAAACTCCTGACCTCAGGTGATCCACCCGCCTCAACCTCCCAAGTGCTGGGATTACAGGCGTGAGCCACTGCGCCCCGCCAGATTTGCTGGCATTTCTAATGAGAAAGAATACAGATGCAGTATCTACGAAATCATGCATTAGCAAACAAGGATAAAAAATGACTAATTAAATCGAAAATTTTCAAGTGCACAGCTAGTGAATCAATGAGAACAAATATCAATTAGCCTGATATAATTTAGAATAGGGTCAGGCAGTTGCTGATGCACCAAATACACCTGACTATAGATAAAATCTTTTCCCATCTGTAAAATCTAAGAAAGAATGATGGGCTACTACACATAATCTCCATGGTTACTAAGACCTTCTTCTTCTAACACTTGTGAAAAGTGTCAAGGATACAGGTACTTGCCTCAATATTTTTCAATGACATCAAAACTGGTCTATGTTTGAAAGAGATGCCTGATAGAATATAAACTAGAAATGATAGGTGTGGTAGCGCATGCCTGTAATCCCAGATACTAGGGAGGCTGAGGCAGGAGAATTGCCTCCCGGAGGTTGGAGTGAGCCAAGATTGCACTATTGCACTCCAGCCTGGGCAACAAGAGCAAAACTCCATCTCAAAAAAAAAAAAAAAAAAAGAAATGAAGACAACAGTATGCCTGGGTTTAAATGGTGGGAGGATGAACTCATATTCCTACCTGGAAGAAATACGTTGAGGGAAGGCAATATTAAGTCTCCCCTAACAATCATTTTGGACTTACTATAACCTTTAGATGCCACTTCTCCTCCAGTAGGAAAATGTCTACATTATGCTGCTGGAGTCTGGAATGGAAATCTGTCCTAACAGCTACTAAAAGAGAGAAAACCTTGAGTAAAAGTAAACTAGAACAGGGCCAGGTACAGTCTTTCTATTTATACAAAGTCCAAAAATCAAAGAATTCACCATTGGCCGGTCACAGTGGCTCATACCTATAATCTCAGAACTTTAGGAGGCTGAGGTGGGGGGAATCACTTAAGATCAGAAGTTCAAGACTAGCCTGGCCAACATGGTGAAACCCCATCTCTACCAAAAATACAAAAATTAGCCAGGTCATGCACATGTAATCCCAGCTACACGGGAGGATGAGGCATGAGAATCACTTAAACCCAGGAGGGGGAGGCTGCAGTGAGCCAAGATCACACCACTGCACTCCAACCTGGGCAACAGAGTGAGACCCTGCCACAAAAAAAAAAAAAAATTCACCATTATTGTTTATTCTATTTATATAAAGTCCAAGAAAATTCACCATTTAAGAACCACAAAAGGGCCGGACGTGGTGGCTCATACCTGTAATCCCAGCACTTTGGGAGGCTGAGGCAGGCGGATCACGAGGTCAGGAGATCGAGACCATCCTGGTTAACACGGTGAAACCCTGTCTCTACTAAAAAAATACAAAAAAATTAGCCGGGCATTGTGGTGGGCGCCTGTAGTCCCAGCTACTCGGGAGGCTGAGGCAGGAGAATGGCATGAACCCGGGAGGCGGAGCTTGCAGTGAGCCGAGATCGAGCCACTGCACTCTAGCCTGGGCGACAGAGCGAGACTCCGTCTCAAAAAAAAAAAAAAAAACGAACCACAAAAGGCTGGGTGCAATGGCTCACACCTGTAATCTCAGCACTTCAGGAGTGCCAAGGCACATGGAACACATGAGCCCAGGGGTTCGAGACCAGCTTGGCCAACATGGCAAAACCCCATTTCTACCAAAAATACAAAAATTAGCCAGGCATGGTGGCGGGCACTTTTAATCCCAGACACTCGGGAGGCTGAGGTATGAGAATCACTTGAACCTGGGAGGTGGAGGCTGCAATGAGCTGAGATCACTGCACTATGCCTAACAAAAAAAAGAACTACAACGCACTATGTCTAATAAAAAAAAAGAACCACAAAAACAACAGGCACAAAAATCAAGATAGTAGTTAGCTCCTAGAGAAACGGGTGGGATTGTGAACTTAGAGGGTCACGTGTTTCGGGTGGGGGTTATAGTGAATGTGGACAATGTTCTATTGTTCAATGTTCTATTGATAATGTAATTGCTTGCATTATAATTATTTGTGCAAAGGTGTATTTTATGAACTTGTCCATATTTGTGTTATTCACACTCCCCATAAATGCATGCTAAAAGTTCAAATAATAACACATATTTGAAACAATGTGGAGGGACCTGTTTTTTCCTTTTCAAAGTATTTACATTGTATGGCCCTTAAAATTTCCACTTAAGATATTAAGGGTCAGAAGTGAACTTTATATTCTTGGGCAAAATAACAGGGAAAATGATGGAATTTTACCTTATAACAATTAGTAGCATAGTCTTTTATTTATTTATTTTTGAAACGGAGCCTTGCTCTTATTGCCCAGGCTGTAGTGCAATGGCCCGATCTTGGCTCACTGCAACCTCTGCCTCCCAGGGTTTAAGCAATTCTCCTGCCTCAGCCTCCCAAGTAGCTGAGATTCCAGGCACCCACAACCACGCCCAGCTAATTTTTGTATTTTTAGTAGAGACGAGGTTTCGCCATGTTGGTCAGGCTGGTCTCGAACTCCTGACCTCATAATCCGCCTGCCTCAGCCTATCAAACTGCTTGAATTGTAGGCGTGAGACAACGTGCCCGGCCTGTACTCTTTAATCATTATTTTTGCAGACTTTTTATTTTGGGGGTGAGAGAAAATTCATGATCAGGTGAAAAATAACTGGCCCAGCCACCAGCTGGGCAAGGTGGCTCACACCTGTAATCCTAGCACTTTGGGAGGCCAAGGTGGGAGAAGTGATTGAGCCCAGGAGCTCGAGATCAGCCTGGGCAACATAGTGAGAACTCACCTCTACAAAAAAATTTTAAAAATCAGCCAGGTGTGGTAGCACATGCCTGTAGTCCCAGCTACTCAGGAGGCTGAGATAGGAGGATCTCTTGAGCCTAGGAGGTTGAGGCTGCAGTGAGCTATAGTCACACCACTGTACTCCAGCCTGGGTGACAAAGTGAGACCCTGTCTCTAAAAAGTAAAAATTAAAAAAAAAAAAAGGATAACTAAACCATATTAGATGGACCAAACAAATAACATCAGAGAAATAACAGTGACTGAAGGGGTCACTTTCCAGGGAAGTAATCTATTTCAAAACCACTTAAAAACCAAGAAATTCACTGTCGATTCTGTACAATGATGAAGAACACATTTTAATTATTTTTTCTTTACCTCCTGTTCATTTTCCCTCTTCTTGCTCTTCTTGTAGTCATCTATAACCAACTCCTCTTCCCTCTCTGCTCCTTGTTTTAGCTAAAATATCCTTAAAAGCACCTATGAACTTGCCTAGCCCAATCTCACTAACACACAAGTAGCAACACTTTTTCAACTTTTATTAAGATTCTTGCCCCAAATCAATCCATAATGTTCCACAGAAAAATTAGCTATCTAATTCAAAGGCAGAATCTATATTGGTTATCCTCTAGATATACTGGAAAGCATAGGAAATTGGATCTTTAAGATACTATATTCAAGTCTGTGGTCCATCAATTACTACCCGTATGACCCTGGGCAAATAAGTCCCTTACCTCTGAGATCAGTTTCCTTATCCGTTACAGTCAAGTAATTATTTTTGCCCCACTGATCTGATAGACTTGTTTGAGGTATCAAACAACATAAAAAATATAAAAGATCTTTTCAAACTTTGAAGCCTTCCAAAATGTCATCACCCTTTTACATATCTTCAGTGCCCAGAACATAGTTGGCTTAACAAACTTTTCTTACTGCCTACTGCAGTTGTAATGAATTAAATGGTTTTCTGTTGGTCTAAAGAACTTTACTCTTCTTGCATCCACATTCAGCTTAATATTAACAACTGAATTAGGCATTCAGAACAAGCTGAACTACTATCTTATGAAATCAGAGCTTTTCTAAAGAATGTACGCCCCATATAATGAGGGCAGCCCTTCTGTAGCCCCAGAAGATTGCTAGAGAGGGCAGCACTAGTTAGGTCTAGCAGATCACTGTCATGGAGGAACACAGGAAACTAGGCTTCAGGGCATCCTAGAGAAATCACCAATCTGCATTGTTACATAAAACTCTCAATTCACACATGTAGGCAATCTAATGAAAAACACACTTCCACCCCAGTCACTGAACTTGCTGTTCACTCTCCAGCAAGCACACTCTTCCCCCCAAAATCACATGGCTTGCTCCCTCGCTGCATTCCAGTCTCTGCTCTAATGTCACCATCCTCAGGGAGGCCTTCCTTGGCCACCCATTCTAAAAGAGCAGCACCCACACAGGTGCTCCAAGCCTCCCCCACGTCCTTATCCTGCTTTCATTTATCACGACCTCTTCTTGAAAGCAATGACATTAGATTTTTTTTTTTACCTGTTTAGTGTCTATTTCTATTTTTATAATAGAAAGGAATTTTTTTTTGTTCACCAACTGTATTCCCAAAGCCTAAAGTAGTCCTTGACAGATACTAAGTACTCAACAAATACTTGTTGAATGAAAGGTTATCAAATACTGATTGCCATAAAAGAGGTGATGAACTTGGAAATGTAGATGATAATATATTAGAAAATAGTTACATGGGAAAGTTCTTCCATAACATTGAACATGTTCTCAGTTTTCAACAAATTTATCAATTTTAGAACATTGATCAAGCTGCCATTAAAAGGATACGAGAAACGGTCATTCCATGTTGCTCTTTCGACGTATTCCAACATGACCACGGCTTTTATTGTCGTCAAAAGTTTGTTCCATGTTTCATCAAAATCTACTACTCTTGGTTTCAAAGACATTGTGCAAGTGTAGTGTTGAAATCTGTCAATTAAAAAACAATAACAATGTTAGCAATAATTCCATGAGCTTAGTTTTTTTGTTGTTGTTTTTTGTTTGTTTGCTTTGAGACGGAGTCTCGCTCTGTCGCCCAGGCTGGAGTGCAATGGCGTGATCTTGGCTCACTGCAAGCTCCGCCTCCCAGGTTCACGCCATTCTCCTGCCTCAGTCTCCCAAGTAGCTGGGACTACAGGCACCCGCCACCATGCCCAGCTAATTTTTTGTATTTTTTTTTAGTAGAGACGGGGTTTCACTGTGTTAGCCAGGATGGTCTTGATCTCCTGACCTCGTGATCCGCCCACCTTGGCCTCCCAAAGTGCTGGGATTACAGGCATGAACCATCACACCCGGCCAGTTATTTGTTTTTAAAGCACTACATAATTAAATAGCATGATATATGCAAGGAGTGAGAAAAGAACCCGGCACACAACAAAATGTTAGCTACCATCTTTTCATGACTATCCAGACAAGAAATTTCACAGACTATTTACATTCATTACAAGCTCTAGGAAATGGAAAGCTTCTAGTACAAATTATTTATGATCAAGGGTATAGTTTCAAAGATTTATAGTCCTCATTTAATATTGCGAGGGAAAGAAACGGGGACCCACTTAACCAAAAGGCCAACTTCCATCATGGGAAATAATGCAGGACATTCAACCGAAAGGTTTTGGCCCCAAATCCTTGTGGTTTGCACTCCTGAAAGTGGGGAATGAGGCAGCATGCAAGGGAATATGAGAAGACACAAGAAAATGAAAGGCTTTACCTTCCTGGAGCATCAGTATAAGATTAGGGAAGAAATTTACATTTATATTAAACCAAACAGGGATGAATTATGGAGTAGAATATAAAATTCACATGACCTTTTAAGATTAAAAAAAAAAGATTCCACAGAAATGTCAGGTTTGCAGTGGAGAGCTTAAGGCTCCTTCCCAGATTCTTGGGGTATCTACCTCCCAGTTCTAATGAAAAGCATGGCTCTAGCATGGAATCCCTGGCTCCAGTGAACTTAATGGGCTTTTTTTTTTTTTTGAGACAGAGTCTCACTCTGTTGCCCAGGCTGGAGTGCAGTGGCGCAATCTCGGCTCACTGCAACCTTCACCTCCCAGGTTCAGGTGATTCTCCTGCCTGAACCTCCCGAGTAGCTGGGACTACAGGCGCCCGCCACCATGCCCGGCTCATTTTTTGTATTTTTAGTAGAGACGGGGTTTCACCATGTTAGCCAGGATGGCCTTCATCTCCTGACCTCGTGATCCGCCCACCTCGGCCTCCCAAAGTGCAGGGATTACAGGCGTGAGCCACTGCACCTGGCCCAGAATGGGCTTTTAAGGGAGTTCAAAGACTCCTGCCTCAGACAAACTGCATTTAGGAATTAGCTGGTTTCTGGAACAAAAGGGTCCCAAATTAAAAGAGAAACTTTCTAAGCTAAATGTAATTGCTCAAAGGAACATTTTTCTGGCAAATGTTTTAACAGCCTCCCTCATGTCTCCCCTTATTAGCAGGACTGTAAGACACCAACCTAGTCTGTAGCCAAGGCCAAAAAAGGATGAAACATCTTTTCTCGTCTCCCATCATAGGGGAAAGGGGAGGCAGAGAATGGGGAGGAGGGAATGATGCATAAAGAGAATGGGCAAAGGGAGCGGGTAGGATGGCGGCCGCACCACCAGCCACGGACTGGGAGAGGCCCTTCTGTGTTTCCAGATGAGAAGAGAGCTCAAGGAATCCCAGGAATAGACTCCATGGAAAAGAATGAAAAAAATCAGAGAAAAGCCAAATATCCAAAAGAGGGTATGCCTTGTTGAACCACATCCTCTTTCCTCAACATTCCAAAGCCTCCACCTCCTGGCCTTCAACTCATTCCCGAACTATCTATAACGGATTAGCAGCGATTTTACTCTGCAAAATTGAGGGGAAGGTGAGAGTGGAGGAGGTGGGAGAACCTACTGAGTTTCCTAAGCTCTAAATAAGGGAATTAACCATGCCTCCTTCTCTTCCTTGTTTACTACATCCTATCATCAACTGTGCACATGAGTATTTCCTGAATCCATCCATACTTGTATAGCCCTACAAATGATCCGGAATCAGGCCCTCAGCAGAAATAGTAACAGTTAATATTTACATTGTGTATACTGCAAGCCAAGCACTAGTCTAAGTACCCTGTACAAACTCGTTTAATCCTCCCAACATTCTGACAGGTAGGTCCACTGTTGTCCCCATTTTCTTTTCTTTTCTTTTTTTTTTTCTTTTTCTTTTTCTTTTTTTTTTTGAGATGGAGTCTCGCTGTTGTCAGCCTGGGCTGGGGTGCAATGGCGCAATCTCGGCTCACTGCAACCTCTGCTTCCTGGGTTGAAGTGATTCTCCAGCCTCAGCCTCCCAAGTAGCTGAGATTACAGGCGTCTGCCACCACACCCGGCTAATTTTTTATTTTTAGTAGAGACAGGGTTTTTCACCATGTTGGCCAGGCTGGTCTCAAACTCCTGACCTCAAGTGATCCACCCACCTTGGCCTCCCAAAGTGCTAGGGTTACAGGCATGGGCCACTGCGCCTGACCTGTTCTCCCCATTTTCTGAATAAGAAAACTGAGTCACAAGTGATTCAGAAACTTGCTTAAGGTCACAAAGCTATGTAATGGTGGCATCAGGATTCAGACCCGTGCTGCGGCCGGTGCTCTAGGCTGCTGTGTGCAACCATGCTACCTCACTAACATGCTTGGTGAATACTTACTCCTTGCCAGGCACCATTCCAAGCTCTGAGGATACAGTGGACAAAACAAAGTTCTTGACTTCAAGATCAGAATCTCAGATCTTGCCCTTATCAAAGACACAAAAATAACCTACCTAAGCCAAAAAGTTGACCATGTTACTCTGTACATAAAGTACAAAGTTTGTTGTTTCCTTCTACAGACAGCATTCAGTTTGGGCTCAACTGCAACATGGCACCCAAGCTTCCTCTCCTCCTGGTACTCCCTACTGTGACATCATAATCTAGGAACTTCTCTCTGCTTAGAGATCACTGAACACATCAGCCTGATTCATACACTTGCCTTTACCCTTACTATTTTCTCTACCTAAAGTGCTTATCTTTTCCTTAGCTGCCCCCTCCACCCATTCCACCTAACTCCCACTGATAGTCTAACCTTGGTCCACTAGCTTTTTTTTTGTTTGTTCCTGAGACAGAGTCTCCCTCTGTCACCCAGGCTCGAGTGCACTGCAACCTCCACCTCCCACGTTCAAGTGATTCACCTGCCACAGCCTCTCAAGGAGCTGGGGGATTACAGGCGTGAGCCATCGCACCCTAATTTTTGTATTGTTAATAGAGACAGGGTTTCACCATGTTGGCCAGGCTGGTCTCGAACTCCTGAGGCTCAAGTGATCCGCCCGCCTTGGCCTCCCAAAGTGCTGGGATTATAGGTGTGAGCCATTGTGCCCGGCCTTCATCTGCTTTTAAGAAACTTTCTTGGACCATTTAAGCTAGGTAAGGTGTCCTATCATAGGTATTACCTGAGAACTCCACACTTTCCTCTATTAGAGTACTTCATCGCTCTGAACTGTAATTACCTGAGTGTTTCTGAGAGTGGGGACAATTCTGTAACTGCGTACCAAAAAGCTAGCGATGCTCCCCTCACATTCGCTTTCTCCTCTTATAAAATGGAATCATATTATACACACTGCTTGTAAATTAGTTTAACAGTTGCACAGACTTTTTTTGCTTTATGGAATCAGACTGACACTGACTTCTCTGTTGAGACTGATAGATTTCTGGTACCATAGGAAAATACAGTTACAATCCATGCTTGGATGGATAGCAAATCTGGAAGCCAACGTGCAAGAAGCACCAGCCTCGTGAAACACACCAAAAACTGACAAACCAATAGCAGGAAGGTATGCTGAGACAGTCTGTCAAGATTCTCTGCTTGCCCAGCAGAAAGCTCATATAACTAGGAAAATTAAGTTTCTTAAAAATGTTTAATAATAACATTCAGGGAAAGTTTACACAAGGATGTGAAAGAGACAGGGCAAAGAAGAAAAAGGACCACAGTCACACTATTTCTACCCCCCAAGCTGTCAAACAACTCATAAATCTATCAGTCTTGTTCTTCATTCCTGTGCCTTAACGAGATTCCCACGCGCACTCAGATTGTGTCCCATCAAGTTAACTGCAAAAATCCAAATCTCCTGAAATCACCACAGTCCCTTTTAGTTTCCTTGTGAGTTCCACTCTTGCAACAATGGGGTTTTAGACACACAGGTCCAGTGGCTAGGGCCACTTATGGGCCCTAAAACACACACACACACACACACACACACACACACACACACACACACACACGCACGCTCCACATTTTTAAAAATTGCAAAATAAAAATTTATATTTAATTACCTGTTTCCAGAAAACATTATGTCAACATTAATACAATATTTGCAACATTTTTATTACATTTGAAAACACTTGTAGATTTGATTTCCTCACAGCATAATTTCTAAATATGCATGATTGTCAATAATAATTACAAAAGTGAATTATAAAACGCAGCTACCATATGACCCAGCAATTCCACTCCGAAGTATAAAGAGAAATAAAACTCCCAAGAGAAATACAACATATTCACATAAAAACTGGTACACAAATGTTCACTGTAGTATTATTCATAAAGGCCCTTGAAATAGCTCAAGTGTCTATCAACTGATAAATGGTTAAAATGCAATATAGCCATACAATAAATTATTATTTGGCAATACGAGGAAATGAAGTACTGATACACACTATCACATGGATGACCCTCAAAAACATTCTACTAAGTGAATGAAGAGGGCCACAAAATAGCCACATAACGTATGAATCTATTTATATAGATTATCAAGAATAGGCAAATCTAGAGACAGAAAGTATGTGAGTGGTTGACTAGGGAACTTGGGGGGAAAATGGGAAATGACTGCCAACAGGGTGAGGAAAATGCTCTAAAGTTGATTGTCATGATAGTTGCACAACTCTGGGAATATACTAAAAACCATTAAATTGTATATTTCAAATAGGTAAACTGAATGGTATGTGACGTATATCTCAATAAAGCTGCTATACATTTAACAATGAATTATAAAATCCTGCCAAAAATTTTAGAGCAATTTAACGGGGATGAGGTGGAAGTAAGTATCAATACATCCATATGGTCATTTAGCATAAAATTCTGAAATCTCAATCTCTCTCCCACCACTCCCGTGTACGACCTCATTGCCACCTCCCATTGAATGAGGCAATAAATGTTATATGTTCCTGGGTGTATTTTATACATATATGTGATTTGTTACTCCCTTTTACATAATATAAACATGGTATTTTTTTCATCTGTTTTACATAAATGGTATACTATTCAGATTGTTATATATCTGCTTTTTTCTCTTAAAAGTATATTTGTGGCCAGGCACGGTGGCTCACGCCTGTAAGCCCAACACTTCGGGAGGCCAAGGTGGGTGGATCACCTGAGGTCAGGAGTTCGAGATCAGCTGGCTGACATGGTGAAACCCCATCTCTACTAAAAATACAAAAAAAATTAGCCAGGTGTGGTTGTGGGCACCTGTAGTCCCAGCTACTCCGGAGGCTGAGGCAGGAGAATGGCGTGAACCCAGGAGGCGGAGCTTGCAATGAGCCGAGATAAAACTCCCAAGAGAAATACAACATATTCACATAAAAACTGGTACACAAATGTTCACTGTAGTATTATTCATAAAGGCCCTTGAAATAGCTCAAGTGTCTATCAACTGATAAATGGTTAAAATGCAATATATCCATACAATAAATTATTATTTGGCAATACGAGGAAATGAAGTACTGATACACACTATCACATGGATGACCCTCAAAAACATTCTACTAAGTGAATGAAGAGGGCCACAAAATAGCCACTGCACTCCAGTCTGGGCAACAGAGCAAGACTCCGTCTCAAAAAAAAAAACAAAAAACAAAAACAAACAAACAAACAAAAAAAACAAACAAAAATTAGCCGGGTGTGGTGGTGGCTGCCTATAATCCCAGCTACTCAAGAGGCTGAGGAGGAGAATCGCTTGAACCTGAGAGGTGGAGGTTGTGGTGAGCCAAGATCATGCCACTGCACTCCACTCTGGACAACAGAGCAAGACTCCGTCTCAAAAAATAATAATAATAAAATAAAAAGAAATAAAAATGAGGCCAGATGTGGTGGCTCACACCTGTAATCCCAGCACTTTGGGAGGCCGAGGCAGGCGCATTACCTGAGGTCACGAGTTCAAGACCAGCCTGACCAACATGGAGAAACCCGGTCTCTACTAAAAATACAAAATTAGCCGGGCACGGTGGCACATGCCTATAATCCCAGCTACTCAGGAGGCTGAGGCAGGAGAATCGCTTGAACCCAGGAGGCGGGGGTTGCGGTGAGTCGAGATCGTGCCATTGCATTCCAGCCTGGGCAACAAGAGTGAAACTCCGTCTCAAAAAAAAAAAAAGAAAAGAAATAAAAATAATATTAAAAATATATATTTACAGATGTAATGATATGCTGTCTGAAATCTGCTTCACAATTAAACAGCTTGCTCATGAGTTGATAACTGTTAAGGATGAATAAAAGGGACATGGGGATTTATTACAATATTCTTTTTTTGTATGTGTTTACAATTTTCCATAATAAAGGAATTTAAAAATCCTACTCCTCATAAACATTAATATTTTCATAAATTTAGGGGAGAAAGCACATCATCTCTAACTGAAAGCCGTTACTAACCTTCCCTTCTGAGAATCTTAACTTTCCTGTGAGTTTTAGGTTTCCAAAGTTGTAGGAGAGCTCACAAAACACATGGTACTGTCCCTAAATGTGATGTGTTAACATAGCCTGACAAAATGTCCACCCCTAAAAAACTTAAATTACTAATAGCAGAAATAAAAAATATATATGTTTGTTAAGATCAGGTGAATTTTTTTTTTTTTTTTTGAGATGGAGTTTCTGTCTTGTTGCCCAGGCTGGAGTGCAATGGCATGATCTCGGCTCACCACAACCTTCACATCCCAGGTGTGAGCAATTCTCCTGCCTCAGCCTCCCAAGTAGCTGGAATTACAGGCTTGCGCCACCACACCGGTGTAATTTTGTATTTTTTTTTTTAGTAGAGACGGGGTTTCTCCATGTTGGTCAGGCTGGTCTCAAACTCCCAACCTCAGGTGATCCCCCTGCCTCAACCTCCCAAAGTGCTGGGATTACAGGCGTGAGCTACTGCACCCAGCCCGACATTTTTCATATAAAGAGATTTGTTCCTGTGAACTCACTTGCTGGAGCAAAAAAACAATTTAGATAATTTCAGCAGGTAAAAGTTACAGTATCTCAAAAGATGCATTTTGGTGTTTTGTATTTTACTTACCTTCTAAAAGTATAATTATCAATAATGTAAATGGCTAACCACTTACTATTTTGATTCTCTTTATAGTGAACAAAACTCCTGAATGACGATTTATTTCAGTACTGATCAGCAGCACCAATAAAAATTTGGCATCCAAAAATTATCAGTAAGATACAATAGAGTGGTCTAAGTTGACTTCAGATAGTTAAGACACCATAATTAGTTTTTTAAATGCCACTCAATAGGCTTAGAGCAGATTTCCTTCCAAATGCATAAAATGAGAAAATACTGAAGACCCAATAAAGAGCCTTACAGCAGTCCCCTGCCTTATCCAAGGGGATACGTTTCAAGATCCCCAGGAATGCCCGAAACTATGTTTTTTCATATACATACATACCTATGATAAAGTTTATTATATAAATCAAGCACAGTAAGAGATTAACAAAAACTAGCAGTAAGATATAACAATTATAACAATATGCTATAATAAAAGTTACATGACCATGGTCTCTCAGAATATCTCACTGTGCTGTACTCGCCCTTCTTGTGAAGGTGTGAGACAATACAATGCCTATGTAATGAGATGAAGTGAGGTGAGTGACACATGCATCGGAAGGTCGGCATTGGGCTACTTACTACTGACCTTCTGTATTCCTGAATATGTGTTACAGTCCCTGACTTAGAGTAAATGGTTTGGTGTCATTCGTCTCTGGGGATCCCTTGCTGAGTCTTCAAATAGGCTCAATGCTTTCTGGCACAGTATGTTGCCATCAAGTGGAACTTGTCTCTGCTCATGTCTTCCACCCACCAGTGTAATGCCTTTTCCAAATTAACTAAGCACTTATTACACGATATAACTATCACTTTTACAGATTGAGATTTGACAGCAAAACTAGTAAGAATTTCTTTCTTCACAATTTCTTTTCTTTCATAATTGTGAAGAAAAAGAAATTCTTATTAGACCTGCTTACAGTAGGTCTTAGCAATCTCAGTCTATTATTTTTTTCTTTCCTCATTGAGAACTTTCAACTTTTCGTGTAAAGGAAGCACTCTATGGCAGAAGCCTCTCTGGTGTATCCATATTGCTAGGATCACTACTCCTGTACTTTGGGGGCCCTTACTAAGTAAAATCAGGGTGACTTGAACACAAATACTGCAAAACTGCAACAGTCTATCTGATAATCAAGACAGCTACTAAGTGACTAATGGCAGGAGGCATCCACAGCGTAGAGATGCTGGACAAAGGGATGATTCACGTCTGAGCAGGACAGTGCAAGATTTCATCACACTACTGAGGACAGTACAGAATTTAATTATGAGTTATTTCTGAAATTTTCCATTTAATATTTGCAGACCCCATTGACCGTGGGTAACTAAAATGCAGAAAACAAAACTGTGAATAAGGGAGGCAGGGAAGTGGAATACCATATTAACTTGGCATTATTTTCCATTTCCATAGGTGGGCCCAAAGCTGCCAATGGTGCACAATGACCAAATATGTTGCCATCATTTAATATTAAAATAAGCTCCAAGAATGCATCTAAACATTTTCATCTTGCTGTATCAAATGAGCAAGCCACTGGATGTAACTAAGAATGCCCTTTCTTATTTGGAGGTTAAGGGTGCAATGTTTTTTGTTGCACTAAGGTTTGACCCACAGAGCTCTAAGTACTCCATAAACAACATTTCCATCATGACTTTCTGGCTTTAGAATTCCTATTTTTATTTATTTATTTATTTATTTATTTATTTATTTATTTATTTATTTTTGAGACAGGGTCTTGTTCTGTCACCCAGTGCAGTGGTGTGATCCTGGTTCACTGCAGCCTTGACCTCCTGGGCTCAAGTGATCCTCCCGCCTCAGCCTCCTGAGCAGCTGGGACTACAGGCACACACCACTGCACTGAGCTACTTTTTTGTATTTGTAGAGATGGGGTTTCACTATGTTGCCCAGGCTGGTCTTGAACTCCTGAGCTCAAGCTTCCACCAGCCTTGGCCTCCCAAATTACTAGGATTACAGGCGTGTGCCACCGCACCCAGCCTAGAATTTCTAGTAGGTTTTTTACAAAAACAAATGAGTTGGGGAAAAAAGAGTGAACAGACATATGGTGTGTGCCAAAATGTATACTGCAGGAAAACATCTTGAAGTCTCAAAAAGGGTGACACGGTGGGGAGTAGGGAATGTATTCATAATACAATAAGTTACAGAAGCCATTTGCACCCAGGTGTGGTGGCTCACACCTGTAATCCTAGTACTTTGGGAGGCTGAGGTGGGAGGATCACTTGAGCCTGGGAGTTTGAAAACAGCCTTAGCAACATAGACAGACCTGGTCTTTAAAAAAAAATAAAATTATAGTAGCTGGGCCCTCTGGTAACATGCGCCCGCAGGGAGTCCCAGCTACTCAGGAGGCTAAGGTGGGAGCTTGGCTTGAGCAAAGGAGACTTCAAGGTTACATTAAGCTACAATGGCACCACCACACTCCAGCCTGGGCCAAAAGACCAAGATCTTGTCACAAAAAAGCAGCTACCTGCTTCCAAAAATAAACCCACTGCACCAGAATAAAAGACCCCTCTCTGCAATGAACTTTAGACTCCCATAAGACTGCACAGCCTATACTTTGTTTCTTAAGTTTTCACATCGCTCTTATCAGCTTGAAGTTTAACGCCATTTTCACTTGCTTTCTCATTTTTTGTTCAATAATCTAGTCAACGAATTTAAGAAACTGACATTTTTAAAAAAAACTATTCTCATATATGTATCCCCGATCTCAGGTAAATTAGAGAATTTGAATTTCTGAGTCCTTCATGACTAGGCAAGCCCATCGTGTATGAATACTAGACAAAGCTAGAACCAACCAGCCTTTACACAAATTATCAAAACATTGAGAACAAATTTTTTGGCTGTGTGCAGTGGCCCATACCTACAATCCCAGCACTTTGCGAGGCCAAGATGGGCAGACTGCTTGAGCCCAGGAGTTCGCAGCCAACCTGGGCAACATGGTGAACCCCGCCTGTACAAAATACAAACAGATCAGCCAGGTGTGGTGGCATGCACCTGTAGTCCCAGCTACTAGGGAGGCTGGGATGGGAGGATCACTTGAGCCCAAGATGTGACCGCACCACTACAATCTACTGTATTTGCTGACTGCTATATAATACATTAAATCCTGCCTATGTCCTGACACTGCTATAGAAGACACAGGCATGGAAGAATAATTAAAAAGGGGATACAGTTATGGCAGATGCATATCAATTAACCCTCTAGCAACTTTCTTGACACCTCCTGTTTACAATCCCAAAGAGAGCCAGTGAGTTGGATCAAGTTTGTAATCCCAGCATTTTGGGAGGCCAACGTGGGAGGATCACTTGAGCTCAGGAGTTCAAGACCAGCCTGGGAACACAGCAAGACATCATCTTGACTGAAAAAAAAAAAAAATTTGCCTGCAGTGAGTTATGATCACACCACTGCACTCCAGCCTGGGCAACAGAGCCAGACCTTGTCTCTCAAAATAAAAAGTTCCGATATATGCTACGACAAGGATTAACCTTGAAGATATTACGCTAAGTCAAATACACTAGACACAAGGTGAAAAATATCTTATGGTCCTATTTAAACAAAAGTATGTATGTGGGCAAATTCATAAAGACAGAAAGAAGGATGAGATGTTATCAGATGCTGGGGGAAGGGGAAATGGGGAGCTACTGCCTAATGGTTGTACAGTTTCTGTCTAGTAACGAAAAAGTTTTGGAAATGGTGGTTTTGGAAATGGTGGTGAGGGTCACAATGACACTGTAAATGCAGTTAACACCACTAAACTATACCCTTAATGACGGTTAAAATGGTAAATTTTATGTCATGTATGTTTTAAGTGCTTAAAAACTAGATCACAGGTACAAAGTTCTGATGTCAGAGAAGTATCTGAATCTCACTGCAAAATGCTCTCTAAAAATTTTTAAATGGATGCATTCTAATCAAAATAATACTTGGTACTATGATGACAAAATACTATTTTTGGTTCAGACAGACTTTTATCAAATAAAAGAGAAATATCTTGAGATAAAATTTTTCTGAAGGCTCAGGACTACTTGGGGATCTTTCTCTTGATGTCACATTATTCATTATTTTGGTAACTATACACTTACATAATTACAAAGGTATCTTTGGCTGAGCATGGTGGCTCATGCTTGTAATCCCAGCAGTTTGGGAGGCCAAGGCGGGCAGATCACTTGAGGTCAGGAGTTTGAGACCAGCCTGGCCAACATGGTGAAACCCCATCTCTACTAAAAATACAAAAATTAGTCGGTGTGGTGGCAGGTGCCTGTAATCCCAGCTACTCAGGAGGCTGAGGCAGGAGAATCGCTTGAACCCAGGAGGCAAAGGTTGCAGTGAGCCAAGATCGAGCCACTGCACTCCAGCCTGCATGAGAGCAAGACTCCATCTCAAAAAAAAAAAAAAAGAAAGAAAAAGAAAAAAAGAAAGCTATCTTCTATTTCCCACCGTCAGAAAATAGCAGTTATAAATAAAGGGGAAAGGCAAGCATTAATCCTGTGGTAATGAGTTGTAATCAAAGGTATCATTTACAAACTCATGGTTTTGAATACACAAACACACATATACATGCAGATAAAAAGATATAAACATAGATGTTTGTGTATGCATGGTTGAATATACATATATTTCTAGCTCTGTTCACTGAGAAGGGCCTAGGAGGAATGACACCACAGTGGCAATGGGCACACATAGAACTTAGATCTTGGTTTCTAAATATCATTCTCCAAAAAAAGGAACCAGAGCTCCTCCTTGGAAAAGTGATTGATTCCAGGGCTGAAGCAGGAAAAATACAAGTTGAACCTAGAACACCTATGATGTCAGAAAATAGAAGGTGCTTTCCCCCCACAAAGAGGGTGGGGGCATATCGAAAGGACACAAGTTAAACTAAAGGTCAAAACTGGAACAAATCAGAGCAACAAAATAATGAATGATAGGATTAGATTATAAACCATAGGCGGGTCACAGTGACTCATGCCTGCTGTAATCCCAACACTTTGGGAAACCAAGGCAAGAGGACTGCTTGAGCCAAGGAGTTCAAAACCAGCCTGGAGCATAGCCTGTACTTTCTCTCCTTCAACTGAATTAAAACAAGGCTGAGATATTTTTAAAAATTTACATATGGCAAATCCATGTTTCATTCTTTGAAAAGCAACCTACAATAGAGAAAGACTAAGTCACTGAATTAATAGATGTAACTAACATTATTTATAATGTTAAACTATATAAAAGAGGCCAGGCACAGTGGCTCACACCTGTAATCCCAGCACCTTGGAAGGCCAAAGAGGGCGGATCTCTTGAGGTCAGGAGTTCAAGACCAGCCTGGTCAACATGGCAAAACCCTATCTCTACTAAAAATATAAAAATTAGTCAGGTGTGGTGGCAGACACCTATAGTCCCAGCTACTTGGGAGGCTGAGGCAGGAGAATCACTTGAACCCAGGAGGCAGAGGTTGCAGTGAGCTGAGATCGCGCCACTGCACTACAGCTTGGGTGACGAGTGAAACTCTGTCTCAAACAAGCAAACAAGACACAGTATCAGTCTGAATTTTTAATTCTCCAGAATAACAAAGCTTAAAGCAAAAGGAAATATTCCACCTCTCCTCCTCCAAAAGAAAAATCAACAGGGTTCAAGGCACCCCGGAAGTTTCTACAGATCCAACACCACAATCTTAACCTAACACTACTACTGTCTCAAAACTTTTAAGAATCAAAGGGATTGTCTCCAATAAGCCTTTCCCAATGAAAAGCCAAATATAAAGTACTGATATAGAAATCTATACATTCTTAAAGGTAACCCAAAGATTATGCTAACTGCAATATGACAGATACGTTACCAGTAAGATTCAAACCCAGGCACAGAGCCAAATCACTCTGAATAGATATTGTGATTAACTGATTACTGAGAGAGGGTTCAGTCATACATCTCATAGATCAATAACTTGTTATAAATCTCATAACATTCCAAATCGCTGCTTGTTTTTCCAAGATTTAACATGAGCCAGTCATAAGTCCTCATAATATTAAGATTCTAGGGCTGATCCTGTCATCAATTTACTTAAAAACAACTGATAGTTGGACAGGCCTGGTGGCTCACACTTGTAATCCCAGCACTTTGGTAAGCCGAGGCAAGTGAATCATGAGGTCAGGAGTTCAAGACCAGCCTGGCCAACATGGTGAAACCCCGTCTCTACTAAAAATACAAAAAAATTAGCTGGGGGTGGTGGTGGGCGCCTGTAATCCCAGTTACTTGGGAAGCTGAGGCAGGAGAGTCTCTTAAATGCCAGAGGCGGAGAATGCAGTCAGCCGAGATTGTGCCACTGCACTCCAGCCTGGGTGACAGTGTGAGACTCCATCTCAAAAAATAATAATAATAAAAAATAACTGGCTGGGTGTGGTGGCTCACACCTGTAATCCCAGCACTCTGGGAGGCTGAGGCAGGCAGATCACAAGGTCAGGAGATTGAGACCATCCTGGCTAACACAGTGAAACCCCGTCTCTACTAAAAAAATACAAAAAATTAGCCAGGCATGGTGGCGGCTGCCTGTAGTCCCAGCTACTTTGGAGACTGAGGCAGGAGAATGGCGTAGACCCAGGAGGCAGAGCTTGCAGTGAGCTGAGATCGCGCCACTGCGCTCCAGCCTGGGCGACAAAGCGAGACACCGTCCCAAAAAAAAATAAAAATAAAAATAACTGTTAGGGCCAGGCGCGGTGTGGCTCACACCTGTAATCCCAGCACTTTGGGACACTGAGGAAGGCGGACCACAAGGTCAGGAGATCAAGACCATCCTGGCTAACACGGTGAAACTCCATCTCTATGAAAAATACAAAAAATTAGCCGGGCATGGTGGCAGGCGCCTGTAGTCCCAGCTACTCGGGAGGCTGAGGCAGAATGGTGTGAACCCGGGAACCAGAGACACAGCCAGACTCTGTCTCAAAAAAAAAAAAAAAAAAAAAACTGATAGTGCATATGAAACATTGCTTTCAATCACAGCCAGACATTTTTCCAGAATACACAAAGAACAGGCAGATAAGGTAGAACACAAAACAAACAGTGCAAACTTTTGTAAAGTCTCACAAAAAGAAACAGCTTTTTACAGCGAGGGAGGAAGGGCATAAGGGTTGAAAAACGGTTGGGTACTATGTTCAGCACCTGAGTGACGGGATCATTGTATCCTAAACCTCAGCATCACACAATATACCCGGGTAACAAACCTACGTGTGTACCTCCTGAATCTAAAATGAAAGTTGAAAAAGATAAAAATAAAGAAACAAGCAGCCTGGCCAACATAGTGAAACCTTGTCTCTACTAAAAATACAAAAATTAGCTGAGAGTGGTGGAGGGCGCCTGTAGTCCCAGCTCGGGAAGTGGAGGCTGCAGTGGGCTGAGATTGAGCCCCTGCACTCCAGACTGAGAGACTCTGTCTCAAAAAAAAAAAAGAAACAAGAAACAAGGCCGGGCACAGTGGATCACGCCTGTAATCCTAACACTTAGGGAGGCTGAGGTGGGAGAATTGTTTGAGCCCAGGAGTTCGAGACCAGCCTGGGCAACACAATGAAACTCTCTTAGTTCTGTCACCCAGGCTGGAGTATAGTGGCTCACTGCAGCCTCCACCTCCTGGGTTCAAGTAATCCTCTCACCTCAACCTCCCTAGCAGCTGGGATTACAGGCCTGCACCACCACACCTGGCTAATTTCTGTATTTTTTGTACAGACAGGGTTCGCCATGTTGCCCAAGCTGGTCTCAAGCTGCTGGGCTCAAGTGATCCACCCACCTCAACCTCCCAAAGTGCTGGGATTACAGGCCTGAGCCACCGTACGTGGCCGGAAACAGCTTTTTAAACAACTCCACACCTGTAGGTCAAAAACTTAACGAGACCAGCCTGGCCAACATGGTGAAGCCCCATCTCTACTAAAAATACAAACTCCAGCCTGGGTGACAGAGCGAACACCATCTCAAAATAAATAAATAAATAAATAAATGAACTTAACAAGGGCAGGGACCAAATCAGAAAATGCTGCAGTACTCCACAGTTTTATCCTCTTTCTACATTCTCTGTGTTCTCATCCTATTTCATAACTTAACTACTATTTAACACTCTAAAAAATACAAATGTCAAAGTAAAGTGTACTACTGTTTCTGCAAAGTGGGAACAATATTTGCTTATATGTCCACAAATATTTTTTTCCAAGGAGATCTAAGAAACAGCTAACAATGTTTGGCTCCAAGGAAAGCTGGATGACAAGGGTACAAGAAGTGGAGGGAGATTTTCATTCTATTCCCTACTGACAATTTTATATTTTGGTTTTCTGTTTGTTTTAGAGACAGGGTCTCACTCTGTCACTCAGGCTGGAGTGCAGTGGTGCAATCACAGATCACTGCCACTTCCAACCTGGTCATCTGGCCTCAGCTTCCCAACAGCGGGTACTACAGGCGTGCGCCACCACGCCTGGCTAATGTTTTTTAAATTATTTTTTGTAGACATGGGGTCTCACCATGTTGCCCAGACTAACATCTTAAATTTTGAGCCATGTGAATACAGTTTTTGTTCAAAACATTAGTATACCAATAAATAAATGCTGATGACTCTCCATATCCATTTTCCTCTCTTCACTAGAACTTAAGTTCCATGAAGCCAGAAATTTTTTAACCACTATATCCACACATCTGGTTTAAAGCTGGTGCTTGAGAAGCCCTCGTTGGATGGCTGAATCACTCCTTAACCTCTAAGTTCCACACTTATTTCCAATCACCTACTTCTCACCTCCACTTGAACAACGAAATCCAACTTAACATGTCCAATCCAACCCCATCCCATACAACAGCCTGCTTCCCCCAACCTCTTCTTCATCTCAGTACACAGCATCATCATCCTCCAGCAGAAGCCAAAAACCCAGAATTGACCCATCCCAACTGCATGCTCATCCAAAACATGACAATTTCAATAAGTATCTTCAACTCCAAAATAAATCTCAAAACGTTTTCACTTGTACCTTAACCCTCCACAGCCACTGCTCTTCTCACTGGTCTCCTTGTGTCTCTCTTCTCCAATCAACAGTCTGATTCTCAATCAGACCTCTCAGTTTAGAAGAGTTCCAAAAGCCTTTTAATGTATCTAAGAACAAAGCCAACATGATCCAGCCCCTGGCTAGGACCCACCTTTAATCTCTTACTAGGGTCCACCTTAAGCCAATTTCAGTTTGTTCAATCCAAGTTTGATAGCACCTCAGGGTTTTTCCATTTGTTCCTCCCTAAAATAGGAAAACTGTTCCCTCAGAATTTCAAACTTCACCTCAGGAAGTTCTTTTCTGGTTACAGTATCTGAAGTAATCTCCCAATCACTACCACAACTCCTTACCTTATTTCCCACACAGCACTTATTCTCTGAGATTATTTCTTATATACTGTCTGTCTCTCCATCCCAAGCCAGAAGTGACACTCCAAGAGGATAGAAATTTAATGGGTTGGACAGGTGTGGTGGCTCACGCCTATAATCCCAGCACTCTGGGAGGCTGAGGAGGGCGGATCATGAGGTCAAGAGATCAAGACCACCCTGGCCAACATGTTGAAACCCAGTCTCTACTAAAAATACAAAAATTAGCTGGGCGTGGTGACGTGCGCCTGTAGTGCCAGCTACTCAGGAGGCTGAGGCAGGAGAATTGCTTGAACTGGGAGGTTGCAGTGAGCCCAGATCGTGCCACCGCACTTCAGCCTGGTGACAGAGCGAGACTCCGCCTCAAAAAAAAAAAAAAAAAAAAAAGAAATGTAATGTGTCTTGTTTACCCTTGTAACCTTAATGCCTGCAGCCCTGCTTGACAAATAAACCAGGTGCTTAATAAATATCTGTCAACTGCCAGACAACGCAAAAATGACTTTAAAGAAGGTCCATAACGTTTAATCTAGTGACAAACTGGTGAGGGTAAAAGACATGGATAATCTTCACATTTATAGAACACTGAAAGCCACCAGCAAGGATGGAGAATGAAGAGTATTTCAGATGCAGGAGAACATCCAAATACTCAAAAAGCAATTGAAAAGGAATTTTTCCCACGCTATGTGCATGCACATTGTAGAAATGTTCCCCCAACTCATAAACAGCAATTGAAAAAAACAAGTAATTCAAAACACTGTGGGCTGGGCGCAGTAGCTCAGGCCTGTAATCCCAGCACTTTGGGAGGCCTAAGCAGGCGAATCACCTGAGGTCAGGAGTTCAAGACCAGCCTGGCCAACATGGTGAAACCCCATCTCCACTAAAAATACAAAATTAGCCGGGCATGGTGGCGCATGCCAGTAATCCCAGCTACATGGAAGGCTAAGGCAGAAGAATTGCTTGAACCCGGGAGGCGGAGGTTGCAGTGAGCCGAGATCGCACCACTGCACTCCAGCCTGGGTGACAAGAGCAAAACTCCATCTCAAAACAAAAAAACTGTGTACTTCTCTTATCTCACGCGACTCTTTTGGAAGGATCTTCCAGATACTGTATAAGGGCAAAAGAAGCAAAGTATAGCTCATTTGTTCATGTGTCTGTCTTGAAAAGGAATGTAAGATTCTAAAGGGTAGGCAACAGTGTTTTGAATGTTTTTAAGCGATTATTATGTAGTCAGTTGTCAATCAGATCAAAGTGATTATTTCCGATACTTTACTACGAAGGTAGGCTTGGCCAGGTCTAGTTCAAAGACGTTTATGTTGAACAGTCACAATCTATAGCGAACGTTAATATTTTGCATCTTATCTTCAAAATTTAAACGCCCAGGGTACTGGCCTTCAACTGTTAATATTAATCCATGGGGCAAAGATGTGGACTTAACATTAATAACAGTCTGCAATTCACAGATGTTTTATTTGCATGCACGTAATGGTAGGGAATGGTCCAGACTCTCTAGAGGGTAAGCAAGTGCTAGAAAGCGTGTGAGGATCTTATTTCACCAGACCCTAAGGGTTGAGACAAGAAGTCTAGCATGCACGTAGGATACTCCTCCCCAAAGCTATCAATCTTTGCAGTCTGCGGAAACAAAAGTGAAAACACTCGGGGTAAGGATGCATGAGATGCCCCCCCCCACACACACACACAAACACACAGAGTTGTGTATTCGTGTGAGCACGTAAATATGTAGAAGAATACACGCACTCTCACCTTCCCTCCTTCGAAGGAAAATGGGGCCGCGGGAGAGGCGGCCAAGATCGGGTTGGGGAGGCCCGGGATCCAGTCCAGGGGGTGGCAGGGCTTACGGGTCAGCGCTCTGGGGAGCCGAGGTCACTTACAGGATACCATCTTCCCGGGCCTCCCCCTTTCATCCCTCTCCCCACACCTCGTCGCCCCCAACTCCTCTCCTCCGCCCCAGCCCCGCCACCCATTAACCGGGAAGGGAAGTTTCCCGGCGCCTGCAGCCCGGCTCCCCGACCCTCAGCGGGGTTACCTTCTGCAGAAGCAGGGCAAGGGGCAGGGGACAAGGGGAGGGGGAGGCAGCCCGAAGGAGTGAAAGACGAAGCCCCGGCGAGGAAGGTGGGCGGAGGCGGCGGCGGCGGCGGCTGTCAGCTCGCGTTCCCCTGCTCACAGCGCTGCCATTACTGTGCGCCGAGGCCGCCTCCCCGGCCGGCCGCCGCCACCGGCCCCGGAGACGCGGGGGGTGGGGAGCGAAGCCCGGGGAGCCCGCGCGCCGACACTCACCTGTCTCCGCGAGGAAAGACAGCAAAGTCCAAGGCCGCCGCCGCTCCCCGGCGGGACAGGGGCGGTAGGGAGGGGGGGAAAGGGGAGAAGGACGGGCCGATCACGGGATCCGTAAAACAATCGTCCTCCTCTGCCTCCGGCTTTGCCCAACACACACCCTCCGGTCTCCTTCTTCCGCTGCTGCCAAATCCCCCCCGCCACCCGGAAAGCAATGGTACAGGCCGCGTTACGGCAAGCGCAGGGAGCCAAGCTTCGTGTGATTGCGAAAGGCCACGGAAATTAATATTCCAAGTGATTCCTTGCTGGGCTTGCTGTCAATGAGGCAATTGCGGTTCGCTGAGCTGATGGACACAGTACCCACCCACTACCCGTTAGTTCAGGGACTGCTAATAACAATATGTTGGAATGGTGCTTTCAACAGAAGTATGTTTTCCTTGTTTCAGACCTATGTGAATATCCTAAGACACCACAATCCTCTTGCCACACACTTCCATGGGCTTTGCAAATGATCAAAAATAAATTAGCAAAACTACTTTTCCTCTCTGACAAACTCTTTTTCTTGTTAGTTTTTATCTACAGAGAATTTCTTGGACATACATGTATTTTCGATAAAGAAACTTCACATCTTTTTCACTAATACCCCACCTTCACCAAGCCCCAAGCCTATCAGTTTGAAGGGTTTTCCTCCCTTGGAGTTTTAAACGGTAAAGCTGATAAAAATATAGAATTACTCATCACCTCCTCATATATGCAGGGCCACAGAGGAACAAAAGCCCGGCCTTAGTGCTTTTTGCCTTTCATATCCTCAAGAGCTCACCATCAGGGTCTTGTTCATTTATACGATTCAGCAAGCTTTTCCCTCCCATCCCTTCCTTCCAAACTGCACGAACCCTTCAAGGCCCATTTAAAACCCTGCCTCCAGACCTGATCAGTCCCTAGAGCCTTCCTCCTCTTCTAATCTGCTTCTCTTGGTACTTGAAGTCTCTACTCTTTATTTCAGTAAAGGGTTTTTATATACGAAATTCAATCCAACAGTATGTTTCCATTATGTGACCTTTTTTTCCTCCCATGTTTTCCCCCTTTTAATCTAGTGATTCTCAAAGTGTGGTCCCCAGACCTCTGGAAATCCCTGAGACCTTTACAGAGGTCATAAGGTTAACAACTAGTTTGTTAACAATGCAATATGTCTGGTCCTTTTTTTTTTTGGATACAGAGTCTTGCTCTGTCACCCAGGCTGGAATGCAGTGGCGGCACAATCTCAGCTCACTGCAACCTGCACCTCCCGGGTTCAAGTGATTCTCCTGTCTCAGCTTCCCGAGTAGCTGGTATTACAGAAGCCCGCCACCACACCCGGCTAATTTTTTGTATTTTGTAGAGACAGGGTTTCACCATGTCACCACATTGCCCAGGCTGGTCTTGAACTCCTGAGCTCAGGCAATCCACCCACCTCAGCCTCCCAAAGTGCTAGGATTACAGGCCTGAGCCACCGTGTCAGGCCCCCCCTGCTTTTTGTTTTGTTTTGTTTTTGTTTTTGACACAGGGTCTCCCTCTGTCGCTGAGGCTGGAGTGCAGGAGTGCAGTGGCCTGATCATAGCTCACTGCGGCCTCAAACTCCTGGGCTCAAGCGAGTGTACCATCTCAGTTTCCGAAGCAGCTGTGACTACAGGCGCGTGCGCCACCACACCCAGCTAATTTTTGTATTTTTGGTAGACATGGGGTCTCACTATGTTGCCCAGGCTCCTCTGGAACTCCTGAGCTCAAGCGATCTGCCCACCTCAGCCTCCCAAAAGTTCTGGGATTACAGGAGTGAGCCACCATGCCTGGCCTCCTCTGTCTTTTTGACTGAGTTTGTTTTTGTACTGATGGTGCAAAGGAATACGGACACTATTGATGCCTTAGCAGGGATCAAGACAGTGCCACCAACCTGTCCGGGTGGTCATTGGATCGCTGTATTCTTCACTGCCATACATTCCCAGTTTTTAAGGCTATTGATTTAGGAATATCCTGGATGAAGCGGAAGCATTAATTTTATTAAATTTTGGCCCTTGAATACAAGTCTTTCTAATACTCTGTGTGAAGAAATGGGAAGTACACATGCACTTCTGCATGCCAAAGTGGGATGGCTGTCTTGAAGAAAAGCACTTGTGTGGTTGACTTACAGGCTGAACTACCTGCATTTTTCATGGTGAAACTGCCTTTGCAAAACATGATAGTAAGAGGAATCTGACCTCATTGATTTAATCTTGCTTCTGACCTCCAAGGTGTTCCTGGTCATTCCTGGGCATAGGCCAACTTAATTTGGGGAGGAAGTTAGTTTATGGTTTAACTTGAAAGCTAAGTTCCTCCCTAAAACTACCCCTGCTCTTGCTTAGGGATGAAAAACCACCTTTGGAAGACTAATGAAAAGCAGCAAGAATAGGATTATGGGAGGGGTGTGAACTTTGCTAAAGTGTAGGCATATTTCTATTAATATACTCCCTTACTGCTCAGGGGTCATGTGGCCAGAGGTCACAAGATTTGTGACTTCCCCAGTTGCTCCTATAAATAACATCAGTATTGTACAACTTTAGATTGCTTTTTGAGATATTTTTCAGACTGACCCCACCTGGACTCGTGACTCATGACTCAGAACTGGTCCTATGGCCCCACCCAGAGGCAGGCTCAGCACTCAAGGACTGTTTTCCACACCCCTATGATTCCATCCCCAACCCATCAGCAGAACCCATTCTCTAGTCCCCTGCTCACCAAATTGTCCATAAAAACCCCAACCTCCAACCCAGGGGGAGACTGATTTGAGTGATAACTCCAGTTCTCCTATGTGACTGGCCTTGGGTCAATTAAACACTTTCTCTACTGCAATACCTTGGTCTCGGTGAATTTTGTCTGTGCAGTAGCCAAGAAGAACCCATCTGGCCATTACAATGGAAGGCCATTTTTACTTGAAAGAACAATTGACAGACTTGGTGGCTCATGCCTCCCAGCACTTTGGGAGGCTGAGGTGGGCAGATCTCTTGAGTGTAGGAATTTGAGATCAGCCTGGACAATATAGCAAAACCCCATCTCTACAAAAAATACAAAATTTAGCCAGGCATGGTGGTGTGTGCTGGTAGTCACAGCTTCTTGGGAGGCTGAGGTGGGAGAATCACTTGAACCTGGGAGGCAGATGTTGCAGTGAGCCAAGATCACGCCATACTGCACCCAGCCTGGGCAATAAAGGCAGACCTTCTCTCAAAAAAAAAAAAAAAAAAAAAAGAAAAGAAAAGAAGAAGAAATTACCACTTGTTGAATTTCACTATAGTATCAAAGAAGAATATCCATAATTATCCAAAAAGACTATTTAATTTTCTTTCAAAGGCCTGAGTTTCTTCATATATTTCAACCATAGAGAACCTAGCTATCTTCTATTAAATCAAATATTTAGAGAGTTGCAAAAATACAAAAGCAATCCTTTTCCTCTGATCAAATTTTTTTTATTTTGGAAAATATGGTTATTTTTCATAAAAGCATGCAATTTATGTTAAATGTGTTTGGTTTATTATTTTTAAAATTAATCAGTAATTTAAAAATTTTTATCCTTTAAATTTCTAATACAATAACTATTTATAGATAGATAGTTTCCTGAGGCCTCCCTAGACACTGAGCAGATGCCAGGATCGTGCTTCTTGTACAGCCTGCAGAACCATGAGCCAATTAAACCTCTTTATTTCATCAATTACACAGTCTCAGGTATTTCATTATAACAATACAAGAATGGCATAATACAATAGATATAACCCACATGAACATAAGCTCTTCTAAGTCCTCGATAATTTTTTTTTTTTTTGAGATGGAGTTTCGCTCTTGTTGCCCAGGCTGGAGTGCAATGGTGCGATCTTGGCTCACTGCAACCTCCGCCTCCCAGGTTCAAGCTATTCTCCTGCCTCAGCCTCCCGAGTAGCTGAGATTACAAGCACGTGCCACCACGCCCAGCTAATTTTGTATTTTTAGTAGAGATGGGGTTTCACCATGTTGGTCAGGCTGGTCTTGAACTCCTGACCTCAGGTGATTTGCCCGCCTGGGCCTCCCAAAGTGCTGGGATTACAGGCGGGAGCCACTGCACCCAGCTAGAGTAATTTTTAAGCGTGTAAAGAAACTGAAAAGTTTGAGAACCACTGCTCTAACTCATGAAATTCCTTCACTCTCATCATGTTCCTCTTAACTCTGGTTGGAAATGTGATCGAGCGTGAAGGGTGCCAACCATGAATCACTATAACAGCCCCCTTTATTTCTAAATTCCAGAGATTGCCCCCACCTCTTGACAGTTTACCCAAACTCTACAGTAGGGAAATAATATTCGTAAAATAGTTATTAGCATCCAAGCCCTTAATATCAAAGTGAAATTACTTCTTTTCCAGAAAAAAAAATTCTTTCTGGGTAACCCTTTAAGTTACCACTTTTAGCATTAGTTGGTCCTTACTCCCCAAACAAACCTCAAATCCTAGTTCATCTATGATTGCTTTCCTTGTTTTACTTTTTAGCTAATGCTACATTTTACAAAACTGTGTTTTGGCCTTGTATGTTTATTTAATTCCTTTATAATTGTTTCTGACTTCAAAAGTAATGTTGGCGGGGCACAATGGCTCACACTTGTAATCCCAGCACTTTGGGAGGCTGAGGCTGGTGGATCACTTGAGGTAAGGTGGATCACTTCGAGACCAGCCTGGCCAATATGGTAAAACCTTGTCTCTACTAAAAAAATACAAAAATTAGCTGGGCATAGTGCTGCATGCCTGAAATCCCAGCTACTCAGGAGGCTGAGGCAGGAGAATCACTTGAATTCACAAGGTGGAGATTGCAGTGAACCGAGATCATGCCACTGCACTCCAGCCTGACAATAGAGCAAGACTCCATCTCAAAAAAAAAAAAAAAGAAAGAAAGAAATACATGCTTTTTGTAAAAACTACCTCTATTACAGAAATAGAGAATCATGTTTGGGTTGATGTACATAACTCACAATTTATTTCTATGAATATGATTAAATATATTTTTATACGTATCAGAACATATAATATATATGCTATTTTGTAGTCAGCTATTTGTACTTCTCTGATTTTGATCTTTATGAAAATGCAAATAATTATTTTGTGTGTGTGTGTATATATATTTTTGAGACAGAGTCTCCCTCCGTTGCCCGGGCTGGAGTGCAGTGGTGTGATCTCTGCTCACTGCAACCTCCGCCTCCCCGGTTCAAGCCATTCTCATGCCTCAGACTCCCGAGTAGCTGGAACTACAGGCACATGCCAATACACCCAGCGAATTTTTTTGTATTTTTAGTAGAGACAAGGTTTCACCATATTGGCCAGGCTGGTCTTGAACTCCTGACCTCAAGTGATCCACCCGCCTCAGCCTCCCAAAGAGTTGAGATTACAGGCGTGAGCCACCAAGCCCGGCCAGTTATGTCATGTATTAAACATTTTTCTACCTTTTATTTTGGGATACCCCTAGATACTGTACAACAGTTTTAACGTTTGGAGTGGCTCATTAAGGAGCTATTTTGAGGCTGGGCGTGATGGCTTAGCCTGTAATCCCAGCACTTTCGGAGTCCGAGGCGGGTGGATTGCTCGAGGCCAGGACCTTGAGACCAGCCTGGCCAATATGGTCAGACCCTATCTCTACTAAAAATACAAAAATAAGCCTGGGCTGGTGGTGTGTGCCTGTAATCCCAGCTACTCAGGAGGCTGAGGCAGGAGAATCACTTGAACCTCAGAGGCAGAGGTTTCAGTGAGTTGAGATCTTGCCACTCCAGCATGGGCAACAGAGTAAGGCTCTGTCTCAGAAAAGAAAAAAACAAAACAAAACAGCTATTTTGAGCTTACAAAAGTGCGAGTCTCTTTAAAGAAGTGGCTGACGTGATGGCCGGGTACAGTGGCTCATGCCTGTAATCCCAGCACTTTGGAAGATGGGGATAGAAGGGTTACTTGAGGCCAGGAGTTCAAGACCAGCCTGGGCAACAGAGCAAAACCCTGTCTCTATGAAAAATAAATACAACAAAATAGCAGCTGGGTATGGTGGTGCATGCCTGTAGTCCCAGCTACTCTGGAGGCTGAAATGGGAGGATCACTTGAGTCCAGGAGGTCATGTTTGCAGTGAGCTGTGATTATGCCACTGCACTACAGACTGGGTAACAGAGCCAGACCCTATCTTTAAACAAACAAATAAACAAAACTGTATAGGTTAAGAAAGTAAGGAAGTACTAAAAAACAAAACAAAACAAAATCTGCTTCCATAAGAGTATTTCAAAGGGGCACAGGAGCCAACTGAGAGACAGATGGTGTTGTTTGCTGAAACTAAATTGCTCGTGTTAGGTTTTTAGTAGTAGAAAGATGTAGCTTCAGGTCCACTTTTTTTTTTTTTTTTTTGAGATGGAGTTTCACTCTGTTGCCCAGGCTGGAGTGCAGTGGTGCAATCTCAGCTCACTGCAACCTCTGCCTCCTGGCTTCAAGTGATTCTCCTGCCTCAGCTTCCCAAGTAGCTGGGATTACAGACGCCTTCCACCATACTCGGCTATTTTTTGTATTTTTCGTAGAGACGGGGTTTCACCATGTTGGCCAGGCTGGTCTCGAACTCCTGTCTCCACATGACCCGTCCACCTCAACCTCCCAAAGTGCTAGGATTACAGGCGTGAGCCACCGTGCCCAGCCTCATGCCCCTTTTCTTCAAAGGTTTACCTTATCTTATGTAAACTGTAGATTTACTGAGCACCAACTAAAGTGTCACAAGTAGGTAACTATTTGCTCACTGCCACCCCCTTGATTTAAGAAAAATGTATAAATACTGAACTTCCTGCGAACCTCTTTGGAAAAAGCAGCCAGATGCATCTGTGCCTTGGATTTTTCCTAGCTGTACCCTTAAGCTGGCTCAGTACACCTCAAGGAGGGAGGATTGCTTGAGGCCAGAAGTGCAAGACCAGCCTGGGGAGGCTGAGGTGGAAGGATTGCTTGAGTTCAGGAGATTGAGATTGCAGTGAACTGTGATCGCACCATTGCCCTCCAGCTTGGGCAACAGAGCAAGACCCCCTGTCTCAAAAAAAAAAAAAAAAAAAGAACTTACAGTGGTGCAATCTGACAAATACCCTTCAGTCAGGTGATCAAGCCCAGTATTAACAATGTACCCTTGGCATGATGTGCTGAGAATGGCACTTTACCTCTGTGATCATCCTCCCCAAACCCCTAAGCCCAGTCTATCATGAGAAGAATATTAGACAAATTCCTGCTGGGCACAGTGGCTCACGCCTGCAATTGACACTTTGGGAGTCCATGGTGGGTGGATCACTTGAGGTCAGGAGTTTGAGACTACCCTGGGCAATACAGCAAGACCCCATCTTTACCAAAAATACAAAAATTAGCCAGGCTTGGTGGTGCATGCCTGTAGTCCCAGCTACTGGGGAGGCTGAGACATGAGAATCACTTGAGCCCAGGAGGCAGAGGTTGCAGTGAGCCACAATCATGCCACTGCACTCCAGCCTGGGTGACAGACCAAGACTCTGACTCAAAAAAATTAATTAATTAAATAAAATTAAATAAATAAATAAAAGAACAAAAGTACAAGGTCTTTAATCGGAAAAGCTCAGAACTCATATCATATTCTGTGGGTGATAGTGGTACCAGATGAACAGGTTATATCTTTGCCTCTCCTAGACAATTCTGGTTGAAAGCTATTTTAAAAGGAAATATAAAAAGTATTCTTTTTTAATAAAAAGAAATTACCAGTGGATCCTTTATATTTCTTTGCAGTCACTTTTAGACAGGTAATTTAATAAGCTAAAAGCTGCACTGAAAAAGAACTCATTTTGAGGAAAAGCCCACTATTTGAGATAGATAACTCACTATTTGAGATAGATGATGCATTTATGATTTCTCAAAATTGGGAATACAGAGTAAATCTGGGTAATGGATTGCAAGGACTTATACATGACATGTGAAAGAAGGGGAGATGACATTTTTCTGAACTGTTACATCATATTAAAAATACCCCAGGCACGGTGGCTTACACCTGTAATACCAGCACTTTAGGAAGCCAAGGCAAGAGGATTGCTTGAGGTCAGGAGTTCAAGACAAGACCTATTTCTACCAAGAAAAAAAAAATGTGTGTTACCAAGAGCAAAATATGAATTGTGACCCACCCAGATAAGGATGATGACAAAGAAGATGGAAGAACTTGTAACTTAATAAAAATAAGCAGGCGGGGCACAGTGGCTCATGCCTGTAATCCCAGCACTTTGGGAAGCCAACACGGGTGGATCACCTGAGGTCAGGAGTTCGAGACCAACCTGGCCAACATGGCGAAACCCCATCTCTACTAAAAAAAACCAAAAAATTAGCTGGGCACGGTGGCAGGCGCCTGTAATCCCAGTTACTTGGGAGGCTGACGCAGGAGAATTGCTTGAACCTAGGAGGCAGAGGTTGTAGTGAGTTGAGATTGCATCATTGCACTCCAGCCTGGGCAACAAAGCAAGACTCTGTCTCGAAATAAATAAATTAAATAAGTAATATAGGCCATCTCATTTGAGAAGATAGGAACAAAGAAAGCGAACAAGTCAAATGTGGTAAGTCTGGAGGGAAGCTAATTCACAGAAAGAACAAATGGACTAAAAGACGTAGTTCCTGGGCTAAGGAAGGTGGTTGATCAATAATATTAACTTGGGCTGGGTGCATTGGCTCATGCCTTTAATCCCAGCACTTTGGGAGGCCGAGGAGGGCAGATCACGAGGTCAGGAGATCCAGACCATCCTGGCCAACATGGTTAAAACCTGTTCTTCTAAAATACAAAAAAATTAGCTGGGCATGGTGTTACGCGCCTGTAGTCCCAGCTACTCGGGAGACTGAGGCAGGGGAATCACTTGAACCTGGGAGGCGGAGATTGCAGTGAGCCTTGATAGCATGGCTGCACTCCAGCCTGGCGACAAAGTGAGACTCCGTCTAAAAAAAAAAAAAAAAAAAAAATTAACTTGTACCAAGTGGTTCCTGAATACTGGGTTTGCTCAACATCAGTGTTAGAAGTAGAAACTACCCAAGATTATACAACCAGATTTCTAAAATAGCATACTTAGACTTAGCGAGGCTGAGGCAGGTGGATCACCTGAGGTCACGAGTTCAAGACTAGCTTAGTCAACGTGGTGAAAGCCCGTCTCTACTAAAAATAAAAAAATAAAATAAAAATTAGCTGTGTGTGGTGGTGCATGCCTATGATCCTAGCTACTTGGGAGGCTGAGGCACGAGAATCGCTTGAACCTGAGAGGCAGAGGTTGCAGCCTGGGCGACAGAGCAAGACTCCACCCAAAATAAAATAAAAAAATAAAATAGCTTACTTAGATATGGATGGCAAGGTTAAGAATCTGAGCTAAGTGTCAATGCCTTTTCCAATAAATAAAATATGTGTTAAGTAAGCCAAAAGAAAAAAAGAAAAAAATGGACTTTTATTAACCTTATGGTTTACTTGACTAGATCTCTGTGGGCAAGTGAATAAGACTAATATACTAAGAATTGTGTAGTGGGGTTTTTGTTTTCTTTTTTTGTTTTCTAGAGACAGAGTCTTGCTATGTTGCCCAGGCTGGTCTGAAACTCCTGGTCTCAAGCAATCCTCCTGTCTTGGCCTCCCAAAGTGCTGGAATTATAGGCATGAGCTACTGTGCCCGGTCTTGTACAGTCATTTAATATTTAATAAAATATTATATAAAATAAAATAGTCTGGCATAACACCAACCTAAAAAAAGGTTAGCAACATCTTGCTTCCAAAAAGACATCTTTTGCTATTAGAAATAAAACAAAGAAAAAACATTCACAATATGAACTCTTAGATCAGAGTATGCACCAAACATTCCGCTAGAAATAAAAAAGGATAAATCTGCTGGGCCTTTTATAACCTGCACTACATGTAACAAGTTACTCACTTGAAGACTACATCCTCATCACATTTCTCTTATTAGAAAAGATTGGAGGCATGGCCCCTATTGCACTGTTTTATACTTTATTTTCTGTTTTTCTGGTTTTATTTTTATTTTTAAATGACCCAGGCCAGGCGTGGTGGCTCATGCCTGTAATCCCAGCACTTTGGGAGGCCGAGGCAGGCGGATCACTTGAGGTCAGGAATTTAAGACCAGCCTGGCCAACATGGCGAAACCTCGTCTCTACTAAAAATAGAAAAATTAACTGGGCATGGTGGTGCATACCTGTAATCCCAGCTACTCGGGAGGCTGAAGCAGGAGAATCGCTTGAACCCAGGAGGCAGAGGTTGCAGTGAGTCAAGATAGCACCACTGCACTCCAACCTGGGAGACAGAGTCCATCTCAAAAAAAAAAAAAAAAAAAAAAAAAGACCCTACAGTAAAAATTGACAGGGGAGAGGGGTGTACCTTCTATCCATTTCAACCCACTTACAGCCATGCGTGGCCATCACCGCAATCAGGATACAGAAGAGTTCCATTCTCCCCAATAAGCTGTCCTGTGCTTTTCCTCTCTATATCACAGGGTTTTCTTTCCATGTCGCCATGGGTTTTCGTCCATGTCCTTTGCCACCTGAGTTTTTCTCCCTTCTTCCCAGTCATTTCTGACCACTTGAGCCTTGGAACAATCAGGAATGGAGAGTGCCTCTATCCTAGGAGTGAGAAAAGGGAGAGGGAATTAGAGGAGAGGTCTTCTGGGTTGTGGGAATACAGGAACCTTATTCAGATCAGATCATGAGGTTTCCAGCCTTCTATCTGGAAGAGTCTCATAGCCAGTTGGGCATTTAATTTAGCTCAACTAAAAATCTCTAATAAAGGTGAGAGGTATTAAGCCATCAACAGACATTCACCTGATGCCGCTGGCAATAGTGGCTTATAATTGTGGGACAGCTCAAAACTACAGAACCAGTTGCTTTCAGCATGGAGACAACGGGTCTACCATTGTAGAAAATGTGGAGACCACACATTGACCTCATTAGTACCAACATCTAGCCATACACAGGAATCTGTTTTAATATCACCAGATTAACTCACATCAAAACAGTTGCTTTGATTTTTAGGGTCCATTATTATTCCTGTTTTACTGGAAGCTACAATGAAGACTTAAGTGATGGAAGTGTCAACACAATAGATTCATGCCTACTAATTCCTGCTGTAGAACCCCTGAGACCAAGATTAGTTTTGAACTGAAGAGTTACAAGTGGGATGCTAGGTCCTCTCACAGCTCAGTGACCACACACACAAGCACTCGTTTCTTCTGAATCAACTCTTGTAACTCTTCAGTTCCAAACTAATCTTTTGTATCATTCAATTCTACTCCAGTATCAAAAGCATAATTAGAAGATGTATTTCACCCAGAACTAGAGCAGTTGCTATTGACATTTGTAGCAGTACAGCTTGTGCTCGGCTCCCTGCTCTAATTCTAGTGCACCAAAGGGGAATGGTTTCTAATTAGAGGGAGTAGAACTAACAGAGCATGAAAAACAGGATATCTGTGTTGTAGCTGTAACATACCTAAGTTATTTAGTGTCTGCACTTGACTAATAAAATAAGAAACAGCCTCCCAAAATGCTGGGATTACAGGTGTGAGCCATTGCCAGGCAGGCCAATCACCTGAAGTAGAGAGTTCGAGACCAGCCTGGCCAATAAGGTGAAACCCCATCTCTACCAAAAATACAAAAATTAGCCAAGCGTGGTGGCACATGCCTGTAATCCCAGCTACTTGAAAGGCTGAGGCAGGAGAATCGCTTGAACCCGGGAGGCAGAGGTTACAGTGAGCTGAGATTGTGCCACTCCAGCCTGGGTGACAGAGCGAGACTCCATCTCAAAAAACAATAATAATAACATTAATAAAAATAAAAACAAAATAAAATAAGAAACAGGCTGGGTGCTGTGACTCACACCTGCAATCCCAACACTTCGGGAAGCCAAGGCAGGTGGATAACTTGAGGCCAGGAGTTCAAGACCAGCCTGGCCAACATAGTGAAATCCTGTCTCCACTAGAAATACAAAAATTAGCCAGGCATGGTAGCACATGCCTGTAATTCCAGCTACTTGGGAGGCTGAGGCATGAGAATCACTGGAACCTGGGAGGCAGAGGTTACAGTGAGCTGAGACTGTTCCACTGCACTCCAGCCTGAGCAACAGAGCTAGACTCTGTCTCAAAAAAATAATAAAAAATAAATAAATTTAAAGGCCTGGCACCGTGGCTCATACCTGTAATCCCAGCACTTTGAGAGACCGAGGCGGGTGGATCATGAGGTCAGGAGTTCAAGACCAGCCTGGCCAAGGTGGTGAAACCTTGTCTCTACTAAAAATGCAAAAATTAGCCGGGTGCAGTGGCAGGCGCCTGTAATCCCGGCTACTCGGGAGGCTGAGGCAGGAGAATCGCTTGAACCTGGGGGGCGGAAGTTGCAATGAGCTGAGATCACACCACTGCACTCCAGCCTGGGCAATAGAGTGAGACTCTGTCTCAGAAAAAAAAAAAAAAAATTTTAAGAAGAAACAACCTAGGTGACAATGTTAGTTCCAGCCACAATACTCCAATTATTAAAATCGAAGTTGAACAATGCTGCCTGTCTATTATGGGGAAGGGCTAGTTATAACATTAGTATGAAGAGCTCTCTAATTTAATGTTTTCATTGTGTCCAATCTGTTAGATATTTGTAAATTGTCTAATCCAGAAACCTATGCACTTTCAAGGTAACTCCATCCCAAATCTACTTGACTCAAAAAAATTTTTTTTTGTTTTTGAGACAGAGTCTTGCTCTGTTGCCCAGGCTGCACTGCAGTGGTGTGATCACAACTCACTGGAGCTTCAAACTCCTGGGCTCAAGGGATCCTCCCACTTCAGCCTCCTGAGTAGCTGGGACACAGGCGCCCGCCACCAGGCCAAGCTAATTTTTTTTTTTTTTTTTTTTTTTTATTTTTTTTTGAGACGGAGTTTCGCTCTGTCGCCCAGGCTGGAGCGCAGTGGCACGATCTCGACTCACTGCAAGCTCCGCCTCCCGGGTTCACGCCATTCTCCTGCCTCAGCCTCCCGAGTAGCTGGGACTACAGGCGCGCGCCACCATGCCTGGCTAATTTTTGTATTTTTAGTAGAGACGGGGTTTCACCGTGTCAGCCAGGATGGTCTCGATCTCCTGACCTCGTGATCCGCCCGTCTCGGCCTCCCAAAGTGCTGGGATTACAGGCGTGAGCCACCGCGCCCGGCCTAATTTTTTGTATTTTTAATAGAGACGAGGTTTAAGTATGTAGCCCAGGCTGGTCTCGAACACCTGACCTCAAGTGATCTGCCCACCTCAGCCTCCTAAAGTGCTGGGATTATAGGCATGGGCCACCATACCTGGCTGCTCAAAATGTTTTCACCGATGCAGGATTTTCCCCAGTCAGTATGAACTAATATTGCTTTCATACTCTGCCTCTCATTTATTCTTTCTCCTCTAGATATAATCTAAAGGTTTACAATAAAATGTAACCTCTCCAAGGGATAGATCTTGGAATTGAGGGGATCCACTTAAAAAAAAAAAAGAATGTAAAAATGCAAATAAAAAACGCTAGTGCCTGGCATAGGGCCTTGGGAAATGAAATTTAAGCTTCTTTAGCTTTGTGATAACTCATTTCTGTCTCCAACATCTGGAAAACGTTAAACATAGTCCATTAGCTGTACAAAAACACTGTTATTGAGATAAGCATACACATGTGCGCACACACACGATTTCACACATACATGCAGGGTCCATAAGATGACACCAGAGGCTGGGCGTAGTGGCTCACACCTGTAATCCCAGCACTTACGGATGCCGAGGAAGGTGGATTGCTTGAGCTCAGGAGTTGGAGACCAGCCTGGGTGACATGGAGAAACCCTGTCTTTAGAAAAATACAAAAATTAGCTAGACATGGTGTAGTGCATTTGTAGTCTTAGTTACTCTGGAGGCTGAGGTGGGAGGATGGCTTGAGCCCAGGAGTTCAAGGCTGCAGTGAACCAAGATCTCGCCATTGCACTGTAGCCTGGGAAGATGGCCCCAGACATTACTCTTCCCATTAAGGTTAACCCCTTGACTTCCTGGTCTCCTTCCCTTTTCTCTCCTCCCCTCTATTTATTTTGATTGCCTAGAACCTTGGTGTAGGGAAGGAGGTGGAATTGCTGGGCTTCTTTTCCAATTTTTAGTTGTGTTAAGCATAGGGTAAATTTTAGGAAACCATAGTAATGTGCAAATACAGGCACTCAATAAATTAATGGCAAATTAATTAAATGTATAAGTAACCATGGAATCCAATATATATTTTTTTAACATGAACAGTCCTACTAAACGAAGAATCAAAGACTTTTCTGGGGGGGGGACAGTCTTGCTCTTGTTGCCCAGGCTGCAGTGCAATGTCACAATCTCAGCTCACTACAACCTCCGCCTCCTGGGTTCAAGCGATTCTTTTGCCTCAGCCTCCTGAGTAGCTGGGATTACAGGCACCTGCCACCACACCCAGCTAATTTTGTATCTTAAGTAGAAACGGAGTTTCTCCATGTTGGTCAGGCTGGTCTCGAATTCCCGACCTCAGATGATCCACCCGCCTGGGCCTCCCAATGTGCTGGGATTACAGGCGTGAGCCACCGTGCCCAGCCCAAAGACTCTTAAAGATATATTCAGGCTTGAGAAATGTGTTGAAACAAACAACACGACATTCAATAGGGATTGAATGTGATGGCTTGGATTTAGGTTTTAAAAAACTAAGTAATTGGCTGGGCGCGGTGGCTCATGCCTGTAATCCCAGCACTTTGGGAGGCCGAGGCGGGCGGATCACGAGGTCAGGAAATCGAGACCATCCTGGTTAACACCGTGAAACCCCGTCTCTACCAAAAATAGAAAAAAATTAGCCGGGCGTGGTGGCCGGCGCCTGTAGTCCCAGCTACTCTGGAGGCTGAGGCAGGAGAATGGCGTGAACCCGGGAGGCGGAGCTTGCAGTGAGCCGAGATGGCGCCACTGCACTCCAGCCTGGGCGACAGGGAGAGACACCGTTTCAAAAAACAAAAAACAAAAAACTAAGTAATTGGGCCGGGTGCGGTGGCTCACGCCAGTAATCCCGCACTTTGGGAGGGAGACCATCCTGGCTAACACAGTGGAAACCCGTCTCTACTAAAAAAATACAAAAAAATTTGCCGGGTGTGGTGGCGGGCGCCTGTAGTCCCAGCTCCTCAGGAGGCTAAGGCAGGAGAATCACTTGACCCCGGGAGGCAGAGGTTGCAGTGAGCCGAGATCACGCCATTGCACTCCAGCCTGGGCGACAGAGCGAGACTCTGTCTCAAAAAAAAAAAAGAAAAAAACCCAAAACTAATTACATACAATAAAGGGAATATAATTAATGTTCAACAGAAGCTTTACTAAAAGCCATGAACCTGGCTCCTGAAAGAGGCAATGTCCTGAAAAAAAAAAAAAAAAGTCAACAAACATCGATAAACTTTAGGAGAAAAACACACAGCAAATGACATATTGGTATGATGACAATGTACTTTACACATAGATAGCTAGGAAGGATGAGAACAGCATATATTTCCAACAATCACTGAAGTAACAGATAAAAATTTAGAGGGTTGGAGATTAAACAAAAATGTGTAGGTGCTATAGAAAAAATGCGTTCCCCCAAAATTCGTATGTTGAAACCTAATCCCCAATATGATGGTTTTTGTAGTACAGGGCTTTGGGAGGTGTTACGTCATCAGGGTGGAGGTCTTCTGAATGGGATTAGTGCCTTTACAAAAGAGTTCCCAGAGAGCTCCCTCACTTCTTCAGTCATGTGAGGACATAGCAAGAGGACGACCATCTGTGATCCACAGAGGGGCCTTCACCAGACACACCTTGATCTTGGACTTAGCCTCCTATAAAAAATAAATGTGTTTTTTGTTTTTTTTTTTGTGGGTTTTTTTTTGTTTGTTTGAGAAGGAGTCTCACTCTGTAGCCCAGGCTGGAGTGCAGTGGCGCGATCTCCGGTCACTGCAAGCTCCGCCTCTCAGGTTCACGCCATTCTCCTGCCTCAGCGTCCCGAGTAGCTGTGACTAGAGGCGCCGGCCACCACGCCCGGCTAATTTTTTTTTTTCTTTTTTTTTCTTTTTTTTAGAGATGAGGTTTCACCGTGTTAGCCAGGATGGTCTCAATCTCCTGACCTCATGATCCGCCCACCTCGGCCTCCCAAAGTGCTGGGATTACAGGTGTGAGCCACCACACCGGGCCAAATGTTTGTTGTTTATAAGCCACCCAGTCTATGGCATTTTGTTATGGCAGCCCAAGTGGAAAGATAGTGTTTCTGATGTTATTATAACTCCTGTTAGAAAAAGGATAAATTATGTCTGCATTGCCCTTACCTGGTTTTGAAAGCAGAGTGGTTATGATCTGAAAAAGGATTACAGGTGATGACTTTGAAAGTAGGCTGAAGGCTAAGATTTTAAAGAAAAGGGCAGTTTACTTTATGCCAGTGTGTCTGATGTTATCATTATAACTCCTGTTAGCAATAAGGAAAAAGGATAAATTATGTCTGCATTGCCCTTAACCTGTTTTTTTTTGTTGTTTTTTTGTTTGTTTGTTTTTTTGTTTTGAGGCAGAGTTTCACTCTGTCACCCAGAGTAGAGTGCAGTGGCATGATCTCAGCTCACTGCAAGCTCCACCTCCCGGGTTCACACCATTCTCCTGCCTCAGCCTCCCGAGTAGCTGGGACTACATGCGCCCACCACCGTGCCCGGCTAATTTTTTGTATTTTCAGTAGAGACGGGGTTTCACTGTGTTAGCCAGGATGGTCTTGATCTCCTGACCTCGTGATCCACCCACCTTGGCCTCCCAAAGTGCTGGGATTACAGGCATGAGCCACCGCGCCCAGCTGCCCTTAACCTGGTTTTGAAAGCAGAGTGATTATGATCTGAAAAAGAATTATAGGTGGTGGTTTTGAAAGTAGGCTGAAGGTCAAGATTTTAGAGAAAAGGGCAGTTTATTACTTCAAGTGTTTTTCATAATTGTCAATAAACAAATATACATAAAATACCTCCAAAAAGATAAATGCCTAAGTGTTGCCTCTGGGGAGAACTAGAGAAGTAGGGACACAGAAATGTGTCCTTTAATGTTGTTGTATCTTTAATGTCATGTGAATTTTGTGCCATGTTTATGTATCATCAATTTAACATTTATTAATTTTAAAAAGTAGAAGACTTGGGCCTGGCGCGGTGGCTCATGCCTGTAATCCCAGCACTTAGGGAGGCCGAGGCGGGTGAATCACGAGGTCAGGAGATGGAGACCATCCTGGCTAACATGGTGAAACCCTGCCTCTACTAAAAATACAAAAAATTAGCCAGGCGTGGTGGCAGGCGCTTGTGGTCCCAGCAACTCGGGAGGCTGAGGCAGGAGACTGGCATGAACCTGGGAGGAGGAGCTTGCAGTGAGCCTAGATCGCGCCACTGCACTCCAGCCTGGGCAACAGAGCGAGACTCCATCTCAAAAAAAAAAAAAAAAAAAAAAAAAAAAAGTAGAAGACCTGGTTCCTACTCTTCCTAAGTTAATTGCTCCTTTTCTGTGTACTTGTACTCTCTGGGATTATTGCTAATGTGGCACTTATCTGAATTCATTGCAATTATTTAGGCAAGGGAAGAGTTTGTGAGGTTTTCATGTTGGAAAAATAACATCTTCGCCTTTTGTGAATGGAAAATGGATTAACAAGAGGCCAGAATGGATGCAGGCTGATCAGTTAAGAGGCTATTGCACCTGCCTAAGTGAGAAGTGACAGTAGTTTGGGCCAGGCACAGTGGCTCATGCCTGTAATCCCAGCACTCTGGGCTAAGGTGGGAGGATTGCTTGAGCCCAGGAGCTCCAGACCAGCCTGGGTGACATGATGAGATCCTGTCTCTTCAAAAAAATAGAAAAAATTAGTGGGGTGTTGTGGTGTGTGCCTGTAGTCCCAGCTACTTGGGAGGCTAAGGTGGGAGGATCACCTGAGCCCAGGAGGTTGAGGCTGCAGTGAGCCAAGATCACACCACTATACTCTAGCCTGGGCGACAGTTAGACCCTGACTCAAAAAAAAAAAAAGGAAAAAAAGAAAAAAAACACAGTTATTTGGACTAGAATAGTTGTGGGAAAGACAGGGAGAAATGAAAAATTTGGGAGATATTTAAATGTCTTTGATATTGGAATTGAGGTAGGAGGAAGTTATCAAAGATAATACCTGTTTCCAGATTTGGGAATGTATTAGCTGTGCATGGATTCTTTGGGTCAGATTTGGGAGTGGCTTAGCTGAATAGTTCTTTTTCAGGGTTTCTCATGAGATTTCAGTCAAAGTATTGGCCTGGGCTACAGCCATCTGAAGGCTTGACTGTGGTTGGGGGATCCTGCTACCAAACCCACTTACATTACTGTTGGCAGGAGACCTCAGTTCCATGCAGTCCCTGTGGACCTCTCCATGGGACTTCCTGGATCTCCTCATAAATTGTTAGCTGTCATACAGAAATCTGATGTTTGCTGAATTAATGTTTTTTAAAAACCTAGCCATTTCTGCTAGGGACAGTGGATCATGCCTGTAATCCCAGCACTTTGGGAGGCCGAAGTGGGTGGACCACCTGCGCTCAGGAGTTGGAGAGCAGCCTGGGCAGGATGGCAAAACTCTATCTCTACAAAAAATACAAAAGTTAGCCAGGTGTGGTGGTGCACACCTATAGTTCCAGCTACTTGGGAGGCTGAGGTAAGAGGATTGCTTGAGCCTGGAGGTTGAGGCTCCAGTGAGCCATGTTCGCACCTAGCAGAAATGGTTAGGTTTTTAAGAAACATTTAAAAAATGTTTAGCCTGGGAGACAGAGTGAGACCCTGTCTCAAAAACAAAACAAAACACAACAAAAAACCTGACCGTCATTTCAACCAGGCAGAATTATACATTTATGCATCCATCAATCTTTCATTCCTTGATTGATTACATCATTATTTCATATATATTATGTGCCATGCAATGTTCTAGGTGCTGGGCACAATATTTGTAGGGTCCTTTTCTCAATAAACTTACATTCCAGTGAGCAGAGACAGATAAAAATCAGGTAAATGAATGACAAAGATAATTTTGTCTAGTAATTAATACTGTAAAGAAAAACAGTATAATTGAATAAAGTGATGGGGGATACTACATTAGCTAAGGCCATTAGGCAAGGATTTTCTGAGGTGACATTTGCGTTTACACGGCAAGGAGAGGCCAGCCCCACAAACATTTGCAGAACAAGATTTCCAAACAGTGGGAGCAGCAAGTGAAAAAGCCTGAAGGATGGATGAGTTAGGTGTGTTTGTGAAATAAAATGAAAGCCAGTGTGATCAGTGCATAATGAAAAGGAAGACCAAAGCCAAATCTTGTAGGACTTTATCAACTTTGATAGAGAAGCTCGATTTTATTTCAACCACATGGAAGTCACTGGAGGTTTTTAAGCATGAATAATGATACAATCTGGTTTGCCATAATTAAAATATCCATAGTGGGCCAGGCATGGTGGCTCACACCTGTAATCTCAGAACTTTGGAAGGCTGAGGCAGGAGGATTGCTTCAGGCCAGGAGTTCAAGAGCAGCCTGGGCAACATAGTGAGACCCTATCTCCAGACAATAATTGAAAAATTAGCTGGGTGTGGTGTTGCACACCTGTGGTCTCAGCTACTCGGGAGGCTGAGTTAGGAGGATCACTTGAGCCTGGGAGGTCAAGGCTGCAGTGAGCCTGATTGTGCCATTGCAACACAGCAAGATTCTGTCTCAGAAACAAAACAAAACAACAAATGAAATAGCCATACTGCTATAGGAACAAGGAGGTATAATTGTTGGCTAGGGCTGCTATAACAAAATGCCACAGACTGGGTGGATTAAAGAATAGAAATTTATCCAGGCACAGTGGCTCATGCCTATAATCCCAGCATTTCGGGAGGCCAAGGCAGGTGAATCACTTGAGGTCAGGAATTCGAGACCAGCCTGGCCAACATGGTGAAACCTGTCTCTACCAAAAAAATACAAAAATTAGCTGGGTGTGGTGGTGCACGCCTATAGTCCCAGATACTCTGGAGTCTGAGATGGGAGAATTGATTGTACCTGGGAGGTGGAGGTTGCAGTGAGCTAAGATCACACCACTGCACTCCAGCCTGGGTGACAGAGTGAGACCTTGTCTAAAAAAATAAAATAAAATAAACAGAAATTAATTTTGTCACAGTTCTGGAGGCTGGGAGTCCAAGATCAAGATGCTGGTAGGGTTGGTTTCCTCTGAGGGCCTAAGGGAGGAGTCTGTTGCAGGCCTCTCTCCTTGGCTTGCAGATTGCCACCCTCTTGGTTGCTGCCTCTTCACACATTTGTCTCTGTGTGCATGCATCCCTCGTATCCCCCTCTTATAATTACACCAGTCATATGGGATTAAGGTCCTATCCCGATGGCCTCATTTTAACTTAATCATATCTTTAATGACCTAATCTCCGGATATGGTTACATTCTGAGGTACTAGAGGTTGAGACTTAGAGAAGTGAATTTGGGAGAGACACATAACAGCCCATAACAGAAGTCAAGAATGGAAGTAGCAAGATCAGTTAGGATACTACTGCAGTATCTCAGCAAGAGATGCCAGTGGCTTGGATTAGGATTTTTAGATTAGGAGTTGTTGGATTAGATAATTATTTTAAAAGTAGCATGCATGGGTTTGCTGCTTCTAAGTGCTAAAAATAAATGACTCAGGGATTATCATCAGTTTTTGGCCTGAGCAACTTGGTTGCCATTTGCTGAAACAGAGAAAATGGAGAAGCAAGTTTACAGGGAGAACAAGAATTATGAGATTAAATGATTCTTTAAGAATCACTCTTCTCTTATGAGAAGATTTTTTTTTTTTTTGATTCGGGTTCTGGTTCTGTTGCCCAACTGGAGTGCAGTGGTACAATTGTGGCTCACTGCAGCCTCAAACTCCTGGCCTCAAGTACTTCTCCTGTCCTAGCTTCCCAAGTAGTTGGAACTACAGGTGTGCACCACCACGCCTAACTAAGATTTTCTATTCATTCTTTTTATAGAGATGGAGTCTCACTATGTTGCCCAGGCTGGTCTCAAACTCCTGGCCTCAAGCCATCCTCTGCCTTGGTCTCCCAAAATGCTGGGATTACAGGTGTAAGCCATTGCACCCAGCCAATAATTCTAATTTGAACATATTATGTCTAAAACATATTAGACATTCAGGCCAGGCGTGGTGGCTCACGCCTGTAATACCAACACTTTGGGATGCCGAGACGGGTGGATCACTTGAGGTCAGGAGTTCCAGACCAGCCTGGCCAACATGGTGAAAACTGGTCTCTACTAAAAGTGAAAAAATTAGCTGGGCGTGGTGTGGCATGTGCCTGCAATCCCAGCTACCAGGGAGGCTGAGGCAGGAGAATCACTTGACTCTGGGAGGCAGAGGTTGCAGTGAGCTGAGATCGCATCATTGCACTCCAGCCTGATATATTGCTATTAATTTCCAAAAAACTTTTCATGGTCTCTGATTCAATTCCTACACAGCACAAACTCATAGCCTACTGTCCAGAGATTGGGAGTGTGGTAGAAGAGGAGTCACTGCTCAACTGTACAAGGGTCTATGTGTAGAGAAGAACCTGAAGGCCTCATTACTCCTTGTATAAACTCACAACCAAATCCTATTTCAGCTCCTATTTTCTGGTACCTACTTTTACCAGGACTCTTAGAGGTTCTTCAAAGTAAATCAAATTGCTTCTCACTGGTCTTCCCTTCTGCACCCTATGTCTACTATTAACTATCATTCTTTTAGTCTTACAAAAATTTGTTGAACTCTCGTCTGCTGGAACTCTGCTTTCAGCGAAGATGGAAAGACCAGAACTGGATTTATCCTTCTGCCTAAAACAACTAGAAAACCAGACAGAGTACATAAAACAATGGTTTTCAGATGGTAGATAATGGGCAGTGCAGGACTGTGATCCCCGAGCAAAGGGAAAACAGAGGTGACTCCTACAATTGAGCCAGCTTACTGTCTGGAGGGAGTTTTCAGGCTCCAGTGCAGGTAAAGGGAACCCAGACAGAGCATGGCTCTCTGGCTAAGTTGAGGAGATAGATACCAGAGTTCACAGAGGCCACTAGAATTTTCAGGACAGACTGCAAGAGAAGACAGAGCTCTATAGAGAGAGGTCTAGAGACTTGGAAAATGAGTTTCCTCAAGTCTATGGCTGAGTTTTGGGCTGTGCATGCACGAGAAGAACATGACTGGGGCCAGAGAAATAATCTCTGGAAAGGAGTAGACAGAAAAAAATCCTAGACCTCACACAGGGCTGGAAATAAATTATTCATGTTCTCAAAAGTCACAGTATTATACAGGGCATGAGGCAGAATCTTCAAAAGGTTGTTGCCTGAGTTGTGAAATCAAAATAGATCAAGATTAAAGGCCGTTCTTTACTTACACCAATAATCTTAAAATAAAATTTTAAAAGGATCTAACTGATTTCAAGTACTTAACTGCACACTACATAAAAGAATTCAGGCCAGGCGTGGTGGCTCACGTCTGTAATCCCAGTACTTTGGGAGGCCAAGGCAGGCAGATCACAAGGTCAGGAGATGGAGACCATCCTGGCCAACATGATGAAACCCAGTCTCTACTAAAAATACAAAAATTGGCTGGCCGGCATGTGTAATCTCAGCTACTCTGGAGGTTGAGGCAGGAGAATGGCTTGAATCCGGGAGGTGGAGATAGCAGTGAGCTGAGACCGAGCCACTGCACTCAAGCCTGGAGACAGAGCAAGACTCCATCTCAAAAAAAAAAAAAAAAAAAAAAAGAATTCAGCGGCCAGGTGCGGTGGCTCACTTCTGTAATCCCAGCATTTTGGGAGCCCGAGGTGGGTGGATCACCTGAAGTCAGGAGTTCGTGACCAGCCTGGCCAACATGGTGAAATCCTGTCTCTACTAAAAATACAAAAAAACTAGCCAGGCGTAGTGGTATGTGCCTGTAATCCCAGCTACTCGGGAGGCTGGGGCAGTAGAATTGCTTGAACCTGGGAGGTGGAGGTTGCAGTGAGCCGATATCACGCTACTGCACTCCAGCCTGGGTGACAAGAGCAAGACTCTGCCTCAAAAAAAAAAAAAAAAAAAAAAAAAAAAAAAATTCCGCAAGATCCAGTAACTAGCAATGTGAAATTCACAACATCTGGCATCTACGAAAAATTACCAAGAATGCAAAGAAACAACAAAATATAATTCATAATCAGGAGAAAAATAGAAAAATCAATCAATAGGAACAAACTCAGAAATAATAGATATGATGAATCTAGCAGACAAGTTTTTCTTTTTTATTTTTTTGAGACGGAGTTTCGCTCTGTCACCCAGGCTGGAATGCAGTGGCACGATCTCAGCTTGCTGCAACCTCTCCCTCCCAGGTTCAAGTGATTCTCCTGCATCAGGCCCCTGAGAAGCTGGGATTACAGGCGCCCACCACACCCAGCTAATTTTTGTATTTTTTGTTATTTTTTAAATTATTATTATTATATTTATTTATTTTTTGAGACAGAGTCTCACTCTGTCGCTCAGGCTGGAGTGCAGTGGCATGATCTCAGCTCACTGCAAGCTCCATCTCCTGGATTCACGCCATTCTCCTGCCTCAGCCTCCCGAGTAGCTGGGACTACAGGTGCCCGCCACCACACCTGGCTAATTTTTGGGTTTTTTTTTTTTGGTATCTTTAGTTGAGACGGGGTTTCACTGTGTTAGCCAGGATGGTCTCGATCTCCTGACCTCGTGATCCGCCTGCCTCGGCCTCCCAAAGTGCTGGGATTACAAGTGTGAGCCACCGCACCTGGCCCCGTATTTTTTCTTTTTCTTTTAGTAGAGACAGTGTTTCCCCATGTTGGCCAGGATAGTCTGGAACTCCCGACCTCAAGTGATTCTCCCTACCTCGGCCTCCTCAAGTGCTGGGATTACAGGTGTGAGGCACCGCCCCCAGCTGCATTCAAGTGTTTTTGTTGTTGTTTTTTGTTTTTTTGAGACAGTCTTGCTCTTGTCACCCAGGCTGGAGTGCTATGGCACAATCTTAGCTTACTGCAACTTCTGCCTCCCAGGTTCCAGCGATTCTCCTGCCTCAGCCTCCCGAGTAGCTGGGATTACAGGCGCCCGCCACCACACCTGGCTAATTTTTGTATTTTTAGTAGAGACAGGGTTTCGCTATGTTGGCCAGGCTGGTCTCGAACTCCTGACTTCATGATCTGTCCGCCTCGGCCTCCCAAAGTGCTGGGATTACAGGCATGAGCCACCGCGCCTGGCCCGCAGACAAGTTTTTAAAAATAGATTTTATAAATATACACTATATGTTCACAAAAGTAGAGGAAAACATGAGCATGGTGAGGAGAGAGAAAATATTTTTAAAGTCCCAAATAGAACTTCCAGAAATGAAAATGCAAGGTCTGAAATAAAAAATACATTGGATGGAATTTAAAGATCAGATGCTGCAGAAGAAAACATCAATGAATTTGACGACACCAATATAGAAACTATCTAAAATGGAGCACAAAGAAGCTGGGTGCAGTGGCTCAAGCCTGTAATCCCAGCACTTTGGGAGGCCGAGGTGGGCAGATCACCTGAGGTCAGAAGTTCGAGACCAGCCTGGCCGATATGGCAAAACCCCATCTCTACTAAAAATACAAAAATTAGCTGGATGTGATGATGTGCGCCTTTAATCCCAACTACTCGGGAGGCTGAGGCAGGAGAATCACTTGAACCCAGGAGGCAGGAGATTCTCTTGAACCCAGGAAGCAGAGGTTGCAGTGAGCCGAGGTCATGCTACTGCATGCCAGCCTGGGCAACACAGCAAGATTCTGTCTAAAAAATAAAATAAAAATAAAATGGAGCACAAAGAGAAAACAAGGCCAGGTGCAGTGGCTCACACCTGTAATCCCAGCACTTTGGGAGGCGGAGGCGGGCGGATAGCGAGGTTAGGAATTCAAGACCAGCCTGGCAAACATAATGAAACCCCGTCTCTACTAAAACACAAAAATTTAGCCAGGCATGCTGGCAGGCGCCTGTAATCCCAGCTACTCGGGAGGCTGAGGCAGGAAAATCGCTTGAACCTGGGAGGCAGAGGTTGCAGTGAGCTGAGATCGCGCCACTACACTCTAGCCTGGGTGACAGAGCAATACTCCATCTCAAAAGAAAATATTAACAAGGGAGATAAATTAATTAATCTAAATGTTGGTTCTGGCTGGGTGTGGTGGCTCACACCTGTAAACTCAGCACTTTGGGAGGCCAAGGCATGAGGATCACTTGAGCCCACGAGTTTGAGACCTGCCTGGGCAACATAGTGACACCCCCATCACTACAAAAAAATACAAAAATTAGCTGGGTGTGGCACACACTTGTAGTTCTAGCTACTAGGGGGACTGAGGCAGAAGGATGGGTTGAACCTGGGAGGCTGAGGCTGAAGTGAGCCGAGATTGCGCCACTGCACTCCAGCCTGCATGACAAAGTGAGACCTGGTCTCAAAAAATATAATAAAATAATAAATAAATGTTGATTCTTTGAAGAGAGCAATAAAATTGATAAAAACTGAAACAGGGAAAGAGAAAAGATAAAAATTACCAAGATTTGGCTTGAAAGATGATATCACTACAGATCTGATAGACATTAAAGGATAAAAAAAAATATTATGGGCCGGGCACAGCGGTTCACACCTGTAATCCCAGCACTTTGGGAGGCCGAGGTGGGCAGATAACCTGAGGTCAGGAGTTTGAGACTAGGCTGGCCAACATGGTGAAACTCTGTCTCTACTAAAAATACAAAAATTAGCCAGGTGTGGTGGCAGGCGCCTGTAATCCCAGCTACTCCGGAGGCTGAGGCACAAGAATTCCTTGAACCTGGGAGGTGGAGGTTGTGTAGCAAGCTGAGATCATGCCACTGCACTCCAGCCTGGGCGACGGAGCCAGACTCCATCTCAAAAAAAAAATTATGAACAATTTTATGACAATAAATTTGACAATGGAGACAAAATAGAGAAATTCTCTGAAAGGCATAAACTACAAAACTTACTCTTTTTTAGTAAGAAATAGATAAGCTGAAAAGATCTATATCTATTGTTTCTCTCTGATGATGTTTAATTTCACAGTAATGTACCCAGCTGTGGCTTTTTTTTGTGATCTCGTTTAACCCTCTTTGAATCCTTTCAATCTGAAATTTTCCTTATTTATGATGTAAGAATATGACTTTTGGGGGATTTAAAAAACATTATGTCAAGTATTTAGTAAATGTTCAGTACTCAGTAAATATTAGATGCTCTGGCTGGGCATGGTGGCTCAAGCCTGTAATCCCAGCATTTTGGGAGGCCAATGCAGGCAGATCACAAGGTCAAGAGATTGAGACCATCCTGGTGAAAACCCATCTCTACTAAAAATACAAAAGAATAGCTGGGCGTGGTGGCGCACGCCTGTAGTCCCAGCTACCCGGGAGGCTGAGGTGGGAGAATCGCTTAAACCTGGGAGGTAGAGGTTGCAGTGAGTCGAGACTGTGCCACTGCACTCCAGCCTGGGCGACAGGGTGAGATTCCGTCTCAAAAAAAAAAAAAAAGTTAGCCAGGGCTGATTTCCAGCTTGTTTTGGATATAAACATCCAGAAGAGACATTTCTTCCACCCTTACAATGAAAAAAAAGGTAAACTTCCTTCAAATTACAGAGTATTTTTGAATTTATCGAAGAGTTGAGTTCCCAGGACAAAAAACTGGTCCAAAATCTAAGAAGCAACAGATGCCTGCAGGAAGAGAAGGGCACTAGCTTACTTGGGACAGACACAACCAGATACTGGTATATGTTTAGCTAGAAGAATTGCGGAATTCACGAAGGCTGGTGTGGACTGGCAGAGCACTCAACTCTGTTGCTCAGGCTGGAGTGCAGTGGTATGATCTTGGCTCACTGCAGCCTAGTCTATCTCACAGGCTCAATCCTCCCACCTCAGCTCTCGAGTATTGGGACTATAGATGAGTGCCACCATGCCTGGCATTTTATTTTTTGTAGAGACAAGGTCTCACTATGTTTCCCAGTCTGGTCTTGAACTCCTGAGCTCAAGCAATTCTCCTGCCTCAGCCTCACAAAGTGTTGGAATTACAGGCGTGAGTCACTGCAACTGGCTTTTTTTTTTTTTTTAACTGCTGTAAAAGGCAACTATCGAAAGCAAAAATAGCACAAGTATTGTATGTTTACAGCATTTGTAAAAGTGAAATATATGGCAACATTGGCACAATGAATAGAAGAGTTGGGAATATACTGTTTTAAAGTCCTTCTGCTACATGTGAGTGGTGTATTACTGAAGGTTCCTATTATGTGGAACCTATTTGACTGGACCATTCCATGAAAGTTGTAGGCATGAAAGAATAAAAGTGTTACAGAAATATGTGACCTTGAATTCTAAAATTACACTGCATTACATGTATTTTTATAACAAGTATGCTCTTATGCTTTAAAAAACTGTCTTTGTTTTCTTAATAGACTTGATTTTTTTCAGAACAATTTTAGGTGCACAGCAAAAACGAGCAGAAAGTACACAGTTCCTTTCATCCCCTCCCCCATATATGCACAGCCTCCCTATCAACATCCTGCACCAGCATGTTCTACTTGTTAGAACTGATGAACCTACATTGACACATCATAATCATCCAAAGTGCATACATTAGGCTTCATTCTCAGTGATGTACATTCAATGGGTTTTGACAAATGTGTAATAGCATGCATCCACCATTATAGTATCATGCAGAATAGTTTCACTGCCCAAAAAATCCTGTGCACTCCCCTTGGTCATTCTAAATTTTCATTTCTCTGAAGCTAGAAATCCCAAAGTTAGAGTTGGCCTTTTTCATTCTAAAGTATGTCTTCAATTCTGGGAAATTCTCAGCAATAATTCTTTCACATGTTCTTTTTTTCCCCTTCTGGAATTTCCATTAGAAAAATATTTATGCTTCTACCTTCCACATTTCTTAACTCTCCTTTCATGCTTTCCATTTCTTAGTTCCTTCCTTGCTCTAATCTTCCGGTTCATGAGTGAACTGTCCAGCTATATTCAACCCATCCATTGAGTTATTTCATTAATATTTGTCAACATCCAATTCACAAATGCTTGTTTGTGCTTTGTGTTTCCAACATTCTCCCTTCTTTCTCTGAAGCTCTATTAAGCTTATTTTCAATTCTTATTGTCTGATCCATTCACTTGACTTTCTCTGGTATAGCTAGTTCTACGTATTGTTTTAGCAGTTCTCATGGTCCTCAGATGTTTCATGATTTTCCCTCTGTGCTCATTGCTCATACTTATTCCTTGGGACAATCAGCTGCCTTGGCGATCATGTCTACCTGAGGGAAAGGGAGAAAAGCCTCAATGTTGGTTTGTGCTGCTCCACAAGAGTTTAGGACTTGGGAAAAAGGTATATCTCATGTCAAAGTGCTTCCAGGATAATGATCCAGTTAAAGCATTCCCTGTTTTCCCATTTCAGGCATGTCCAGATCATTTCACAATTCCTCTACTCCAGCCACTGCTACTGATGGAGAGGTAAAGGGAAAGAATAGGGGGACAATGGGGTCCCCAGGCACAGGCTGGCCAATCCACACTCACACACCACACTTCCAAATGTCTTGGCTGGTTCTTTTTTTCTGACCTACTCCTTAAAGGTTGATGTTTTCCAATGCTCCTTGCGTGTTCCTTTTATCTAACATTGGATGGAGTCTCTCTGGCTCACATTTTCTTCACCTACACATAGCAGCCGAACAAATAACATTCAAAGTTTGTTAAATAATTGTGTAACTGGGAAATTCAAGGGACATTTTCAACCACATTCTCAATCTTGGAGGAGGTAAGGCTCAGTTTCAGCTTCAAAGTACCTGTTTTCATTGGTTCAGTTATTTTATCTTAAAAAGGAGGTAAATACTAAACAAAGTTAGAAAAAGAATTCTAAAGGTCCAACTCTCTATTTCTGTGGATCTCCATTTGCACTGTGGAGTTGCTTGAGCCATATAATTTTACCATGTTTATCTCTGGTGGATGTCAGTTAATATTAAGTGGGTTATGGACTAATTTTAGCTCTCTGTGAAAATCAACACACCCAGATTTTAAAACAAATATTTTGGTACTCATATCTAGGTATACTATAATTTTTAGGGAGGTTTTAAAATTAATTTTATTTATTTATTTATTTATTTATTTATTTATTTATTTATTTATTTATAGAGACAGGGTCTCACTCTGTTATCCAGGTTACAGTCCAGTGGTGCAAACTCCTAGACCCAAGGGATCCTCCTGCCTCAGCCTTCCGCCTAGCTGGGACTACAGACATGCTACCACATCTGGCTCATTTTTCTTTTTTTTGGTAAAGATGGGATTTCACTATGTTGCCCAGGCTGATCTCGAACTCCTGGCTTCAAGCAGTCATCCCACTTCGGCCTCCTACCTCAACCTGTGTTGAGATTATAGGCACAGGCCACCTTGCCCAGCTCAGGGAGGTTATTTTTTGAAACTCTTTTCCTCAGACTATATTGCTCTCCTAAGCCAGTCTGAGGTTACTCTTTTGGCTCCACACATTAATATTTATTTCTTATTCTTACCTTTTCAGAACATGGCAAAAAAACGTTTGGCCCCAATTTCTTTGCACAGCCTAGTATCCAGAAAGAGAGAAAACTGATCATCTATGGGGACTGCATGTATTATCAAGCTATGGTATTCAGATTTATTTTATCATTTAAATGATCATTTCCAAATTTTGTATACTAAAAACTCAGATATAGAAGTCCCTGAGTGAATCTGTACACAGAAAGGCTTAGACACAAATACCAAATTAATTGTCATGCCAGGCTGGGCACAGTGGCTCATGCTTATGATTTCAGCTACTAAGGAGGCTGAGTTGGAGGATCGCTTGAGCCTGGGAGGTGGAGGTTGCAGTAAACTGAGATTGCACCACTGCACTCCAGCCTGGGTGACAGAGGGAGACCTTTCTCAATAAATAAATAACATAAAATATAAATTGTCATACCTGGGTGTTGGGATGGCTGGGTTTTCTAGTCTCTGTTATAAAAAGGTTACATTTTATTTGAAGAAAACAAAGTATCCACATGATGGCACTATAACCTACAAAATAAGAGGTTGTCAATTTATGAAGACCAAGAACTTGGTAAATTCTACTTAGAGTACTTACTACTCTAAAATGCTGAAAGGAAATTGCCTAAAGAATGTGCTGAAAAATGGCTGGGCTCATGCGTGTGAAATCTCAGCAATTTGAGAGGCCAAGGCAGGCAGATTGCTTGAGCTCAGGAGTTCGAGACCAGCCTGGGTGACATGGTGGAAACCCCCTCTACGAAAAATACAAAAATTAGCCTGGCATGGTGATGCACACCCGTAGTCCCAGCTACTCGGGAGGCTGTAGTGGGAGGACTGCTTGAGCCCAGGAGGTTGAGACTGCAGCGAGCCAAGATCATGCCACTGCAATCCAGCCTGGGCCATAGAGTAAGAGATCCTGTCTCAAAAAAACAACAAAAAAAAGAATGCTGAAAAATAAGGCATTTTATATACAAGGTAATATGGATATAATTCCCTTATGTTTTATAGAGACTTACTGGCTAATCCTTCATATCCCTTTCTAAGTTCATTTTTCCATGATTTATTTAATAACAGTATCTTAGTCCTAGTGTGAGCACATGACCATGTTGGGAGCTACTTAACGCATTCCCCATAATGTCATGTCTTCCTATAGGCGATTCTAGCAGGCAATTCAGGAGCTATTAGAGAAAGAGTGTTAACTGAGACAAATGCCATCCATGGAGTTTATATTCTGGCCGGAAGATAGGCTTTATTTATTTATTTTTTTGGGATGGAGTCTCACTCACTCTGTCGCCCAGGCTGGAGTGCTGTGGCGCGATCTCAGCTCACTGCAACCCCCGCCTCACAGGCTCAATTGATTCTCCTGCCTCAGCCTCCCAAGTAGCAGCAACTATAGGCACACCATCACGCCCAGCTGATTTTTTGTATTTTTAGTAGAGATGGGGTTTCGCCATGTTGGCCAGGCTGTATGATATGCACTGTATTAAAACCTTTATGTTATTAGCTAATGTATTCTTCTTCACAAACACTTTATGCAGTACTAGGATCCCTGTTCTACAGCTAAAGAAAACTAGGCTGAGAGAGGCGCTAAGGCCACAGAACAAAAATGTGGCATGGAGCCCTTTTCCAATATGAAATATATTGACAATAACAATCTTCCTCTTTTCCTCATGCCTTTCTTCTCCCTTAATGAGGCATGGTGGCACATGTCTGTAGTTCCAGCTACTTAGCCAGCTGAGGTGGGAGGATTGCTTGAGCCCGGGAGGTCGAGGCTACAGTGAACCATGATCGCACTACTGTACTCCAGCCTAGGTGACAGAGTAAGACCCTGTCTCAAAAAAAAAAAAAAAAATAAAAATTAGTTTAGTTTAACGACTGCAATCTTATAGTTTTAAATAATTCAGGAGCTTGGGTTTTTATTATAATATCCTTTAGTGATAGTTTTAAGTAGTTTCCTGAGTACACAGCACATCAGATTTAGAGGTTTAAGTTTACCAAACTCAAAAACCAAAAGCACGTAAACACACATACACAATGGTATTTCCCATGTTGGAACACAGAACTGTTAACTCTCTAATAGAATGAAACATTTTTTGCCAAATGGCAAATCAAAGACATCATAAATCAAGCACATATTATACTTACTTGTTTTTACCTTTCTCATATATTTAAATTGGGCACACTATCTTTGTAAGTCTCAAATCCTAAAGTTTGAATAGAAACGGCCTGCATAGAAATGCTTTTAAGGTGAATCAATTTTCTAGTTTTTCTCTGTATTAAATTAGTAAAATAAAATAGGATAGTCATTTGAAAAATGCTAAATCTTGAGATCTGTGGTCTAGTAGAAAGAGTACAGGGTTAAAAGTTACAACTTCAGGGTTATAGTCCTAATATTACTATCTACTAGCCAAAGGACGTTTTGAAACCTCTCAGCCTCTACTTTCTAATTTATAAAACAAAGGGGTTTATTTTGACTTCTAAGTTCTCAGATTTCACACAAGTCAACAAACAAACTTGGCCAAGTCATAAAATAATAATTATAGTTTACATTTATTTAATGCTTATTTTGTGCCAGGCACAATGTTCTATATACTTTACATGTATTAATTTAATTCATGTAACTTGTGAGGCAGGTAGTAATAATATCCTTATTTTATTTTATTTTATTTATTTATTTTTTTGAGCTAGAGTCTTGCTCCATGGCCCAGGCTGGAGTGCAGTGGCACAATCTTGGCTCACTGCAACCTCCACCCCCTGGGTTCAAGTGGTTCTCATGCCTCGGGCTCTTAAGTAGCTGGGATTACAGGCATGCGCCACCATGCCCAGCTTATTTTTGTATTTTTAGTAGAGATGGGGTTTTGCCATATTAGCCAGGCTGTTTGTTCTCAAACTCCTCACCTCAAGTGATCTGCTCACCTCAGCCTCCCAATGTGCTAGAATTATAGGCGTGGGCCACTGTGCCTGGCCAATATCCCCATTTTAGAGAACCCATCTATATAAAAAAATTAAAAAAATTAGCCAGGCATGGTGGTGCACACCTGTAGTCCTAGCTACTCAGGAGGCTGAGGTGGGAGGATTGCTTGAGCCTGGGAGGTCAAGACTGCAGTGAGCTGTGACGGCACCACTGCACTCCAGCCAGGGTGACAGAGTGAGATCCGATCTACAAACAAGCAAAACATAACAAAAAACAAAACAAAACAAAACAAAGGACTTCATGCCAAACTTAGTTACACTCTGTCAGCTAATAACATCTCACTGGTGTTTCTGCTTCAATTAAAATGTCATTTATTTTTAAAATATATAAAGCATTCTTGCAGTACACAATTCAAGAGGCCACCAAAGATAATTCACAGTCTCCTTTCACTTCTGTTCCTTAAGTTTCAGTCCCTCCTAGTCACTGTAGATTTTCTAAGAGAAATCACATCACCAGAGCTGTATCTAAGGAAAATGAATCAGACAGAAATACTTAGGATGAACTATAATGGAAGTACCAGATGGGTAATAGTGGGAATAAAAAAAAAAGGGATGGATGCAAGTTTCTACAGGCAAAAGCAACAGGACTTAGCATTTAGCATAGGGCCTGGAACATAGCAGGCACTTCAAAATATTTTCTATGTGGCTCCTGAATGACATGAGTAGAAGAATGACCAAAATCGTTTCAAGGTGTAGAGGCAGGATGACAAGGAGCTGAAAAGTGCCATTAACATTGCTAAAACAACAATAAAAAATCAAGATTCAGGTATGAAAGGGGAAGAAGACAAGACATGTAGTTTTGAACCTATGAGTTGGAAATGCTCATGGGCCATGTAAGTGAGAACTGTCAGGTGTTTGGAAATGTGACCTGGTGCTAATGAATGAAGTTGGAAGCTTTGGGTATAAATTTTAGAATTATCTTTCAAAAAAATTGGGTATGATTAGATAACTAAAGAAAATACTGTTTGAGGACAGTATAGAAGATGATGTCCAAGGACAGAAAATTAGTAACTGTCTACATTAGGGAGACAAAGATGAGTGAAACCATGAGAGCCAAGTATCATGAAAATTCAGGAGGGAGACTATGTTAAGAAAGTGGCAGGCTTATGCCTGTAATCCCAACACTTTGGGAAGCCGAGGTGGGAGGATCGCTTTAGACTAGGTACTTGAAGCTGAATGAGCTATGATTGCACCACTGTACTCTAACCTGGGTGACAGAGCGAGACTCTGCCTCTAAGTAAATACATTTAAAAAATAAGGCAGTAGTCATTGGTAGTATCTGATGAGGAAAATAGGTCAAGTAGAATGAAAAATGAGAAAAAGTGGTCAGATTTAGTCATCAGAAAGGCGACAGACAAGTGCAATGGCTCATGCCTATAATCCCAGCACTTTCAGAGGCTAAGGTGGAAGGATTGCTTAAGCCCAGGAGTTCCAGACTAGCCTGGACAAGAGACTCCATGTCTACATATAAAAATAAAAATTAAATTAAAAAAAAAAGAGACGGAAGAGGGCAAAAATTTGGCAGGAAATAACAAACAAATGGGTGGTGAAGAAGTGAATACAACCCCTGCCTTGCCTTCTTCTCTTGAGAAATCTGAAGGTGAGGGGATGGCAAGGGATGGAACAGTAAGCAAATGGGCAAAAAATGAAATGTAAATGTGCAACCCGGAATTGGCAACTCTGTGGCCTTCCTTATAGGGCTAGCAGTGCCAACAGTTTTCAAGAGGCACGATACTAACACATTTGTAGGGAAAGGAGCCAAGAGGACGAAAAAGGCTGTAGGTATGACTCTTGGTAATTGAGCAAGATCTGATATGGGAAAGAAATGACATCTAACTTACAGTTGGATTCGGAGAGGAAAAAGAGGTGCTCCTCCCGACCCAGAAAGGGAGGGAAAGTTTAAGATATTTTGAAGTGAGGAGGGAATATAAGGGTGTGACTGACAGCCCGTATTTTCTCAGAAAAGTAGGTGACCTAGTTGTCCCTCCCCAACAGAGAATTAACTATCACCTAGGTGAGGAGCCCCAAAAGCTAGACACTGGACTAACGTAAACATGAGTAGGTTTTTAAGTATTTATCTTATGGCAGATATTTTTTAAAATCTACAATAATCCTAACAGGTAGGTACTATTTTTCTTCCCATTTAAAAACCTTATGCTTCCCCTAAGAGGATATGACACTTGCCCACAGCTAACAAGCATACATTTAAACCCAGATCCAACTGCATGGTTTTTAAGTCTATTACATCTTACAGCAAGGGTATAGCAGAGGCCATGAACTGATGGGCTTGTAAGTATGTGTATCTCACCTCCAGTATTGATCTTTGTAAAAAAACAGATGAACAAAAAAATATGGTTTGTGCTTTCTGAACTTTATAATTAAGACTACATACATATGGGAGTAAAATACTGGCAAGAAAGGAAACCGTAGAGCAAATACTTTGCAAATAAGAAATTGCCATTCCTTTGATTCTTTTTGATTCATATGAACTCCTGTTACAGAGACAATTGTTGTGGATACATTCCCTTTGACCTACGAAAATTAGATTTGAACAAAGGTTCAGATTGGATTTAGATTAAGTCCTGCTCAGTGAAAATTATGAAAACACTCTGACACTACAGTAACTGATATGAAATAATAAATCCTCACTTAACATTGTCAATAGCTTCTTAGAAACTGGTTTTCAGTGAAACAACGTACAATGAAACCGATTTTTGTTATCATCAATATTATAACGAAATGAAAACAACACTGAATGAAAATTTTTTTGTGGACCTGCTGTAAGTTGTTTGGCTTAAAGCCATGATTTCTAAGAACCTATCGTTAAGTGAGGACCTACTGTACTCTATAACCATGCTGCTATTCTTTATTCCTGATATCCCATTACTTTTTTTATTTTTGAGATGGAGCCTCGCTCTGTCACCCAGACTGGAGTGCAGTGGAACGATCTCAGCTCACTGCAGCCTTGACCTCCCAGGTTCAAGCGATTCTCCTGCCTCAGCCTCCCAACTAGCTGGGACTACAGGCGTCTGCCACCACTCCTAGCTAATTTTTGTATTTTTAGTAGAGATGGGGTTTCACCATGTTGGCCAGGCTGCTCCTGACCTCAGGTGATCTGCCCATGTCTGCCTCCCAAAATGCTGGGATTACAGGCGTGAGCCCCCGGCCGACCTTTCTAATCTAAAAAAAAAAAAAGAGATGAAGTCTCACTGTGTTCCCTAGGCTGGTCTCCTGGGCTCAAGCGATCCTCCCACCTTGGCCTCCCGAAGTGTTGGGATTACAGGCCCGAGCCAGCGGGCCCAGCATGCGGACCATTTCCAGTCAAATACTGGGATAAACTGCAATAAATGACCCTAAGAAGCAGGTGAATTGTCTCAGGAGCTCAAGCTTCTTTTGGAGAAGGACTCAACCAGCTGTGACTGGCTGTGAATATGGAGGAAAAGGGCCACTAGTCAAGGTATGTAGATAGCTTTTAGAAGTCAGAAGAAGCACGCCTGCAGTCCCAGCTACTCAGGAGGCTGAGGCCGGAGGATCGCTTGAGCCTGGGGAGATAGAGGTTGCAGAGAGCCGAGACCACGCCACTGCAGCCCAGCCTGGACAGAGGTGAGACGCTCGCGGACCTTAGCTTGGGGTTGGCGGCGTTAGGAAGAAACCGACCTCGAGACCCTGAAGACCTGACAACAGCCGTTACTCTGGCTGACAAGTCATTGGATTTCTGGCGCACGCGCGGCGCGGCACGGGCAGCTTCCGGTTTCCAGCCTTGCCCCCGCCCCTACCTTCCGCCCCACCTCCAGGCTAGTTCCTCCTCTTGGCCCCGCCCCCTGACCTTCCTTCTCCCTATCCCTAGGCCCCGCCCCCTGACCCGCACCTTCCCGCCGCCCCTCCCCGGTTCCATTTCATTGTTGGATTGTGGCGCTTCACTCCTGCTGGCGGCCGGCAGGGGGCGGAGTTCGAGCCTGGATTTTTTTCCTCGGGGCCTCCCCCGGGAGGCCGTCCCGGCGTGGGGGAGGGGAGGACGGGGCGGGAGGACGCGGTTCGGTCGGCTGCAGCGCTACTTTTGGTCCGGGGTCGGCAGGGAGGCCGCGGCTACCGCATCACAGCTGACGTGAGGACTACGTGGGGCCGCTGCCGGCTCCGGGTTGCTGGGCGGCGGCGCCGCTGCTGAGCGGCGGTCGGGCTCGCCGTCTCCACCTCCTCGCGTCCGTAATCAGTGACGAGGTCCGCTACGTAAATCCCTTTGCGGCGGGTAAGTGGTGCGTCGGCTCCGGCCCCGAGACCCAGCAGCGGGCGACGCGGCGCAGGAGGTGGAGGTGGAGGCAGGAGGCGGAGCGGAGCCGGGTGCGGTGGAGCAGCAGAGGCCGAGCGGAGCCGTGGGCGGCGGGCCGGGACCCCGGGGCCGGGCCAAGGACTGGCGGGGCAGCCGCGAGTTCACCTGACGCGGCCCCTCGCTCGGCGCCCCCGAGGCCGCCGGCTCGCCGCCCCACGCCCGCTTCGTGCGCTCAGCTGCCCCGGGACCCGCCTGCCTCCTCGCGAACTTGGGACGAGTTGGAAAATCCTCCCTGAGAGAGCCGTGCGGCTCAGGGGAGCGGTTTAACTCGGAAAAGGAAAAGGAATCCAGAAGTAAGGACCTCGGATTTGAGTGCCCCCAGCGCCTCTGCCCCACTTTACGAGCGCAGTTTAGACGAAAGCGGACGCAGCCCGTTTTCCCCCAAAACCTGGGCCGGAGGGCCTCGCAGCTGAGTCATTCGGTCCCGGGCGCGGGCAGTCTCCGGAGTGGGAAGGGCAGAGCCGCGACCGCTCTCGGAAGGCGCATTTTCCCTTCTGCCTGAGTCTTGCCTTTTTAGGGCCATCTGGTAAGGTTTCCAGAGCCTGTTGAATCTGGGGAATAAACACATTATTAAACATACTTTTTTTTTTTGAGACGGAGTCTTGCTGTTACCCAGGCTGGAATGCAGGGGCATGATCTCGGCTCACTGCAGCCTCTGCCTCCTGGGTTCAAGCGATTCTCTTGCCTCAGCCTCCCGAGTAGCTGGGATTACAGGCATGCGCCACCACGCCTGCTAATTTTTGTATTTTTAGTAGAGATGGGGTTTTACCATGTTGGTCAGGCTGGTCTCGAACTCCTGACCTTCCACCCACCTCGGCCTCCCAAAGTGCTGGGATTACAGGCGTGAGCCGCCGCGCCTGGCCTCAGCATGTTTCTTGATCCTGTTGCGTTTTATTTGTATATCAGATACCTGAGTTTGAAATCACTTAGGGGTTTCCTGCATGCTGCTCAGTGAAGCAGCGGTGAGTTTGTAATCACATTTTAAGAAATTGGGACTTACAGGGCCAGTCTCAAAGTGTCACTGAAATTGAAAGAGCTCCTTTAACACTGTGGCTTACGTACGTGACTCAGTTTCCTTTCTACTTAATTTGCCGGGCAGATGAGGGTGTACCTTTCCCTTGAAACAAAGATCTAGATTGAACAGTGAGAGGTCCGCTGTGAACATTGCATCAGATTACATGAATAAACCACGCTGTTTTTTATTTGTTGTTTTTTTGTTTTTTGCTTTGAGCGCCACGTTTTTTTCCTAGTCTTTTTTTTTTTTTTTTTGAGACGGGGTCTCGCTCTGTCGCCCAGGCTGGAGTGCAGTGGTCCGCTCTCAGCTCACTGCAAGCTCCGCCTCCTGGGTTCACGCCATTCTCCTGCCTCAGCCTCCTGAGTAGCTGGGACTACAGGCGCCCGCCACCACGCCTGGCTAATTTTTTGTATTTTTAGTAGAAACGGGGTTTCACAGTGTTAGCCAGGATGGTCTCGATCTCCTGACCTCGTGATCCGCCCGCGTCGGCCTCCCAAAGTGCTGGGATTACAGGCATGAGCCACCGCTCCCGGCCTTTTTTTCCTAGTCTTGATTCTTTTTTTGGATAAACTTTCCCTTCCTAAGTCATAGTAGTCTTAAAGTCTTTCAATCTAAAGTAATTTTTTTCCCAAAGGAAGGCAAATTGCACACAATATGTTTTGGCCAATAAATGCTAAGTATTAAAACTGATGTTTAAAGAACTATGTATTGATCCCAACACAGCTTTAACAAATATATTAAAATGGTTTTGATCCTGAATGAGTAAACACTTAAAGCATTGTCAGTATTCACACAACTTTGGCGAATCTGTAAATAGATGAATATAACACTTACTTTCCCAGTGAATTGGTGATGGATATGGAATCATTTTGGTGATTGCGAAGTTGTAATTACGGTGATGTTTTGTGTACATATTTTGGTGACAGTATATGAATAAATTTTTATTGAATGCGTAAACATAGGACATTTTTATTTTTAGTCTTTTTGTTTTTGCATTGTCCCTGAAAGTTAATGAAATTTACTTCTTCTTCCTGAATTTTAAACTCTGGAATCCATAGTTAATAGGCTGTATTCCAGTTTCCTACTCAGGTGAGTCACTGCCTAATCAAAATACAAAATCTTGCTTAGGGTTATGACCATTTCATGAAAAGTAGGGAAGAGTTTTGAATTATTAACATATATAAGGAATCCTGACTGAATCTTTACCAACATAGACATATATTTCTGATCCTTTTTCTCCCAAGTTGTATTCCCTGCAAATTAAGTATTGGGCCAGAAGATTGAGCTAGGTTTATTGTTTAAGTGGATGTTCTTACTGAAAAGCTCTCAAATGTCCTGTTCCTTTTAGATAGACTTCTTAAAATAAAACTGAACAGTGCAAACACTTAATAGCTGAACGATTGAGAGACGTTATTTTTTAGAGCAGTTTTACAACCATTGATATTTTTATATTTCCTTACCAACATTGATTGATAAGGAAATAAGCCTGAAATACCGAATTTTATTGTTTCTACTTAAGTAAATGGATGGATTCCATATGTAAAAGTCAGCTTTGAAAATAGTTATTATTGTACATTGAATACAGTTTTGATATTATCAACACAGGAACTTAAAAATCCAGTTTAGGCCGGGCATGGTGGCTCACGCCTGTAATCCCAGCATTTTGGGAGGCTGAGGCAGGCGGATCGCCTGAGGTCAGGAGTTCAAGACCAGCCTAACCAACATGAAGAAACCCCGTCTCTACTAAAAATACAAAATTAGCCGGGCATGGTGGCCCATGCCTGTAATTGTGGCTACTTGGGAGGCTGAGACTGGAGAATTGCTTGAACCCCGGAGGCGGAGGGTGCAGTGAGCCAAGATCAAGCCATTGCATTCCAGCCTGGGCAACAAGAGCCAAACTCAGTCTCAAAAAAAAAAAAAAAAAAAAAAATTTTTTTTGGAAAAATGTATCTCATTACACAATAGGTAGAAATGAACATTTTAAATAATTATGTTAATAATCTCCTTTTAGACAATACATTTTAAATGTCTTTTGCAATGGGAACTCCACAATAAAGACTGTGCTGTTCTTAAGAATAAATGCTTTTACTCATAGGTTTTCATTTTCTGATACTGTATATCCAGTAGAGAATAAGCAAGAACAAAGAAGAAAACCTAAGGATATCATTAGTGGAAATTTTTCTTGATACTACTTATGGAAATGCCTTAAGTCTTACTGCACTGAATAATGATGTTTTGTTCAATGATGGACCACATATATCCCATAAGATTATAATGGAGCTGAAGAATTCCTGTTACCTAGTTATGTCCTAGCTGTCCTAATGTCAGAGGGCAGAGTATTACCTTTTCTATGTTTAGGTATGTTTAGACACACAAATACATTCCACTGTGTTCTAATCGTCTGCAGTATATAGTACAGTAACATGCTGTACAGGTTTTGTAGCCTAGGAGCAACAGGCTATCCCATTTGGCATAGGTGTGTAGTCGGTTGTGCCATCTAGGTTTGTTTAAGAGCAGTTTACAATGTTCGCAGAATGAAGTTGCCTAATATTTCTAAGAATGTATCCCCATTATTAAGTGAAGCATAACTAATTCAGTTATAGCAAGGTTTACAAAGTAAAATGATATCTATTTGCACATTTCATGACAGGCCTTCCTAGGAGTGATAGAGGAAATTACTGGCAACGTGTGTGTGAAGTAGTTTTTATAAGTAGAGGAAATGCATAGGCTATAAAACTATATGGTAGTTTTGCTTAAAGACTGCTTAAATAACCATCTCGTTGGTCAGGAAGGATGCTTACCTCTAAGAAAACCTTACTAGCAACTCATCCTCTTGTCAGACTTTTTTGAAGCCTCTCAGATCTCCACAAATGAGAAACATCTTTGTGCATGTTTTCTAAACAGTAGTATAACCAGGCCATTTAAATATCAAGATACTAATAAAATCCTGTGAACGTTTAAGAGTGGAGCTAATGTGATGCTAATATTTTCCCTGAGAATTTCACAAAATAAACTCAGTGTCTTTAAAGTTATCTTAGTAAAGGTTTTTTTTTGTGTGTTTTTTTAAACATAGCAGACTTAAATCATCCAACTTAGAATAGCAAAATAGCAGATAGTTTTGTTTATATTCTTAATCTCAATTTTTTTATTGATAGCACAAAAAATGATTTTTTTTTGGCTTAGAAATGTTTTTAACTGGAATTTATATCTTAGCACTGATTATGGTGAAAGTATCCACTTTGGAATTATGACAACTGTATCACACATAAAGACCCACATTACTGAATATGGGTGCTTGGAATGTTTTTACTCTTAAAATTTCTGGAGGAGTAAAATTAGGCATGTTTCTGCACTTAGAAAGATACAGGTTTTGTTCAGATGTGTAAGATAGGACCAATCTAGGTAAGTAAAATAATGGTAAAATTCTTTTTTCTGATCTTAAGCTAATTCAGGTAGTTTATCTCCTTTGTCAGATTTACTATCTAGTAGTTAATACATTTATACTTAATACGTAGATATGTGTTTTCAGATGTACTTAATGTGCAGTAAAGAAGCATGCTATTGAAAACAAAACAAAACAACCTTACAGTGATTCTAGTCAAGCAAGTAACTCCTTCAAAAGTTTAAAAATTTGGTTTCACATTGGCCGGGTGCGGTGGCTCACGCCTGTAATCCCAGTGCTTTGGGAGGCCGAGGCGGGCAAATCAGGAGACCAGCCTGACCAAACATGGTGAAACCCCGTCTCTACTAAAAATACAAAAATTAGCTGGGCATGGTGGCTCGCGCGTGTAATCCCAGCTACTCAGGAGACTGAGGCAGGAGAATCGCTTGAACCCGGGAGTTGGAGGTTGCAGTGAGCCGAGATCGTGCTACTGCACTCCATCCTGGGTGATAGAGCGAGACTTGAGTCTCAAAAAAAAAAAAAAAAGAAAAAAAAATTGGTTTCACATGAAGTGGTGGTGGCGGGGGAGGGAGGTGTTTGAAAGGATGGAGACAGGCCATGATTATTTGAATTTCACTTTTCATTTCCTCCTCAGCAGCCCATTCTGTAGTTCATTTACTGTGAAATGGCCAAAAGCAGGCAGCATGTGGGAAATGAATTGAAAAAGAGACACTTACTGAATAGCTAGTCCTTTAGTGATTTTAGTAAAGAGTTAAGATTACTTAAATAATAACAGGTGTCTCAGGCAATTAAATTGGAGTAGCCGTGAATCTATATTAGAGAGCCTCGTGAATTTATGTATAATTCATGTTTGAAATATTAAAGACATTTACAAGTGTTTGGAATATTTATTTACGAGTATCCCTCTTGGCTATTCTGTTTTTACATGAAAGCGTAAAGATTATTTTTTGAAAGTTACTGTTACTTTGCTTCATAAAGAGTATAAGACCAATGGTGTAATTTCATGGTACTGCTTTCTCCCATTGTTTTTCCTGTACTCATCTTCCCCTAAAATGCATAACCATAGTCTCATCCCCGTCAATTGCAGCTATATGGCTGTTTGGAATTATTTCTCTTATAACTAGTCCCACCTTCTCTTAATTTTTTAATCGACTTGGTTGAGAAGGACCAACTTTACAATATGAGCTTCATATTCTCCTTTATCTTTCAAACTTTATTGCTCTTGCTACTTAAATTACAGTTAACCTATGGATATCTACTTTTGCAAAGAACTAAAACCTTGCTTCATCACAGAACCAAATAAACAGATTGTATTTCTCTGTTCTCTTTCTCTTCCTGCTTCTGTAAAAGGTATGATACCTTTTGTTCCACATTCTTTTCTTTTTCTTTTGAGTATGCTAGTTGCAGTGCTTTCAGGTTTTCTTATTCTTTTTCTTTTTTAGCCTTTCTTTTAGAAACCATCTCAATAATGCATAATTTACAGTTTACATTTTTGGGTTTTTGAAAGTGGAGTAAGAACTTAGATTGTTTGGCAAGTGTCTTATAAAGAATTCTTAATTTAATATTTCCCGTAAGTCATAGTTATCTCCAATTGTAATATCTAGTCCAAAAGCAGATTTTTTTTTTTTTTTTTGAGACAGAGTCTCACTGTGTCACCCAGGTTGGAGTGCAATGGAGCAATCTCGGCTCACTGCAGCCTTCGCCTCCCAGATTCTCCTGCCTCAGCCTCCCAAGTAGCTGGGATTACAGGTGCCTGCCACCGTGCCTGGCTAATTTCTGTATTTTTTGCAGAGATAGGGTTTTACCATGTTGGCCAGGCTGGTCTCGAACTCCTGACCTCATGTAATCCACTCAACTTGGCCTCCGAAAATGCTGGGATTACAGGCGTGAGCCATGGCGCCTGTCCAAAAGCAGTTTGTTTTAAAGCAGAAAAAGCAAAACTGTGTTTATTGTCTTTCCAAAGCATTCAACTTAGTCTTCAGAGAAACAGTTCTCTTTTTGAATCATTTAATCTACTTAGTCATTTCATCTAATGTACAGTTTAACAAAATTACAAAATTGCAACAAGTGTGGCTGGCACAATCAGGTTTGGTGACAAACACAACTAACTCTTGGTAAGCACCCCTCCCTGTTGGAGTGAACATAAGTGCCTGGGCACACTAGAGAACTGTGGTGGGCATTAGCTATACTGTAGGCTTCACAGGAGTGGAGAACACTGTTAATATGGAGAGCTGGAAATTGGTTAAGTAAACTTTGGTATTCTAGTAAACTTGCCCAAGAAGTTTAATTCTTATATATACCTAGTTTTTCCAGAAAAGTTACATTAAGGTATTAATTTAACCACAGCAGGTAAAAGTTTTTTGTTTTTTTTTTTTTTTCAAGACAGCTCTGTTGCCCTGGCTGGAGTGCAATGGTGCTATCTCGGCTCACTGCAATTTCCGCCTCCTGAGTTCAAGTGATTCTCTTGCCTCAGCCTCCAGAGTAGCTGGGATTATAGGTGCACATCACCATGCTGGCTCATTTTTGTAATTTTTTCTTTTTTAAATGAGAGTCTCGCTCTGTTGCCCAGGCTGGAGTGCAGGGGCGCGATCTTGGCTCACTGCAACCTCTGCCTCTTGGGTTCAAGCAGTTCTCCTGCCTCACCCTCCCAAGGAGCTGGGATTACAGGCGCATGCCACCACGCCTGGCTACTTTTTGTATTTTTAGTAGAGACAGGGTTTCGCCATGTTGGCCAGACTGGTCTTGAACTCTTGACCTCAGGCGATCTGCCCGCCTCAGCCTTCCAGAGTGCTGGGATTACAGGGGTGAGCCACAGCGCCTGGCCTCAACATTTTTAAGTGTTAATTTAATACTATCTTTTCTCTATCAGCATATTGTATTTGTTTGCTTATATTATATGAGCATTTTCCAACATTTGCTTTATTACCCTCTCTGTAATATATAATCCCATATTCAGATTTCACCATTTGTTCCCAAAATGTCCTTTATAGCATAATCAACATATTTTAAATATCATTTGTATAGAAAGCTATATATTGAAGGATACCGACAGCAGTGAAATTGAGCCTGGCATGATGGCTCAAGCCTGTAATCCCAGCACTTTGGGAGGCCGAGGCAGGCGGATCACTTGAAGTCAGGGGTTCGAGACCAGCCTGGCCAAAATGGTGAAACACCATCTCTACTAAAAATACAAAAATTAGCCGAGCATGGTGGCATGCGCCTGTAATCCCAGCTACTCAGGAGGCTGAGGCATGAGAACTGCTTGAACCTGGGACGTGGATTTTGCAGTGAGCTGAGATGGTGCCACTGCACTCCAGCCTGGGCGACAGAGCAAGACTCAGTCTCAAAAAAAAAAAAAAGGAAAGAAAAATTAATTGAAGCTGTTGCACCACAGGGTGAATGGAGCAACATACTGGTGAAAGTAAGGTGAATGCCAACTGTTGTTTTTGTAATCATACCTAATAAAGTTTTTATCAGTGTGTTAGATGGCCTTCAAAATATGGCAGAGAAATCCATAACCAGGCAAAATAATTTTGGGTCTCATTTCTTCTTATAAGTTATTACTTGCCTATAACAAACTAATCTAAAATATGCCTTTCTGCTCTAAAAGCTAAAGCTTAAGAGTCCCTTGGCAGATGGGACTTTTAAATTATTCCTGTAGAAAATTGGTAGTATATAAGTGTTTTAATTTATTATGTGTTTTAATTTATTCCTGTAGAAAATTATTCCTGTAGAAAATCGGTAGTATATAAGTGTTACAGCTCTTAGAATTTGTCTAGCAGGCTCTCCGGTTTTTGCCAGAATGCCCACCACCCCCCGAAAAAAGAAAGTTGGTAGATTGGTAGTATACAGGATATATCAGTATCCTTTGGGTGTTTAGGTATAAGGAGATCTGCTTAGAAATTATAACTGGAGAGCTGAGTACAGTGGCTCATGCCTGTAATCCCAACACTTTGGGAGGCTATGGTGGGAGGATTGCTTGAAGCTAGGAATTTGAGACCTGGGCAACATAGTGATACCTATTTCTGGAAAAAAAAAAAAAAAAAAAAAAGAGAGACATTAAAAAAAAATGAGACAAAGAAGATAGAACAAAAGGCTAGATAATTTGGAAGAAAAGCATGAAAGTAATGTCATAAAGAATTCAAAGAGGACAAAGTTTCAAATAGAGGGGGAAATGCTGTAGGGGTATTGAGGAAGATGGGGACTAGAAAGCATCCTTTTAGATTTGGCAAGCAGGCAAGCGTTCATTGGTGACCTTGTGGAGAATAGTTGGAATGAAGTAAGTCTCTGATCATCCTGAGTCAGGGTCAAGTTTATCTTGTCATTATTCGGGTATGAGGCTAGTTTTTCTCTTTGGTATCTTGTGGCTCCCATGGCCGGAAGTTGGTGCTTTCTTCAGTGCTAGTTACCTCTAGGAAGAGGAAGCGGGCGGCTGTTCCTGGACTTCTCTGAATACCTTTTTCTAGTTTTAAAGTTTTGAACCACAAGAATGTATTACTTATTCAGCAAATAAAACATTTCCAAGTGAAATACAGAAATTGGCCTTTTTTCTATGATATAGTGCTGTGATTATCATTATTGTTCAAGTGCTATTATTATTTTGTTGACATATCTGCCCCCGCCTTTAGATTGCAGGCTCCTGGAGAGCTGTCTCCTGCAGTGCCCCAGTGTCTAGTATGAGGGGGTGGCATCTAATGGGTTATACAGTTGTTAAGGAGCATAAGATGTCCCTACGTAAAATGCTAGTGTAGCATACAATGAGGTTTGATGTCAGAATGGCATCAGTTCTGCTTTTTGTTCCTCTTGTGAGGAGCCTGTTCAAATGCCCTACTGTCTCTTGTCCCTATGCTGGGGGCACATGGTAGCAGTAGTAACCATCGCCTTAGTGCCCTTAGTGAGGTTTGATAAACCTGCCTGCTGCCTACAGTTCCAAATTTGACCAGGATTATATGACATCATTTAGAAGAACCCTTAGGAGGGAACTCTGAAAGCAATGTGTCTGTCTAAGCACTGCTGTTGCTGGCAGAGGTATCTAGAGGTTACTTAGGGATGAGCACGATTGTTTTCTCCAGCTCTAAAAGAAATTAAGGACTCTCAGTTTTTTTTTTTTTTTTTTTTGGGACTCTGTCTCAAAAGAGTTTAGGTCTGTGAATGGTCTTGCTCTGTCACCTAGGCTGGAGTACAGAGGTGCAAACATGGCCCATTGCAGCCTCAACTTTCCGCGCTCAAGTGATTCTCCCACCTCAGCCTCCTGAGTAGCTGGGAGTCCAGGCCTGTGCCACCATACCTGGTCAGTTTTCTTGTAGAGACAAGGTCTCACTGTGTTGCCAAGGCTTGTCTCAAACTCCTGGATTCAAGCAAACCTGCTACCTCAGCCTCCCGCAGTGCTGGGATTACAGGTGTGAGCCACCATGTCTGGCTCAAATGTTCTTTTGTCTTTTTCTTTGCCAGTTTTACTTCTTTCCACATGTCAAATATATATTTTTAAAGATATTAGTAAAAAATAAAGAGAGTTTAATTGCTACAGTGTCTAAACTAGGTTTTTTAATGGATTGAAGGCTATCAGAAGGACGTTTTGAATAAACTTATTTTGTTTGGAGTTTAATTTTTTAACAAAAACCCAAGTTGGAATTTAAGGTAAATGAAAACTTTTTTGCATTGGAGTGAAATATAAGGAAATAATAAATTCATTAATTTTATTAAGTGATCATTAACTTCTTAAAAATAGAGCTGATACCTATGAGCTATACTTAGTATTAGATGATTTAGATAGCACTGCTTTCTCTTCAGTAGAAAATAATCAGAAAAATAGTTTATCATTTAAGTTTTGTCAATTTTTTTCCCTAGGAAGATAAGAAAAATACAGTAGAAGTAAGATTGACAAAAAACCGTACAGGGCTGTTTTTAGCTTTCTAGTCTTTTGGTTTTTTTTGGTGGGGGGGAGTTATTTTTTATTTTTAGTTTTATAGAAATTAGAATATTCTTCCTGGCCTTGTTTTGAGAGGTTTTAATTTAAATAAAATTTAATTTGAGAGTTTTTGAAGTGAAATGTTACGATCTCCCAATTCAACATTATAATTTTACTGCAGGATAAATAAAGAAAACAGGAAAGGAGGAAAGCATTGATTACAAATATCTTAACAATGAGCAAATGTGCAAGGAAAAAATATATTAAGACAAATCCAAGGTAGGTAGATGTACGTTTTTCTGTTCTTTTGAAAATTCTACTTAGCTTAAAGTTCATGATGAATAAATTGATATATAGATGTACACATACATGTATGTATGTATATATATTCTATTATAATATATACTCAAATTATTCAGCCATTCACTTAAGGCACCATCTACTGTGTACCATGCTGGGCACTGTAGGAGATGTGTCGGTATGTCAGTTGACTTATGCTAAGTACTAGTCTTTTCGTTTAGAAAGTAGACCAATATGAGGATGTCGATAGTTAAGTGGAATTGTAGAATTCGAAGAATCCCCAGGGTTTTATTCTTCCTCCCGGCCTTTCGGCCATACTTGTACTTAACCTTATAAAACAGAAGAAAGTCTCTACCAACGTTTTAAAAATATCCAAATAGAATTTTTCAAGTTTTCTTTTGATTACTTTCAGAGACATTCTGTTTCGTTAGTTGGATGTAGTCCTAAAGAGAAAATTGATTTTCCACTTTTTGTAAAGTTATTTAAAATAATAGAAACAACTTTAATAACTTCCTTTTCCAATTGGATTCTATTTTTAGAAGAGATGAAAAATTTTTTCAAGGGTAGTGCACTTCCTCTGCAATGTAATTTGTCTTTGAAAATTGGATACAACTAAAATTTTAGAATTTTTTTTTTTTTTTTTTTGGAGACAGAGTCTCACTGTTACCCAGGCTGGTGTGCAATGGCACAATCTTGGCTCAGTGCAACCTCTGCCTCCCAGGTTCAAGGGATTCTCCTGCCTCAGCCACCTGAGTAGCTGGGATTACAGGGTGCCACCATACCCGGCTAATTTTTTTAATTTTATATTAAAACAATTTATTACTAAAAAAAATTTTTTTTAGGCCGGGTGCAGTGGCTTAATCTGTAATCCCAGCACTTTGAGAGGCCAAGGTAGGAGAATTGCTTGAGGCCAGGTGTTAAAGACCAGCCTGGGGAAAAAAAAAGAGAAAAGGGAAGAAGACCAGCCTGGGTAACATAGCAAGATCCTGTCTCTTAGAAAAAAAATTGTTTTAATGGAGGGTCCTATTTTTTAAAAAAACAATAGATATATTAATATTTTATTAATTTGGATCCCAGTATATTCAAAACAGGTTGGGATAATATTTGCTTTTCTATCAAAGTTTGCTAAATAATATAAAGGAGATTTCAGAGAAATATTTAACTTCAAAAGAAAATAATCCTGCTATTATTAGTTGTTTGTAAATTTAAATATCTCCATTTTAGCAATTTTTTTTTTTTTTGAGACACAGTGTCACTGTGTCCAGGCTGGATTGTAGTGGCACAATCTTGGCTCACTGCAACCTCTGTCTCCAAGGTTCAAGTGATTCTTGTGCCTCAGCCTCCGAGTAGCTGGGATTATAGGTGCGTGCCGCCACACCCAGCTAATTTTTGTATTATTAGTAGAGATGGAGTTTCACCATATTGACCAAGCTGGCCTCAAACTCCTGACCTCAGGTGATCCACCTGCCTAGCCCTCCCAAAGTGCTGGGATTACAGGCATGAGCCACCATGCCCAGCCACCATTTTAGCAAATTTTTACCTGTTTTTTAGAATTGTGGAACCAAATATTTGCCAGTATTTTGCTTGTTGTTAATTTATAGTGCTTAGTGGACTTGTTTGTTTTCGTTTTTATTGTTTTATCCTTACATGTTTTTATTTTTAATTATTTTGTAATTCATAATTGCCCATTGGTTCTTTTCTCTCTAAAAAGGATTATTGTTTAAGATTAAAATACTACATAGTTAATTAAAGACTATTAGTTTTAGTACAACTATGTTTATTTAATATTATCACAACTATGTTTAATACAGAAGGTGAGATTTGGGAAAATATGTTCTATGAGACATCTCTTCAATTTTAATGTATTTAGCTATAAATTATATAGTGAATAATGTAAGATTATAATGGACTCTATAAATTCTATCTGGAGCAGCTGTGGCTGATTTATAGATGTTAATGTTGTATGTACATCATTTACAGCTGAGTTTGGGGTCCTGCATTTCTGCTGAGATAGTGCCTGAAAAATGCCTGGTACAGTGCTTGACCCATGTTGAGCACTGAAATGTTAGTTGAATCTTCTGCACTGAGTCCTGTATAGGAGTTGGGTTTTAGTGGGTTTAGGAGGTTGTACTGGAGGGCATAAATCTGCAGATTTGGATATAAATCTGCAGAATAAACTGGCTTGAAATAGCATATCTATTTTAAATTGCTAGTGTTGACCTTTTTTGTAGATGATTTTTACCTTCAAAAAAATAATTTTAGTATCAAACTTGTACTAAACGGCATGAACTGAACACCGTGCTAGGTACTCTGGCAGAATACAAATGGAATAAAATTACAGTCCATACATTTGGTATGAAAGAGAAAGCATATCTGAGTGAGATTGCGACAACAATTGCAGCATACTCCAAAACACATCATCATCGTAAAATGTTGTCCAAACTGTAATTCGCAGGGCACTGGCTGTGGAAGGAACCCTGGAGTCACAGTCACAACACCTCTTTTTCATCCCTCATCATGCTACCTATTATGTTCCCTGTAAAAGTCCCTTAATCTCTCTGAACGTTATTTTTATTATTATAATAACACCTGACAGTTGCACAGTCTTCCAGGATAATTGATTAATTGGTTTATTTAGCATATACTGTACTAGGCACTGGGAATGCATGGAAATCTATAAGATGGGATCCCTGTCCCTGAGTTGCTCACGCTGGTGTGTGAATACATGTATTATATGCTACACAAGTGTTATAACAGACTTGTAAATGCTTTGGGAACTCAAAAGAGAATAACTAATTCTGCCCATGGCTATTAGAATAGGCCTTTGAAAGTTGGTGTCCTCGAACCAGGCCTTGACAGACTAGTGAGAATTTGCCAGTTGGACAAAGAAGGGTAAAGGGCATTTCAGGAAGAGGGGAGATTAGATGTAAAAGATTAAAACTGGGAGAGTAAGATATGTACTTGAAAAAATGTCTGATTAGGAGGCTGGCATGCAGCGTGTTGGAAAGAGTAGAGGGACTGGAGATAAGGCTGTAGGACTAAAATGGGTCACATTGTGAAAGAGATTGAATGGCAGTGTGGTTTAGTAATGGAGTGTATGGACTTTGGAAAAAGACCTTGGTTGAAAACCTGGCTATGCCACTTAATACGTTCATGGTAAGATCAAATTCTTAACCTCCCTGAGTCTCCTTTTCCTTATTTCTAAAAGAAGAACTAATTATTTTTTATTTTTTGAGACAGTCTCACTCTGTTGCCCAGGCTGGAAGAACTGATGATAGTGATCTTATAGAGTTGTTAATCAAAACTACCAGGCACTTACCACATGGTAAACTCTCAATAAATGATGGTTATAGTTATGAGAATTAGAAGTTTGGATTTTATCCTGTAGTCAATAGGAAGCTACTGAAGAGTTTTAAGCAAAGAAGTATTTTAAGCAGAAATACATGTTTTAGAAACATAACTATTGGCATGGATTGGAGCCAGGAGTTAGAGTGGTGGCTGTGGAAAGGTAGAGAAGGAGACTTAATTGTTCTTTAGAAGGTAGAATCATCATACCTGGTGATGATGCTGTGTGGAATGACAGAGAGGGAGTTTCAGGGGTTTCTGGCTTGAACAACTCGTTGGATGATGGGGTCCCATTTCCTGAGATAGGGAACTCGGGTAGAAAGTTTGTGGAGGAAGAAGAGGAGTTTAGTTCTGGACCCACTGATTTTGAGGTTCCTGCAGGACATGTGTTTGGAGATGTTAAACAGGGATTTGCATATTGGATTTTGGAATTGAGAAGAGACGTCTGGCCTAGAGTCATGGGTTTAAATCTGGCACTTGAATCCAGAGAAACAGACCATATGAAGTAGGGAGAGATTTGAGAGTGAGGCAAGAAAGCTAAGCAGAGTCCCGAAGACATGCCATGTTGAAGATTAACATTGAGGAAGAGAAGGAATTGTCAGGGGAGCTTGTGGAGGAATTGTCAGCGAATCAGATGAGAAGAGGAAAATGTAGTATCAGAACGCTGAGACAGTGTTCAAGAAGGAAGATGTTGTCAACGGTTTGAATGCTGCTGAGGGATCAAACAAAAGGTAGGACTTAAAATGTACGTTGGATTTAGTGACAGAGATTAGTTACCATTTCTAGAGACGTTTTAGAGGTAGAAACCTCTCTAAACTTGGGGGTATCTAGGAGTATGTGGGATGTGAAGTAACGGAGATAGTAGTGTTGGCAATTCTTTCAAATATTTCAGCAGTGAGAAGGGGAAGAGAGGTTCAAGGGAATAGCTCGAGAGATTTCTGATCCAGTGGATTTGTGGCTATGTGTATAAGTTGTGAGATGGGAGAGACGTGAATGTGTTTAAGTCTTTACAGGAAAAAACTGTTAGAGGGGGAGAGAATAATTGATAGTATAATCCCCTGGGGCATGGGCTCCAAACAACAGATACAGGTATTTTAAGAGTAGGGAGGAGGCAGGAGGCAAGGGAACATGGTGAGTGTAGATGTCAATAGCTTTGTTGATTTGGTTGTGGGAAGTTGATGGAGTTCTCATTAGAGACAGGAGGCAAGGGCTTTCATTGAATGCAGTCAGTATAGAAACGCAGGGATTGAGAAGAGGGAGAACATTTGAAACAGTTGTTGAGAATGGGAGAGTAGTAAGCCAAGGAGGCAAACTCCATCAGTTTGCCGCCCATTTGAGGTTGAAAACCAAGAATTTAATAGCTATATTTATATTTTTAGAGATGGGGTCTTGCTCTGTCACCCAGGCTGGAGTGCAGTGGCACGATTATGGCGCACTGCAGTCTTGACCTCCTGAGCTCAAGTGATCCTTCCATCTCACCCTCCTGAGTAGCTGGGACTACAGGTGCCCATCACTACGCCCAGCTAACTTTTTTGTTTTCTATGTGGAGACGGGGTCTCACTATGTTGCCCAGTCTGGTCTCAAACTCCTAGGCTCATGTGATCCTTCTGCCTTGGCCCCCCAGAGTGTTGGGATTACAGGCGTGAGCCCCTGTGCTTGGCCTCAATAGCTTATTCTGTCTTATAATTTCATTCAGTATTGTTCATCTGCCTTGGTGCAGGCATAGAGGAGATGAAGAGTTGGTTTTATCCAAGATTGGTACTTACTAAGAATATACAGCAATGGCACAATCTTGGCTTACTGCAACCTCCAACTCCCAGGTTCAAGCAATTCTCCTGCCTCCACCTCCCAAGTAGCTGGGATTACAGGCGCCTGCCACCACACCTGGCTAATTTTTGTATTTTTAGTAGAGACGGGGTTTCACCATGTTGGCCAGGCTGGTCTTTAACTCTTGACCTCGTGATCTGCCTGCCTTGGCCTCCCAAAGTGCTGGGATTACAGACGTGAGCCACCGTGCCGGGCTGGGAAACAGTAATTAAAATGAGAAGCCATGTTAGCTGAATAGGGTGGGAAGTGAAGAAAGGGGGAGGCAGATGGGCAGAGAGAAAGTGGTGTGGAGATCTCAGTGTGTTGGAATAACAAGTGTGATGGGAGTGGTCAAGGGAGAGGGTAAGATGGGAGGATAGGATGTTGTAGGCAGAGTGGAATGTTGGAATTAATTTTTTCAGAGCTGGACCAATTTGCACATTGGCAATGTCCAGGGTGTGGCCAGACACTCCAGTAGATAGCTGAAGTGGCATAAAGTAAGTCATTGATCTGAGGCATCTGGGTAAGGGATAGGTCTTCTTTTGAGTGTTGAACATAGACAGAATGGTGAAGAGGAAAGCTTTTACATCAGGGGCCAGAGTCTTCAGTTTACATCCTGGAGGTGAGTAGATGATTATCTTATGGATGGGTTCAGGATGGTACACCTGATGACCTTGAGCCTCAGTTGAACAAGGGTTTTTACGAGGGAGTAAAGGAGGTACAGGTGGGAAGCAACAGTGGGGAACAAAGCAGATGGCCAGTCAACATGCTGACCTTGATTGGGTGTGGGAAGATGAGCAGTACTCTCTTGAGAGGACAGCAGAGAGGCTTTGGGAGTTCCAGATAGCATATTGCTGGAATTTGGAAGGAGAACAGGAGTGAGGGATTGTATTATGGAGGGAAAGGAAGCACTAGTTATGAGAGTGAAGATGAAATATGGAAGGAGCTTATATCTTAGTGATTTGAGTGTGATTCTGGCATGGGTGCAGGGGCATTGAAGTTTAGTTGTGGCTTAGGAAAAGGCCCATTGTCTGTGATTTATTGTCTTCAGAGTGGATAGCAGCAACTGTGTGGAACAGCAGCTCAACTGCTTTGTCCAGTGTGGTGATGGGAGGTTACAGTGGACAGTGCCCAGTGCTAAATTATGGTAAGGAGGAGGAGTTGGGATGGCTGCTGACCTTCCATCTCTGCCTTTCTCCCTAAGGCTCAACGCCTCATGGTATCCTGACTGATGTTTAGCTTTGTGGGGTTGCTTTTTGTGGTTGATCTCATTCTGACTGATTATATATAGACACACGATTCTAGCTTTGGAGCCTGAATGGATGATGATACTCTTGACTAAAAGAAGAAATAAAAGAGAGGGGTCAGGTGTCCATGAAAACCCCAGGTTGAGATGCTCAGTAGGAGGGAGGTGTGTGTAAATACAGATTTGGGAGCCATCTGCATATAGGATTGAAGAAACCATAGTATTCATAGTATTGGAAAATTCTGTAGTATTGACAAAGGGAAAAGGGCAAAGGACTGAACTCTCTGGGAAATGCCCCCAGAGAAAAATGGACCAGTTAAGATGATTGCATGAGATGGTACGTTATCAAGACATTTTCATGTATAAAACATTTTGAAATCTGTCTTTTATCATATCTCAAAAATTGAGGCCTGAATAGTTTATCTTTTTAATCATTAAAACTTTTTTTTTTTTTGATGGGAGACTTCTTGGATTCTACAGTGTGTACCCCTCTGTCCTTAAAGTATACTGAACATAATTAGCCTTTTTTTCATGACTCAGGATAGTTATTATAAATATCAGTTATTGAGTTGTAACTTCCAGGCTGGGCATGGTGGCCATGCCTGTAATCCTAGCACTTTGGGAGACTGAAGCGGGCTGATCACTTGAGGCCAGGAGTTGGAGACCAGCCTGGCCAACATGGTTAAACCCCGTGTCTACTAAAAATAAAAAAAATTAGCCGGGTGTGGTGGCGCGTGCCTGTAATCCCAGATACTTGAGAGGCTGAGGCGGGAGAATCGCTTGAACCCAGGAGGCGGAGGTTGCAGTGAGTCCAGATCGCGCCACTGCACTCCAGCCTGGGTGACAGAGCAAGACACTGTCTCAAAAAAAAAAAAAAAAAAAAGGTATTATTCCTAATTTAATTCCATGCAGCCTTTCCAGCCCTATTTGTACCAGTCCTACTCTGTCTCTTCCCCACTAAATCTAATTATCCCCCTTTCCCTCACCCAGATTTTCTACTCCAATCACCTATTCTGTTTCCCAGATATCCTCTGTACTTTCCTCCCTCTCATAGTCGACCTGTCCTTTCTACCTGGTGAAATCCTACTCACCCTTCAATATACGACTCATATGACCACATTCTCTGGCAGACTTGGTCATTCTCTTATGTTTTCCAGAGCATTTCATGGATCACATATATCACATGATTCAAGAAATTACGGCCAGTTGCAATGGCTCACGCCTAGTAATCCCAGCACTTTGGGAGGCCAAGGCAGGCAGATCACCTGAGGTCAGGAGTTGAAGACCAGCGTGGCCAACATGGCGAAACCCCGTCTCTTCTAAAAATACAAAATAGCTGGGCATGGGGGCATGCGTCAGTAATCCCAGCTACGTGGGAGGCTAAGGCCAGAGAACTGCTGGAACCTGGGAGGCAGAGGTTGCAGTGAGCCGAGATGCCTCTGCACTCCAGCCTGGGTTGACAGAGTGAGACTCTGCCTCAAAAAAAAAAAAAAAAAAAAAAAGAAATTACTTTACTTGTGATTTACTTTAATTACTGACCTGCCAATAAACTGTGTTTCTCAAATTTTAGTACATATTGGAATTGTTTGCATATAAGAAGTTAAATTCTCAAGAAAGTTTGATTCACTAGGTTTGGGGTTGAGCCTAAGCTTCTGCATTTTTTACAACAAATACTTCTCGTTAATTCTGATGCGAGTTGTCCAAGGACCATAATTTGAGAAACCAACAACCATGTAGTTAATGGATTCCATCAGGGCAAGGGCCATGACTTATCTGCTTTTGTATTTTCAGGGCCTGCCATGTAGACTATGCTAAATGAATGTTTCTAGAATGAAATATAGTTTACTGGGGAAGGCCTTTCGGCATATAATTTTTGAGTTGAGACCCAAGTTGTTGCAGAATCTTAAGAAAGGTTTTGCCTTTCAAAGGTGTAAAAAATAGCACAAGACAACATTTCCCAGGTGGTTTCCAAAATACTCCTGCTAGGGCATGCTTTGTGGGAAAAGGGTTTGTTTGGTAGTCAGATACTTTTAGAAAATGCTGTCTGTTGGACCTGTGCCCTTCACCCTTCTCAAGACACACTAGCAGATTGAAGCTTTTGAGATGTTCTGTGGGAAAGAAACCCTTTTAATCTTTAAAACGTTTTGACAAAGCATTTTCCCTACCCTTTTTCCCCAGATAATGCCTTTTTAGAACCTGCAGAACTAATGTCCTGAGGTATTTTCTTTGGAAACTGCTCACATAACCAAAAGTATAACAGTAGGAATTAACACTTCATGTGTGATGATGACCTATAATTACCTAGAATTGGAGAGGCCACTCTGGGAAGTTATAAGAAAAGAGATAAAGGATTAGGCAATATTAAGGGAAAGACATTTTTCTATGGTAGGCTCGACGTTTGTATTTTGGTATAATTGCTCTAAATTGTCCTGGTCAGTTATAAGTATTAAAATAACTGTAGTATAGATGATAGCAGACAGGTTTGAGCATGGAAGGATTGGATTTGGGTAACGGCTACTGGAATGCAAAAGGCAGTAGGAAGTCAAAGACAGTAGATGAAGGATCTGTAGAATCTGGTAACTAATTAAATCTGGAAAAACAACTTGGATGTTTTAATTCAAAGATCTAAGTGGTCTATATACTTTTTGGATGTATAGTTAGACTAAGGTGAAAAAGAAACATTGTATTATTGACAGCTGAAAAGATGTGTAACAGCAGGGAGTAGTTTCTATAAGTTTTTTGGGTTTTTTTTTTTTTTTTTTTTTTTTTTTAAGACGGAGTCTCGCTCTGTCGCCCAGGCTGGAGTCCACTGGCGCAATCTCGGCTCACTGCAAGCTCTGCCTCCTGGGTTCACGCCATTCTCCTGCCTCAGCCTCCCGAGTAGCTGGGACTACAGGCGCCTACCACGGTGGCGCCCGGCTAATTTTTCGTATTTTTAGTAGAGACGGGGTTTCACCGTGTTAGCCAGGATGGTCTCGATCTCCTGACCTGGTGATCCGCCCGCCTCAGCCTCCCAAAGTGCTGGGATTACAGACGTGAGCCACCGTGCCCGGCCTCTATAGGTTTTTAAATTTTAGTTTTGTTTATTTTGTTTATATTTTAACAGGATAAAATTTATTATAATATAGTTTGCCTTCTAAAAAGAGTCCATATAGAAATCACTAACTTAAACTGAATTCATACACAAACTTCAAATCACATCAGAAGTTTTTCCTGGAAAAATTAGGTCCTCTTTTTTCAATAATTGGGGCTTGTTTATCAGAAACGACTTAGTGATAACAAAGCAAGACACATTTTTGTATTATTATACATTTAATTTAGACGATGGGGAAATTCCTTCACACTACCTCATAACATAAAGCAGGTTTATTAGGCCTTAAGAATCATAGAATATTTATACTTTTCATGTAAAATAGAAAACCTAATTTTCCAGCCATTCATGCTAAACAGCAGGGTTAAAGTAATGATCAGGAAGACTTTATACGTTTTAAAATAAGGTAGTTTTCATGAGACATTTTGCAGTGCTCCCTTGGTAATGTTCATATTCAGTGAGCAGAAAAGAAAAGATGAGAGAGTTAGGACTCTACTATTGAACCTGTTTCTTGAAGAAAACAAAAACCAGATAGTACAATTGGATGTCAGAAATGATTATTAGAAAGCTAGGTAAAAACAGTACAGGTTGAGTATCCCTTATCTGAAATGCTTGGGACCAGAATTGTTTCAGAATTTGGAATTTTTTGGATTTTAGAATATTCGCATATACATATGAGTTACCTTGGGGATGAGAGCCAGGTCTAGACACGAGATTCATTTATGTTTCATATACACCTTATAGTCTAAAGGTAATTTTATACAATATTTTTAATGATTTTGTACAGGATACAAAGTTTTGAGCCATAGCATGAGGTCACATGTGGAATTTTCCTTTTGTGGCATCATGTAAATGCTCAGAAAGTTTCAGATTTTGGAGCATTTCAGATTTTGGATTTTTGGATTAGGGATGTTCAACCTGTATTTCCAAATACTTAAGATAGGGCCTTAATTTGTCTTCCTTTTTATTGTCTTTTCAGACAAATGACCATGGAAACAGTTGAATCCCAGCATGATGGAAGTATAACAGCTTCTTTGACAGAGAGCAAGTCTGCTCATGTGCAGACTCAGACTGGCCAAAATTCAATCCCTGCTTTAGCTCAGGTAGGCAATAGGCAGGCACCGTTGAAAGTCAAAATATATGGAAATGAGAATTAGGTGCAGATTCTGTTTTCTTGCCATTGATCTTAAATTTTCCATGTTCCCTGGTTATCAGCCATTCTTGCTTATTTGATTGTGAAGAAAAGATACGTGTTGTAATTAGCCTTGCATTTTAACAGACATTCAGCAGTGCCCCATCTCCATTGCCACCACCACTATGGAAGGAAAAACAAAAACCCTTCCTGAATATGTAATCCTCAAAGTATGATTTGAGAGGGTTGCTAATTCGAAATTGATACAGTTCTGATGTCCTTAGCTGTTAAGATGACAGAAATCTTACCATTTTCCCCGTATATATTTGTCTTAATCATTACTTTCTTTTCAGTTAGGTCTCGAACTTTGAATTGGTTTCATTCAGAGGTCACCAGTATCAGTTAGTACCTGTTTCTAGATCCTAAAATTTATTTCTGAGATATCTATTAAAAATATAGTAAAAATAAACACATTTGTTAGTTCATCAAATATTTATTGAATGTCTGCTGTGTCTAATTATTCCGGATGCATGTGGATATGTAGTTTCAGGACTTAAATATCCCATGGTTTGGTAGGGTAGACAGATATTTTAGCAATAATTCCAGTAGGGTAAGAAGTGCTGTAAGATACTATGTAGAAAATGAATAAGGCCTACAGAAGAGGGAGCAGCCAGCTGACTAGGAGTGCTTTATATATCTCCTTTGAGCTAGGCACAAAGGATGAGTAGGAGTCTGCCAGGTTGATAAGGTGAGGAAGCATATTCTAGGCAGAGCGAAGAGTGTGCACAGAGGCACAGAGCCAGAGCATGGGATGTTCAGGGAACTATGGGTATTGAGTTTAACTGGAGCCAGGTGTCTGGGCTGGGCAGTCCAGCTGGTAAAGGTAAGTAGAGGATCGTATACATTTCAGGGTTTAGAGTACACTGTACTCTAAATAGTATTGAAATATTTTCAGGTGCCCACCGTATTTTCAGTTTTGACACTAGTAGCCATGTGGAGGTGGAATTGAAAGTCAGTGAGTCGGAACTGAAGACACCATCAGGGTGCCTGGTGGAGTCAAAGTAGCGTGAGATACAGAGCAGTGGTGAGACCTTTGTGGTACATTAAAGGGAGAATAAAAAGGACCTGGTGGTTGACTGGAAGGCCCAGGGGAAACACCAGGCACTTCTTGGGTTATATTAGGCCAGACTGGTGTGAGAGCTCTCCTTTCCTGTGCACCCAGCCTGCTTTTCTTTCCTCTTTAAAGCTGCCAACACCCACTCGTTCCCTGCAGGTTTTCTGCGGTATTCTGTAGAGCTGTATCTCCCTAGCAACACCTTTTGTTACACTGAGAGACAGGCATTTAGGTTAGGCCAGGCCTTTTGCTTAAACACACACACACACACACACACACACACACACACACACACACACACACACCCTTGTTAAAAAAAATGCATGTTCATTGTAGAAAATAAATATTAAAATGAAGAATATAAAAACTATCCATAATCTTAACATCCAGAGATTTAATCATTGTTAACATTTTGGTGTAGCTCCTTTAGTCTTTTTGTCTGTGTGAATAGAATAGAAAGCATATACTTTTTCTCATGATTTTGGGATTTTCCAGAATCTTTAGAGCTATGGTTTCTGGTCAGTAATTCTGCCCTTTGCTGAAGTTGTAGTTGAAAGCACTTTCTTTTTTTTTTGGTAGAGACAAGTTCTCACTATATTGCCCAGGCTGGTCTCAAACTCCTGTGCTGAAGCAGTCCTTGCACCTCAGCTTCCCAAAGTGCTGGAATTACAGGTGTGAGCTTCTTGTACCCAGCCTGAAAGTACATTTTCTTCCTTCTGACTCTACTTCCTTCTAGGTGGGTCCCGGCTCACTAAGTTCTACAGATGCCTTTTGCCCCAGAATTCTGGGGCTGAAGTCCCAGCAATAGATTTCCATTATCTAAATATGGTAATTTGCAATTCTGAGGACCTTCAGGCTGGGCGACAGCCACCTCTGTGAGCCTCACTCAGAAATTGCCAACAGGTGGCCAGGTGCAGTGGCTCATATCTGTAATCCCAGTACTTTGGGAGGCCAAAGCAGGTGGATCGCTTGAGGCCAGGAGTCCGAGACCAGCCTGGCCAACATGAAGAAACCCTGTCTCTACTAAAAATACAAAACTAGGTGGTTATGGTGGCACACGCCTGTAGTCGCAGCTGCTCGGGAGGCTGAGGCACGAGAATCACTTGAACCCAGGAGGCTGAGGTTGCAGTGAGCCAAGTTGGAGCCACTTCACTCCGGCCTGGGTGACAGAGTGAGACCCTGTCTCAAAAAAAAAAAGTGTTGCCAACAGGTTAAGTAATGTGGAGTCTGAAAAGTAGTCTTAGGTTTCTGAGGGCTTGAAAGTGTTGCCAACAGGTTAAGTAATGTGGAGTCTGAAAAGTAGTCTTAGGTTTCTGAGGGCTTGGAATTGAATAGGAGACCAGTGGACAGAAACTAGGTTTTAGTAGGTTATAGAATAAGTAAGAGGAGGGGAAGTGGAAGTTGGAAGTATAGACTCTTTTAAGAAATTTGTCTTGAACTAATAGAGAAAGATGGGTTTGTGAAACAAAGGGGTGAGAACTGGGATGTGAGAAATTTGGGAATGTTTTGAATAAAATGGAACATTATAGAGACTTGTGAGAAGGCAGAATCAAGGAACTAGAAAAAGCCTGTGTTTACGTTTGTAATGCTTCTTTAAAAATCTCAAATAATGTTGTATGCTAATAAATATTGATAGTTATTAAATCTGGATAGTAAATTCTTGGAGTTTTGCTGTTTTTCTATTTTATATTGTTAGAAGTATTTTTTTGTTGTTGTTTTTGTTTTGTTTCGTTTTGTTTTTTTGAGACAGAGTCTCACTATGTCACCCAAGCTGGAATGCAGTGGTGCAATCTCGGCTCACTGCAACCTCTGCTCACTGCATCCTCCACCTCCCGGGTTCCAATGATTATTATGCCTCAGCCTCCCGAGTAGCTGGGATTACAGGCATGTGCCACCACGCCCAACTGATTTTTGTGTTTTTAGTAGAGAGGGTTATGCCATGTTGGCCAGGCTGGTTTTGAACTCCTGACCTCAAGCAGTCCACCTGCTTTGATCTCCTGAAGTGCTGGGATTACTGGTGTGAGCCACTGCACCTGGCCTGTTTGAAGTATTTGATCAAACTGAAACTATGGTTTTTATCTTTCACATGCTAGAAATATAGAGATTAAGAAGTAATCTGTATGCCGACTTATGGATTATTTTAGTTAACTAAGAATTATCCTCCATGCCATGCATGGATCATGATTTTTTGAAGAATTAGAAGACAATTCTTAGCAGTCAGAATTTTCTGAACATAATTACTCATTAAAGTTCTTGTGACACCAGCAGCTGTTCGTTTATGAGTATTGTTACTATCATACAATAGTATATGTCTTACAAGGAGTAGGAAATCAAGCTGAACTCTATTAACCCTATGATGTATGCCAAAAGTGACTGACTCTTCTGAATTTCTGATGGCTTCATATTTACTTGCCACTTGTCTCATTTTTCTTCAGACTTGAGGATTGTAAATTTCCATATGTTTTAGATTTAAACTTAGTTGTGAATAAAGAGGAATTTCTGACACTCACCTTCCTTGTTTATATGATCAGATTATCAGTAAACAGTGTGGGAACAAAAGGCGTAAGCAGAACGTTCAGTGGGTTTGATTCTTTGCATCTAAGGTCATTTGATACTGGTTGTTTTGATTGTCCTGGCCTTTCCAGAGCTTCTGCTAATCAAGAATATACTATGAAAATCATCAGAGACCTAGCAACTGTTGAGCTTGGTTTTGGCTGTCAGGCCCCTGTTCTGCTGATGGATTGAGGTGAGGTGCAGGTACACCAGGGGACACTGGAGTTTTGCTTTTCTGTTTTATAACTTTGTAGTAATAAATGGAGCCTTTCTCTTCTGTTTGAAAACAAAATCACGGTGGTGGTAATGTCAAAAAGTTGGAAGCAGGAGTTGCCATCAACAAATCCTAGTACGGCAAATAACTGGAAGTTAAATGTTGTCTTGGCTTTCTTCTTGCCTAAATTATTTTTATGCTGATTTATTTTTAATGGAAGCTGGTATCTTATTTATTAAGTACGTGTGTTGATATACAGGACTAGACTCGCTGGATTCTGGTAAAACTGTTGATAATAAGTTGGAGAGTCCATTTTAAATAACCTGGCCAGGAGGAAATCTTTTCCAGAAATCAAAATGGTGAAAAGCAAAAATATTGTATGTACAATACAAGTAGTTTTAAAATAGTGACACTTACATCCTCCGGAAATAATATTGTTTTTAAATGGGTAATGGGAAGTTAAAACTTCTTTTGTTGTGAAAGACTTCAAACATACATAAGAGTAGAAGAATGATTCCACATATATATAAAGTTAGTAATTATTAAGATTTTGCTAGACCAGGCATGGTGGCTCATGCCTATAATCCCAGCACTTTGGGAGGCTGAGGCAAGAGGATTGCCTGAGCCCAGGAGTTCAAGACCAGCTTGAGAGCTTGTCTCTTTAATAAAAAATAAATTAATACAACAAAAATTTTTGCCAGGTGTGATGGCATGCCCTTGTAGTCCCAGCTACTTGGGAGACTGAGACCAGTGGATTGCTTGAGCCCAGGAGCTCAAGGCTGTAGTGCACTGTGATCATGCCTATGAATAACCACTGCACTCCAGCCTGACGACATAGCGAGACCTTGTCTCAATAAAATTAAAAAAAAAGATTTTGTAGCACTTGCCTCATCTATCTTCTTTTTTTCTTCTTGTCGCTGAAGTATTTTAAGCTGCTCAGCAGATCTCAGACATCATGTCATTTTACTCCTACTTACTTCTGGGTATACAACTCTTAAAACATTATGGACATTTTCTTATATAACAAAATGTCATTATACCTAGTTAAGTATAATTAATATGCAATCCATATTCATTTCACAAATGTATGATCTACTCTGAAGGCAGTAGAGTGGACACCTTGAACTTTTCTTGTTCCTAGACTCTTGGGAATTGGTAACACTGCCATGAAGACCTAGGTGGGTAAGGTCATTCAGATGGAGCCAGTGGAAAGGATGTACCTTAAAACTGACTTTCTGAAGTATAATTCTCCATAGCTGCTGCTGAAGCCTGGAGGCCTCGACTCTGAAAGCTAAATAACTCTTCTTTATAAATGACTACTTCTCAAGGTTTCAGCAAAGATAGAAGGGAAAGATGAAAGGAGCAGTATGCTAGGAGTCAAAAGGGGGGAAGGAAACTCTGGAGATTGTCAAGGTCAGCAAACTGCCTCGAGAGAATTAGTTCTGATATAACACTTAACCTCTCCAAGGACCTCTGTATTTTTGGAAACAAGGAGACACTAGGGAGGCAGAGAAAGCCGCTAGGGAATGTTGTTCAGAGATTATACTCTCCTAATCAAGCTGAACTCTGTTAACCCTATGATGTTTGCCAAAAGTGACTGACTCTTCTGAATTTCTGATGGCTTCATATCTTATCCTTTCTTATCTTTTCCATTCTAAGTGCACAATGTGTAAGGAGTCCCTCGGAATAAAGCAGCCCTGGCATGCCATCGGGGATTGAAGTAGGAACGATTTAACAAGGGATACTTGGAAATGTTGTCATGTGCGAGTTGTAAATTTTCTTTTTTAATCTGGTGGAAAATTGGAATGGCATTTCTCTGTTTTGCCCAGCTATGCCAAAAATCTTCTTGGTCCCACATAGGCCTAGGAAGGATGTAGATGGCAATCACAAAACAAACAAAAAATGAGCAAACAAATAGAAGACCTCAAGCAACATTTTCTCTTGTTAATAGGTTAGCAACCTCATATTTGTATATTAAAGAGATCTGCATTATGTTAGGTTGATTTCATATAATTTCAGCTAAGTAGATCTAGTTTAAGGTCAGTGTTTTATTGAATCTTGTATTTTAGCTTCAGTATATTAATTTCCTTAGCTGAGGGACTCCTACTGAAGGAGAAAAGTGTTCCTGTTAAAATTTTGAAATAAAAGTTTCTGTTTTACTGTAGATTTTTTCACTATTGCTCCTTATTTTTATGTATTCTTTCCCCTGGCTGTTTTTCATGGTTCATATTTTATCTGTTACACAGAACATTTGTATTCTGTTAGAATTATCTATAAAAATGAACAAAGGATGGAAGAAAAAGGAAGAGAGTAATTTTTTTCAATAAATGCTAAATCTGTATTATAAAATGTTCCTTAGTCATCCAATTCAGAAAAACCCACTGCTTTGAACCGTAACTCATTATTGAAGGTAATTCAAGGTTCAGAGGCCATAATAAAAAGTAACTGGTGAACTGTTAATATTAGTAACCAACTTTTTTCAACTTCAACAAGAATTTGTTATGTATCTGTACTCATATTTTGATAATTTTGTATATAATAGCTAGTATATTTCTTTAAAAGTTTGTTTTTGGCTTTAGAATACGCTTTTATGTTTTCATCCCAGTAGTGTATTAAAGGTGACAGTACTTTGCTTTAAATAAATTTTGATGTTGCAGAGGTAATTTCAGGAAGTATAAAGCAATCAGAGTCAAATTTCAGAAAAATTTTGGTTTTATAATTACAATAAAAATGCATACAAATTTATTTTAGTGTTTGAGAGACTGTTAAAGATTTTTTTGTAATTTGTAATGATTATGAGGTTTGGATACTCGTAGAAAATGTTCAAGTTCCCTTTCTTAGTTTTACTAATGGGTAGTTTGTCACTAGCAGTAATGAAAAAATAACTGAGTATAAATACAGTTACTCCTTTTGCCTTTTTCTGTATGATTTTCTTTAGTAAAAGAGTAAGCTGAGAGGACGGAAAAATGGGGAGTCATTTTTTAATGGGTATGGAGTTTCAGATTTGCAAGATGAAAAAGTTCTGTAGATCTGATTAACAATAATGTGAATATACTTAACACTACAAACTACACTTAAACAGTGAATATGTTATGTGTCTTTTACCACAATAAAAGATAATGAATAACAAAAAAAATAGGCTAGACATTGAAATTTGAAAAAAGAAACATTAATTTTATAGTTTCTTTTTTGAGTAAGACTTAGGGATTCTTTTCTTTTCTTTTCTTTTCTTTTTTTTTTTGTAGAGATGGGAGTCTCGCTCTGTCACCTAGGCTGGAGTGCAGTGGCACAATGTCAGCTAACTGCAACCTCCACCTCCCAGGTTCAAGTGATTCTCTTGCCTCAGGTTCCCGAGAGCTGGGACTACAGGCGCGTGCCACCACACCTGGCTAATTGTTTTTGTAGTTTTAGTAGAGATGGGGTTTCACCGTGTTAGCCAGGATGATCTTGATCTCCTGACCTTGTGATCCACCCGCCTCAGCCTCCCAAAGTGCTGGGATTACAGGCATGAGCCACTGCGCCTGGCCTCTTCTTTCTTTCTTTCTTTTTTTTTTTTGAGACAGAGTCTTGCCCTGTTGCCCAGGCTGGAGTGCAGTGGCGCGATCTCGGCTCACTGCAACGTCCACCTCCCGGGTTCACACCATTCTCCTGCCTCAGCCTCCTTAGTAGCAGAGACTACAGGCGCCCGCCACCACACCTGGCTAATTTTTTGTATTTTTAGTAGAGATGGAGTTTCACTGTGGTAGCCAGGATGGTCTCAATCTCCTGACCTCGTGATCCATCCACCTCAGCCTCCCAAAGTGCTAGGATTACAGGCGTGAGCCACAGTTCCCGGCCACCTCTTTTCTTTTCTTTTTTTTTTTAAGAAACAGAGTCTCACTCTGTCACCCAGGCTGGAGTGCAGTGATATGATCGTGACTCACTGCAGCCTCAGTCTCCTGGGCTCAAGTGATACTCCTGCCTCAGTCTCCTGGAGTAACTAGAACTACAGGTGCATACTGCCATGCCTGGCTAACTTGTAAGTTTTTTGTAGAGATGGGGTCTCACTGTCTTGTTCAGGCTGGTCTCGAACTCCTGGCCTCAAGTGATCCTCCCTCTTCAGTCTCCCAAAATGTTGGCATTACAGGTGTGAGCCACTATGTTCAGCCAGAGACTATTTTCTTTCCCTTATTTTATCGTTTGTTATTATAACCCTTGTAAATCCCAGACTATTAAGAATTATATTTGGAAAACAGAGGCTTTGGGAAATTTCTGCTTCATTGCATAGTTGTGACGATATCTTCATAGTGCTCTCCACAAATGTGGATTTTTGTAGCCCTATCAGAGATAAAACTGTAGTGGTTTTCTTAAAAGGTATAGGGGAGAAAAGCCTGGTTATGGTAATGAATGTATTAGGTAGAGACAATGTTAGATGAAGAAAACAGACATAGTTCAGGAAAAACACATGTCTTTAAACAGGTTTCATTCAGAAGTAGACCTCTATTTTGGCAGATAATAACTATTTTCCTTTAAAACAATGCATATAAAGATGCAACAACAACAACAAAAACTACAGGTCAATATCCCTGATGAACATAGGTACAAAAATCCTTAACAAAATACTAGCAAACCAAATTCAACAACATATTAAAAAGATCATTAACAGTGATCAAGTACCATTCATCCCAGGGATGCAAGGATGTTTCAACATATGCAAATCAGTAAACCTGATAAATCACATCAACAGAATGAAGGAAAAAGACCATATCATCATCTCAATACATGCATAAAAAACATTTGAAAAATTCATTATTTCCTTATTATAAAAACTCTCAACAAATTACATAAAGAAGGGATGTACCTCAGTGCAACAAAGGCAGTATATGACACACCCACAACTAACATCATGCTGAATGGGGAAAGGTTGAAAGCTTTTTCTCTAAGATCTGGAATAAGATAAGGATACCAGGCCAGGTGTGGTGGCTCACACCTGTAATCCCAGCACTTTGGGAGGTTGAGGCAGGCGGATCGCTGGAGCCCAAGAGTTAAGAGACCAGCCTGGGCAACATGGTGAAAGCCTGTCTCTACCAGAAAATATACAAATATTAGCCGGGCATGGTGGCACACACCTGTAAGTCCCAGCTACTTGGGAGGCTGAGGTGGGAGGATGGCTTGAGGCTGGGAGGCACAGGTTGCAATGAGCCAAGATCATGCCCCTGCACTCCAGCCCAGGTTGCAGAGCCAGACCCTGTCTCAAAAAAAAAAAAAAAAAAAAAGTCACAGATGCCCATTTTTGCCACTTCTATTTAGCATTGTACTCAAAGTCCTAGCCAGAGCAATTAGGCAAAAGAAAGAAAAGGCAACTGAATTGGAAAGGAAGAAGTCAACTTTTCCCTGTTCATAGATGACATGATCTTACATATGAAAACCTTTAAAAAAAGGAACAAAAATTAGAAAACCTTAAAGATGCCACCAGAAAAACCTGTTAGATCTAATACATGAATTCACTGAAGTTGCAGGATATGAAATCAACTTATAAAAACCAGTATTGTTTTTATGTACTAATAGTGAACTACCTGGAAAAAATATCAAGAAAACTCTATTTACAATAGCTATGAAAAAAATACTTAGAAATAAATTTAAGCAAGGAGGTGAAATATCTGTACATTGAAAACTATAAAAAACATTGATGAGAGAAATTGAAGGAGACACAAGTAAATGTTCATGGATTGGAAGAATTAGTATTGTTAAAATGTCCATACTACCCAAAGCGGTCTACAGATTTAGTGCAATCCCTATCAGAAATATCAATGACATTCTTCACAAAAATAGGGAAAAACAATCCCCAAATTTATACAGGACCACAAAAGACCCCAAATAGCGAAAGGAATATTGAACCAAAAGAATGAAGCTGGAACCACTGCCATGGCCAGTCCATTGCAGGGTATCCTGCAGCTGCTACAGACCGAGAAGCAGGCTGCTGAGAAGGTTTCCAAGGCCCACAGGCAGATGAACCGGGGGCTGAAGCAGGCCAAAGAAGTAGCTTAGGCTGAAATTGAACAGTGCCGCCTGCAGAGGGTAAAAAGAGTTCAAGGCGAACGAAGCTGAAGCACTGAAGTGGAGAAGGAGGCCCAGGAGAAAAGATGATCACCCTCCAGACCTACTTCCAGCAGAACAAGGATGAAGTCTTGAATAACCTCTTGGCCTTTGTCTGCAACATCCGGCCAGAAATCTGTGAAAACTGCTGCATAAATGGGTAGGAGAAGAAAAAAGCACCTGTTCTATGAATTGGCATTTTAGATGCTCTCATGGAATATGAAGCTTCAACATAGCTCAAGTTATATTCTTAAGGCATTAAATTATTTCTGTATATTATATAATAGGTCCCTCCACTTTTTGGAGAGTAGCAAATATAGTGTTTTTTTTTTGTTGTTTTGTTTGTTTTTTTTTTTTTTTTACAGACTTAGAACTTATCTAAAGATTTCATGTTTCTTAGAAAATTAATTGGTATATGTTGTCTATTTTTATATGCCTTTTGGTTCAAGCAACATATATATCAGTGTTGACATTTTCTTTCTTAGATCTAATTAAACAAAACCAATTTTTTTTGAAGAAAGAAAGTGATTAAATAATTTTTCCCCCTAATGCATTCTTGAATTCATCAGGGCTTTATCTATGAAAAAGTAGTAAATAGTTATTTGTAACCTATGTGAAGCAACATTCAGCCTTAATCTATTCCTGCTAATGATTAGAACAACAATATTGGTATAGTTGTTTGGGTTGCTTTTAGTTTCTCTTAATCATGTTTACTAGATGATAGAACTTAAGAACTTGTTACATCTTATTACTTGGTGTATGATAATCATTTGAAAGTCAAGACTCTTTGTCATGCAGGAAAAAAAAAAGAACAAAGCTGAAGGCATCACACTACCTGACTTCAAAATATACTATAGAGCTATAGTAATTAAAACTGCATGGTACCAGCATGAAAACAGATACATTGATCAATGGAACAGAATATAAAGTCCAGAAATAAAACCATGCATTTACTTACACCAACTTATATTCAACAAAAATGGCAGGACCACACAATGGGGAAAGGGCCATTTCTTTAATAAATGATGTTGGGAAAACTAGATATTTACACAGAAGAATGAAATTAGGCCCTTGTCTCTCACCATAAACAAAAATCAACTCTTGAAAATGGATTAAATATAAGACCCAAAACTATGAAACTACTACAAGGAAACAGGAAACTCCTTGACATTAGTCTGGCCGATGAGTTTTTTGATACAACCTTAAAAGCACAGGCAACAAAAGCAAAAATGGACAAACAGTATTACGTCAAACTATAAAGCTTCCCCACAGCAAAGGAAACATTCCACAGGGTGAAGAAGGGACCTACAGAATGGGAGAAAATATTTGCAAACTATACATCTGATAAGGGGTTAATATCCGAAACACAGAAGGACTCAAACAACTCAATAGTAAGAAAACAACCTGATTTTCTAAAAATGTGCAGAAGACCCGAATAGATTTTTCTCAAAAGAAGACATAAAAATGGCCAAGTACAGTCATTCATCACTTAACAACAGGTCTACATTTTGAGAAATGTGTTGTTAGGCAATTTCATCTTTTTTTTTTCCCTTATGATCCAACAGAACCAATGGTGTGGTGATTTCATCTTTGTGCAAACATCTAGAGTGTACTTACACAAACCTGGATGGTATAGCCCACTACATACCTAAGCTGTATGGTACAGCCTGTTATTCCTGGGCTGCAAACCTGTATAGGATGCGATTATACTGAATACTACAGGCAATTGGAGCACAATAATAAGTATTTGTGTATCTAAACATAGGAAAGGTACAGTAAAAATACGGTATCAAAGATAAAAATGGCACATCTGTATAGGGCACAAAACCATAGTGGAGCTTGCAGGACTGGATGTTGTCCTGGGTGTGCCAGCGAGTGGGCAGTGAGGGAATGTGAAGGCCTAGGACATTATTGTACACTACTGTAGACTGTCTTTTTTTTTAATAGAATTTTGTTCTTTTGCCCAGGCTGGAGTACAGTGGCACAATCATAGTTCACTGCAGCCTCAAACTCCTGGGCTCAAGTGATCCTCCTGTCTCAGCCTCTCGAGTAACTGGGACTACAGGCACATGCCACCATGCCCAGCTAACTTATTTTATTTTTTTGCTATTGTAGACTTGATAAACATTGTACACTTAGGTTACACTAAATTCATAAAACATCATTTCTTCAATGAACTGTAGCTTACTGTAAGTTTTTTACTTTTTGACTTTTGTAATAACACTTAGCTTAAAACACAAACATATTACACAGCTGCATAAAAATGTTTTCTTCTATGCTTATGCTGTGTAAACCTTTTCTGTGTTTGAAATTTTTTATTTTTTTTATTTTTAAACTTTTTTGTTAAAAACTGAGACACAAACACACATGTTGGCCTAGGCCTGTATAGTGTCAGGATCATCTGTATTGCTGTCTTCCACCTTCATATCCTGTCCCATTGGAAGGTTCTCAGGGAAAGAACACTCATGGAGCTGTCATCTCTTATGACAGTGCCTTCTTCTGGATACTCGCTGAAAGACCTGCCTGAGGCTGTTTTACAGTTAACTTTTTAAAATAACTTGAAGTAAAATAATAATAAAAAGTATGGTAAATACATAAACCAGTAACAGTCATTTTTTTATTATCAAGCATATGTACTGTACATAATTGCATTGCTATGCTTTTATTTAATTATTTATGAGACAGGGTCTCACTCTGTTGCCCATGCTGGTGTGTGGTGATGTGATCTCGGCTCACTGCAACCTCCGCCTCCTGGGTTAAAGCTATTCGCGTGCCTCAGCCTCCCGAGTATGGGATTACAGTCGTGCATCACCATGCCTGGCTAATTTTTGTATTTTCAGTACAAAATTTCTCTACTAAAAATACAAAAATAAGCAGATGTGGTGGCAGGCGCCTGTAATCGCAGCTACTTGGGAGGCTGAGGCAGGAGAATTGCTTAAACCCAGAGGCGGAGGTTGCAGTGAGCCGAGATGGTCCCAGTGGACTCCAGCCTGGGCAACACAGCAAGACTCCATCTCAAAAACAAAAAATAAAAAAAATTAGCCAGGAGTGGTGTTGTGCACCTGTAATCCCAGTTACTCAGAGGCTGGGGCAGGAGAATCACTTGAACCCGGGAGGCAGAAGTTGCAGTGAGTCGAGATCACACCACTGCACTCCAGCCTGGGCAACAGAGTGAGACTGTCTCACCAAAAAAAAAAAGCTCGACATCATTAATCATCAGGGAATTGCAAATCAAAACTACAATGAGATATCACCTTCCTCTTGTTAGGTTGGTTATTATCAAAATGACAAAAGATAACAGATGTTGGCAAGAATATGGAGAAAAGGGAACACTTATACACTGACGGTGGGAATGTAAATTTGTATAGCCATATGGAAAACAGTATGGAGGTTCCTCCAGATATGAAAAATAGAAGTACCAGATGATCCAGCAATTTCATTACTGGGTATCTATCCAAAGGAGATGAAAGCAGTGTGTGGAAGAGATATCTGCACTTCCATATTTATTGCAGCACTATGCATAATGGCCAAGATACGGAATCAGCCTCGGTGTTCATCAGTGGATGAATGGATAAAGAAAGTATGGTATGTATACACAATGGAATACTATTCAACCATAAAAAAGAATGAAGTGTCATTTGCAACAAGATGGAGGAATCTGGAAGTCATTCTGTTAAGTGAATAAGCCAGGCCCAGAAAGACACATACTGCATGCTCTCACTCATGTGTGGAGTCTAAAAAGTTCTCATAGAATTAGAGGGAAGAATGGTGGTTACCAGAGGTGGGGGTGCTTAGGCAGAGGGAAGGATGGGGAAATGTTGGTCCAAGAATATATAATTACAGTTAGGAGGAATGAGTTCAAGAGAGCTATCATACAGCATGGTGACTATAGTTAAGGACAATGTATTGTTGAAAAATGCAGAGATAGTTGAATGTTAATAATGTTCTCACCACAAAAACAACTATGTGAGGTAATGCTATTATTAATTAGCTAGATTTAACTATTACATAATGTATATATACTCCAAAACATCATGTTGTACATGATAAATGCAATTTTTTCTGTCAATTCAAAATGTAAAGTAAGAACATTTAAAAGGTACATCTCCAACCTCCACATGCTTTCCTTGCCCAGTCTTTCTCTCCTGCTTGTCTCTCTCCCTGTCAGTATGAGACACCCTCTCTAGGAAGCCGCTGTCATCCTTTACAAAGAAGGAGTCCAGAATCTAAAATCTTACACAGCCTGCTTCAGGCAGTACTGAAGCCTGGACTTCTCAGAGGCCACAGTAGAGGCCAGTTGTAGCAAATTTGGTTGAAAAAGCAAGAATTATTTTTAAGTTTTTCTAACCACCTGAGCTCCATTTGCCCAGTTGTGAGATTAAACACTTTCTTCGGGCACCAGCAAATCATGGCCACCAGAAAATAAAATCAAATACAAAATAATAATTAATGGGAGAGGAGCAGTGGCTCATGCCTGTAATCCCAGCACTTTGGGAGGCCAAGTCAGGAGGATTACTTGAGCCCAGGAGTTCAAGACCAGCCTGGGTCAAGGTAAGACTCCATCTCTACAAAAAAAAAAATTAGCCAGGCATGGTGGCACTTGCCTGTAGTGCTATCTACTCAGGAGGCTAAGATGGGAGGATCTCTTGAGCCCTGGAGGTTGATTGAAGCTGCAGTGATTCGTGATCATGCCACCGCACTCCAGCCTGGGTGACAGAGCAAGACCCTGTCTCAACGCAACAAAAAACAAAAATAAAAAAAAATAGAGAACAAAAATATTAAATGTGTGCGTATTTACTATTGGATATGGTAATATACCATGGTAGGTATTGCCTTTGTAAGTTGGTCTCCCCTGTCTTTTGTTCCTAGAGCTTTCTCATTTTCTCATCTCCAAGGGCTTGTTTACTGCTTCATACATAAAAAGAGGCCAGGTATGATGGCTCATGCCTGTAATCCCAACACTTTGGGAGGCCGAGATGAGATGATTGCTTGAGCACAGGAGTTCGAGACCAGCCTGTACAACATAGGGAGACCATGTCTCTATGAAAAATTAAAAACTTAGGCCAGGTGCAGTGGCTCACGTGTAATCCCAGCACTTTGGGAAGCTGAGGCAGTCAGATCACCTGAGGTCAGGAGTTCAAGACCAGCCTGGCCAACAACATGGTAAAACCTTGTCTCTATTAAAAATACAAAAAGTAGCCAGGCATGGTGGTGGGCACCTGTAATCCCAGCTACTCGGGAGGCTGAGGCGGGAGATTCGCTTGAACCCGGGAGGCGGAGGTTGCAGTGAGCCAAGATCACACCACTGCGCTCCAGCCTGGGCGACAAGAGTGAAACTCCGTCTCCAAAAAACAAAAAACAAACAAAAAAAAACAATTAGTTGAGTGTGGTGACATGTGCTTGTAGTTCAAATTACTCAGGAGGCTGAGGTGGGAGGATCGCTTGAGCCTGGGAAGCTGCACTGCACTCTAGCCTGGGTGACAGCAAGAACCTATCTCAAAAAAAAAAAAACAAAAAAAGAGCCCTAATTTATACATGTATTCTCAGTTTGAATTAAATTTAGCTTGTTTACTTAAAAGTAGTGTTGAAGGTATTTTTCATACTATATTTTAATACTAGATTAAAGTTGATACTAATTTTATGCAGTTTTAAGTATTAAGACTAATCATTTGACCTTTGCTTTCTTTACCTAAAACATGGAAAATACTGATTTCATAGATTAAATGAGATGATTTGTGTGAAGCACAAGCACAGAGTTTGGCATCTGGTCAATGTGCAATAAATGCTTGCTTTTATCCTCATAGTGACCTTCCTTGATCTTAAAATGGTAGTAATTAGGCTTTAAGATGAAATGGCTTATGCTGGTTTTAAAATATATTGTATTCGGAATCCTTTGTAAAGTAACAAAAATCTACAATGCTTAGTAGGCCTCCAAAGGGTATAGAGGAGAAAAGCTAATTTTTTATAGTTTTATAAGCAAAGTTCCGGTATGTCAGGAGCTTGCTTAAAATTATATGTTTTATGCTTCTTAATTTAGGTACTTTAGATTTCTCCTAGATATTTTAAAACATTGCTGGCCACTTTGGGCATAAAAATCTAAAATATAATCTGTAACTATTTCAGATTTCATGGTAAGACCAAACTGCATTATAATTTTTGTAAGGAGCTAAACTCTTAGACTTTACTATTTATGTACTCTGACCATTGGACTGGAACTGAAAACAACTTAAAGATGCAATTTGGCCTGGCTGTGTTAAATTAGTCTGCTTTGCATTGCTATAAAGGAATACCTGGCTGGGGCAGTGGCCCATGCCTGTAATCCCAGCACTTTGGGAGCCTGAGTTGGGTGGATTATTTGAGCTCAGGAGTTCGAGACGAGCCTGGCCAACATGGTGAAACCCTGTCTCTACAAAAAAATACAAAAATCAGCTGGGCATGGTGGCAGGCGCCTGTAATCCCAGCTACGCCGGAGGCTGAGGCAGGAGAATCACTTGAAACTTGAACCCGGAAGGCAGAAGTTGCAGTAAGCCAGATTGCACCACTGCTCTCCAGCCTGGGCCACAGAGCGAGGCTCCATCTCAAAAAAAAAAAAAAAAAAAAAAGAAAAGGAAAAAGAAATACTTGAGGCTGGATAATATATAAAGAAAAGAAGTTTGTTTTGGCTCACGGTTCTGCAGGCTGCACAAGAAGCATGGCACCAGTATCTGCTTCTAGGGAAGCCTCCAGAAGCTTCAAATCATGGCAGCAGGAGAAGGGGGAGCCAGGGTATCACATGGAGAGAGAGGGAGCAAGAGAGAGGGGAAGTGCCACACTCTTCAACAACCAGCTCTCAGAACTACCAGAGCGAGAACTCATGACCATTCATGAGGGATCCCCCATGACCCAAACACCTCCCACAAGGCCCCACCTCCAACATTGAGGATTATATTTCAACATGAGATTGGGAGCGGATAAGCATCCAAACTGTATCACGTTTTGTCAAAATGATTCTGATTTTGACATCTACTTTTATGTAATTCTTCTTTCCTGTTGCATAAAAAGCCTTTTTTTGGCTTAGAATCTTACTGCAAATTCTTTATGTGTATTTATTATTTTGAAATACATTTGGCTAGTAAATTATGATCAGTTTCAGTCTTACTGAAACCAAATACGAGATTGGCTTTCAAAAGTTCCTTCCAGAGCTAAAAGAGTTTGACTTCTATAAAGGTCATGTCCATTTTTATAGTACTTTAATATATATATTATTATAATAAGTGAAACATATCTCATATTGGTTAGAATATAAAATGATGCCCCAAATACTATAAATAGGAAATCCAAGATACTGTACAGATTAGCTAGAAAAAAAAAAGTTTAGCTAGGGCACTGTTCTCAAAGGATAAAGAACCCTAATTTTAATTTAAGTGCTTACTGGAAGCATTATCAAAATAGATTATTTAAACCCTTCTGGATAATTAAGAATGACTGAATTATAACACTTGCTTTGCTTTCAAGAAGTGAATTTTTTAGAAACATGAAATTTGACCATTTACGTTTACAGTATCAGAAACAATGATCCTTTTCCCCCTTTTCAATTCAGATTATGGATTTCAGCTTATGCGCTATACATAAAAAAAAGGATTGGAGGCAACAACAACATCTCTTTAGAAGATAATGGATAGTAAATATAGAAATAATAATCATACTTGGCTTATCTCTTTGTAACAAATATTTTCAACATATATTCTTAAGGTAAAATTTAAATGCATTGAATTTGCAATTTGTTAGCCACACTATCTTAAAAACAAAACAAAAAAAACAGCTAGGCCAGACACAGTGGCTCACACCTGTTATCTCAGCACTTTGGGAGGCCAAGGCGGGTAGATTACCTGAGGCCAGGAGTCGAGATCAGCCTGACAACATGGTGAAACTCCGTCTCTACTAAAATTACAAAAATTAACTGGGTGTGGTGACAGGCACCTGTAATCCCAGCTACTTGGGAGGCTGAGGCAGGAGAATCGATTCAACCCAGGAGGTGGATGGAGGTTGCGGTGAGCCCAGATCACGCCACTTCCCTCCAGCCTGGGCGACAGAACAAGAGTCTGTATCAAAAAAAAAAAAAAATTACCAGGGTGTGGTGGCGGGCACCTGTAATCCCAGCCACTCGGGAGTTTGAGGCTGGAGGATTGCTTGAGCCTGGAAGGTGGAGGTTGCAGTGAGCCAACATTGTGCCACTGAACCGCAGCCTGAGCAACAGAGCTGAACTCTGTCTCCAACTCAAAACAAAAAACACCTTCATGGGAAGGAAGTCACTCAAGATAACCGAAATGAAGACCAACTACATTTTTCATTTTGTGTTTGTCTTACTCAGCACAATCAAATATGACTTTTAAAAATTAAAGTGGGCCGGGCACGGTGGCTCACACCTGTAATCCCAGCACTTTGAGAGGCCAAGGTGGATGGATCACCTGAGGTCAGGAGTTCAAGACCAGCCTGGCAGAGATGGTAAACCCTGTCTTTACTAAAAATACAAAAATCAGCCAGACGTGGTGGCACATGCCTATAATCCTAGCTATTTGGGTGGCTAAGGCAGGAGAATTGCTTGAACCCAGGAGGTGGAGGTTGCAGTGAGCCGAGATCGCACCACTGCACTCCATCCTGGGTGACAGAGCAAGACTCCGTCTCAGTGGGGGGAAAAAAAATTAAAGTGGAATATTTTACATCTTTATTCAGGTATTTGATTTATAATATTCTTATTATTTTCAGCTTTAAAACATTTGAAATATTCTAATATTCTCTTAAATGCTTTTTCCCCTATAGAACAGACTTTTGAGAATCCTGTCTTAATACATAAATATCAAGATAGTTTTCAACTTCTTGCTTAGCTTGTTAGTGTATTTTTATTGTAGTCCTTAAACTAGGTAGTACAGAGATTTGATTTTTCAGGAGCAGAGTTGATAGAGCAGTCTGCTATATTGTGAATTCACATTTTAAAATCCTTTATTGTCTTGAATGCAGGCCTAGTAGCTTTGTGACATGTGCAGCTATACTATGACATCATAAACCCCATCGTGAGGGAACCTAGCTACGGGTCAGAGCTAGTCCACTAGGTGCTAATCAAATGCTGTGTTACAACACTGTGAGGTTTTCCCAGTTATAAGTGTCACTATTAGGGTTTTTTTTAATTGCAAAGCCAAATAAGGCTGTCAATTGCATCATCTTACCTTATTTCTTCAGATTAAGTACTGTTTATAGTGGGATTTTTGGTGGATGTGGTGGCATCAGCATAATCTATGTTTCAGGCGTCCTATAGAAGAGGATTATTCTTCAGGGGATGTGGAAGAAAAGGTAAATGATGTCTGCTATAAGTACCTTCACACTTTTAAAGCCTTGTGAAAAGAGGGGTAAAAATTGTGAAATATAAAATAACATCCATTTTATGTTTTAGTTTTTTGTTCTTGCGATAGTTTACTGAGAATGATGATTTCCAATTTCATCCATGTCCCTACAAAGGACATGAACTCATCCTTTTTTTATGGCTGCATAGTATTCCATGGTGTATATGTGCCACATTTTCTTAATCCAGTCTGTCATTGTTGGACATTTGGGTTGGTTCCAAGTTGTAGCAGCATGATTTATAATCCTTTGGGTATATACCCAGTAATGGGATGGCTGGGTCAAATGGTATTTCTAGTTCTAGATCCTTGAGGAATCGCCACACTGTCTTCCACAATGGTTGAACTAGTTTACAGTCCCACCAACAGTGTAAAAGTGTTCCTATTTCTCCACATCCTCTCCAGCACCTGTTGTTTCCTGACTTTTTAATGATCGCCATTCTAACTGGTGTGAGATGGTATCTTATTGTGGTTTAGATTTGCATTTCTCTGATGGCCAGTGATGAGCATTTTTTCATGTGTCTGTTGGCTGCATAAATGTCTTCTTTTGAGAAGTGTCTGTTCATATCCTTCGCCCACTTTTTGATGGGGTGGTTTGGTTTTTTCCTTGTAAATTTGTTTGAGTTCATTGTAGATTCTGGATATTAGCCCATTGTCAGATGAGTAGATTGCAAAAATTTTTTCCCATTCTGTAGGTTGCCTCTTCACTTTGATCGTAGTTTCTTTTGCTGTGCAGAAGCTCTTTAGTTTAATTAGATCCCATTTGTCAATTTTGGCTTTGTTGCCATTGCTTTTTGTATTTTAGACATGAAGTCCTTGCCCATGCCTATGTCCTGAATGGTATTGCCTAGGTTTTCTTCTAGGGTTTTTATGGTTTTAGGTCTAACATTTAAGTCTTTAATCCGTCTTGAATTAATTTTTGTACAAGGTGTAAGGAAGAGATCTGGTTTCAGCTTTTTACATATGGCAAACCAGTTTTCCCAGCACCATTAATTAAATAGGGAATCCTTTCCCCATTTCTTGTTTTTGTCAGGTTTGTCAAAGATCAGATGGTTGTAGATGTGTGGTATTACTTCTGAGGGCTCTGTTCTGTTCCATCGGTCTGTATCTTTGTTTTGGTACCAGTACCATGCTGTTTTGGTTACTGTGGCCTTGTAGTATAGTTTGAAGTCAGGTAACGTGATGCCTCCAGCTTTGTTCTTTTGGTTTAGGATTATCTTGGCAATGTGGGCTCTTTTTGGGTTCCATATGAACTTTAAAGTCGTTTTTTCCATTTCTCTGAAGAAAGTCATTGGTAGCCTGATTGGGATGGCATTGAATCTATAAATTACCTTGGGCAGTATGGCCGTTTTCACCATATTGATTCTTCCTGTTCATGAGCATGGAATGTTCTTCCATTTGTTTGTGTCCTCTTTTATTTCATTGAGCAGTGGTTTGTAGTTCTCCTTGAAGAGGTCCTTCACATCCCTTGTAAGTTGGATTCCTAGGTATTTTATTCTCTTTGAAGCAATTGTGAATGGGAGTTCACTCATGATTTGGCTGTTTGTCTGTTACTGGTGTATAAGAATGCTTGTGATTTTTGCACATTGATTTTGTATCCTGAGACTTTGCTGAAGTTGCTTATCAGCTTAAGGAGATTTTGAGCTGAGACGATGGGGTTTTCTAAATATACAATCATGTCATCTGCAAACAGGGACAATATGACTTCCTCTTTTCCTAATTGAATACCCTTTATTTCTTTCTCCTGCCTGATTGCCCTGGCCAGAACTGCCAACACTGTTGAATAGGAGTGGTGAGAGAGGGCATCCCTGTCTTGTGCCAGTTTTCAAAGGGAATGCTTCCCATTTTTGCCCATTCAGTATGATATTGGCTGTGGGTTTGTCATAAATAGCTCTTATTATTTTGAGATACGTCCCATCAATACCTAATTTATTGAGAGTTTTTAGCATGAAGGGCTGTTGAATTTTGTCAAAGGCCTTTTCTGCATCTATTGAGATAATCATGTGGTTTTTGTCTTTGTTTCTGTTTATATGCTGGATTACGTTTATTGATTTGCATGTGTTGAACCAGCCTTGCATCCCAGGAATGAAGCCCATTTGATCATGGTGGAGAAGCTTTTTTTTTTTTTTTGAGATGGAGTCTCGCTCTTTTGCCCAAGCTGGAGTGCAGTGGCATGATCTTCGCTCACTGCAAGCTCCATCTCCTGGGTTCACGCCATTCTCCTGCTTCAGCCTCCCTAGTAGCTGGGACTACAGGCACCCGCCACCACACCCGGCTAATTTTTTTTGTATTTTTTAGTAGAAACGGGGTTTCACCATGTTAGCCAGGATGGTCTCTATCTCCTGAACTCGTGATCCGCCTGCCTCAGGCTCTGAAAGTGCTGGGATTACAGGCGTGAGCCACTGTGTCTGGCCGGATAAGCTTTTTGATGTGCTGCTGGATTCAGTTTGCCAGTATTTTACTGAGGATTTTTGCATCGATGTTCATCAGGGATATTGTTCTAAAATTCTCTTTTTTTGTTCTGTCTCTGCCAGGCTTTGGTATCAGGATGATGCTGGCCTCATAAGATGAGTTAGGGAGGATTCCCTGTTTTTCTATTGATTGGAATAGTTTCAGAAGGAATGGTACCAGCTCCTCCTTGTACTTCTGGTAGAATTCGGCTGTGAATCCATCTGGTCCTGGACTTTTTTTGGTTGGTAGGCTATTAATTATTGCCTCAATTTCAGAGCCTGTTATTGGTCTATTCAGGAATTCAACTTCTTCCTGGTTTAGTCTTGGGAGGGTGTATGTGTCCAGGAATTTATCCATTTCTTCTAGATTTTCTAGTGTATTTGCATAGAGGTGTTTATAGTATTCTCTGATGGTAGTTTGTAATTCTGTGGGGTCGGTGGTGATATCCCCTTTATCATGTTTTATTGCATCTATTTGATTCTTCTCTCTTTTCTTCTTTATTGGAGTTTAACCTATTAACTCTACCAGTATAATTATAAGGTTGACGCTCTTGCTTATAAGTTTTGGCCTAACCAGTGAGAATGTAGAATGATAGTTCTCCAGATATAAGAGTTTTCTTTTTTAAAAGGAGACATTTGAATTCTACCTCCAGATGCGTCATTTATGCAGGTTCTCAGCCTTTATTTTAGCATTTTAATGAAAAAATTGTCTCATGAGCTTTTGGCCTGCCTAGAGTTTGGACATATGGAAGTTTCCTTGTAGTTACAGAATCTGTATAACCTATCTCCAGAATTGTAAGGATATGGTTTATGTTAGCGGGTACAAGTTCTTTTTCTGCAGCAGGTATTCTTAACCAAGCCTTTTTTTTTTTTTTTTTTTTTTTTTGTTAAGGCACAGTCTCGCTCTGTCATCCAGGCTGGAGTGCGGTGGCATGATCTCAGCTCACTGCAACCTCGAACTCCTGGGTTCAAGAAATTCTCATGCCTCAGCCTCATGAGTAGCTGGGATTACAGGTGCGCACAACCACACCCGGCTAATTTTTGTATTTTTAGTAGAGAGAGGGTTTCACCATATTGGCCAGGCTGGTCTTGAACTCCTGACCTCAGGTAATCCACCTGCCTCGGCCTCCTGAAGTGCTGGGATTACAGTCATGAGGACTTAGCCATTTTTGATAGAGTTATTGTTTAATTAAAATTCTGATAATTGTACTTGAAAGATGATTAAAGCAATGTAAAGGATGATTTATGCCTATCAGATGCCCATGAATCTTTGTTGAATTGTTTTTCTGTTCTCCATAATAATCTGATTTCTTTGAAGCTGGGCATTTCCCCACAAAAAATGAATGTGGACACCACCTGCCATCTCAACCCACAGGTCTAGTTTGTGAGAATACTTGTAGGACCCCTGGGTTTCCCCCGCTATAGTTTCAAGTACATTGTCTTCAGATACCTTATTCTATGTACTTGGAAAAAAGAGTAAAACATTGAGAGCCACTGGGATCTGACAAGCTTTGGGAGCTCCTTAATTCTAAAAAGAAAATTATTTTGATTTGAGAAAATGTAATATCTTCAGAAATTTCCACCACCCAGCTATGTGACTGCATTTTTAAAAAAGGAAAGGAACAGAGGAAAATCAAGTCACTCTACCCTCCTTACTTACCTGTGGCTTGTCCCTACACATGGTGGTGGGTGGGAGAAGTGGTGGTGGAGTACTGGGTCCTCCAGAGAGCTCAGTTTGGAATCTGGAACTAAAGATCATGTCCCAATTTCCTGAGCTGATGGGATAGAAGCTGGTCAATGAAGTCTTCTTTTTGTGTTAATTTTTTTCCTTTGTTTTCTTTTGTTTTATGTAGTTATAAAGCATAATTTCTATTTTGCCAGTCTCTGACACATGGGCTCTGTCAGGGTTACTGGATATGTTTATTTTGTCTCTGCTGCTCTACTGGAGCTGAAATCTCAGCCTGTCTGAGCAGTTCTTTAAGCTGAAAGCCAGGGTGTAGGGGCTAGATTAGTGTGGAATAGCTGTTTTCAAAGTGTGGTGTGCAGAACCCTGGGGGTGACTCTGAGACATTTTCATGAGGCTTGCTAGGTCAAAACCATTTTCACGGTGATGCTAAGATGTTGTTTTTCTTTTTCTCTGTTTTGATATCCACACTGATGGTGCAAAAACAGTGGTGGTGGGGGAGTGGTAAATTGTTGGGTGCCTTAACTCAAGTCAGTGACACAAACTGTGTTAGTATTAACTGTATTCTTCACTGCCATCCACTTGCAGTTTTTTTTTTTTTAAGTCAGTTTTACTTAAGAATATCTTTGATGAAGCAGTAAAAATTACCATTGCATTAAATCTTGACTCTGAGTACATGCTGTTTTGATATTCTGTGTCCTGAAGTGGGACAGCTGCAGAAAGCACCCCCCCGCTGCGTCCTGACGACCCATGGTGTTCTTAAGGAAAAGCACGTGTGTTATTTGAGTGCCAAGATGAATTAGCTGCCTGTTTTTCCACAGAACGTCATTTTCTTCAAAAGAATGACTAATTTCCAAATGATGGCTATTCAAACTTGAAGACATTTCCTCAAAAACAAATGAAGTGAGCTTGTCAGTTCAAGGGAAACAACTCATGGTGTTTATTGTCACAAGCTTTTAAGCCAAAACTTTGAATTTTGGAAAATCTGCATCTGCCATTGTGAGCTTGACAATATTCATAGTTTTCTGATCAAACTGGTTATACTTTAATGAAATGTGATTTATAATACTGTGTCATGAAATGTGTCCACGTTTGGAAGATCTCCTGAACTCAGTGAGCCAGTATTTTCCAAATGAATACTTCAGGATGTTACAAAATCTTACGTGGGTAAGAGATTCATCCAAAGTACAAGACAGATCAATGGATTTTAATGTAACTGATACTGTCTCAGATTGTATGTTGCAATTAATCCTTAAGAGACAATCAGTTGTCAAGTTTTGGTGTATCCATGAAGAATATCCATGATTTTCTACAGAAGCTATTATAATATTCCTCCCTTTTTCTAACACGAGTCTTTGTGAGGCCCAGATTTTCTTCACATACCAACTAAAGCAACATACTGCAACAGATTCAGTGTAGAAGTAGATATGAGAATCTGGCTATCTTCAGTTAAACCTGACATTAAAATAATTTGTAAAAATGTAAAACAGTGCTACTCTTCTGATTTTTTTGAAAATGTAATCATTTTTCATAAAATGTTATTTATGGTAGCACATACTTATTATTTTAAAATAAGTTACTATTTTTAAAATTTCTGTTTTAATTTCCAGTATGTTAAATATCAACATATATAACCAGTGGTGTGCACAGCTGGCTTGTACCAGTGAAAACCAATTGTATAATCTTTATCCGGCTTTGTGTTCAATGTCATCCATTGGCAGCTTGAAATCAGCCATAGTAGGAGTACTTACATCACAGAAGTGAGCAAACGCTACAAGTCAGTGTTCCTCCTTCTTAAGATCTAGTTAAGTGTTTACCAGCCCTCTACTGAATATCAATCACAGAAACAAAAGCTCTTTGAGGTCATCAGTAATTTTTAAGAGTGTAAAGATGCCCTGAGACTAAAATATTTGAGAATTAGTTGTGAGGAGAAAGAGTTATCTTTTGAGAGTTAGTCACTATAGAGGTGTATAATTCATACAGAGTTGCCTTTTGTGCCGGAAACATTTGTAGAATAAATCCAATGTTTTAAAACTTGCAGTTGTTAAATCTACTGGTTCCATAATGGGAGGATGTTTTTCTTTTCCCTGGAATCTAAACTAGATGATAATACTCTGGGGGTAGGTGAGCTGAATTTTCCCTGTGGGCTACATATTGGTTGCCTCTGTCCTGGTTTCACACTATCTGTCCAACTGTTATCTAGGTTTAGATCAAGCCTTCACTCAAGCTCTGGCATCTACATAAAGCCCTCACTTACTGTTTGGGCCCATACTGATCTTTCTATTCTGTACTCCTGTGATATTCATGGCCTCTAAAATGGAGCAATTCGTTCTGTACTATTTGGTGTGCCATTGTTTCTTAGGTGCTAGTTTTATTAATTCTATTTTCTAATAGTGCACCTAGTACAAGGCTCAACACCTAGGTTCTCTTACACGGATAAAACATGTTTTAACTTTTGGATTGCCAGAGAAGTTAGTTTTCCAAGGGAATGATGATGTAAATAAATCTTAGTTATTTGTTATAAACCCAGTTTTTAATAATTCTTTTCAGATATTAATATAAGTTGGAAATCATTGGTGTTCCTCAAAGTGAAGTCACACACAAAGTCTTCCTTGAAAAAATTGTTTTAGATGCTGTGGTTCTACTACCACTCATGATAGACACTGGTGACTTATTTCCAAGGTCTTTGACTCTTGAGTAAGTCATAATGAATGGTGAATCTTAGTAAAATGAGGCAAAGTTTCTGCAATTATGCTAGCCTATAGGACAGAGTTGTTTACTAATTAGAAAACCTGGCAGGTTTTGAGTCCAGAGGAGTGGTTAGTATCGTGTTTTTCTGGTAGGGATCTCTGTTGAAGGAACTCAGGGAAGTAGTGAGGAGATGGCTGTTGTGCTGATCTCTGCCCAAAGTTAAGTGATAGTTCTGGCCTCTCTGGATGCTTTAGCTAGGGAGAGGAAAAGTGTCCAGAGGCCTCATCAGCCTTCAAGGCATGAGCTTTCTCTGGGTCAGAGACACCAGGGGCTTGAAAGGTCCTGGAATTTCTTCGGCCTATGCCTTTTTAGTTATTATGAGGGCATAACAGTGACTGTGATTTTTATCAGTCTAGAGACAAAGCATCAGCTCACATCCAGAGTAACACTAGAATATCATATGTCACACATTTAATAAAAATAATTCACTGGCCAGGTACAGTGGCTCACGCCTGTAATCCCAGCACTTTGGGAGGCCAAGGTGGGCAGATCACAAGGTCAGGAGATCGAGACCATCCTGGCTAATGGGTGAAACCCCGTCTCTACTAAAAATACAAACAATTAGCTGAGCGTGGTGGCGGGCACCTGTAGTCCCAGCTACTCAGGAGGCTGAGGCAGGAGAATGGCTTGAACCTGGGAGGTAGAGCTTGCAGGGAGCCAAGATCACGCCACTGCACTCCAGCCTGGGCAGCAGAGCAAGACTCCGTCTCAAAAAAAAAAGAACCATAGTTAAGTTCTATCTCCAATTTCTCTGAAGAAGTTAGAGGGTAGTTTATACTCTGGCCTAAGAAAGGCTTCACTGTTAGTAGGCGTGAGGTCGTAGTGAGGTAGTTTAACTGCTTTAGAACTTTGTGCTTGGAACATTCTTAGCCACCGAAGTATGGGCACCAAAAGCGATAAGGAGCATGTGTTCCTTAATAAATGTCACATCAGAAAATGACTGTTCCAGGACAGTAACCACCTCCCGATGGTAAGTATCCTAGATAGTTTGTCATTTCTCAGCAGCAGGAAAAAGAGAAGTAGGCCAGTCATATTAGTGAGTGGTATTACTTAAAAATAGCAAAAACAATAACAAAAAAGGTCCAGCTTTAATCCTCAATGGTGATCATTTTGGCAGGTTTCTGTGGCTGGATCAGGCACCAGAAGAGGCTCCCCAGCTGTAACTCTAGTGCAGTTACCTTCGGGCCAAACTATACATGTCCAGGGAGTAATTCAGACACCACAGCCATGGGTTATTCAGTCATCAGAAATACACACCGTTCAGGTTAGCTTCCTTCCTGAATGGTTTTGTCTTTGACTTTCTTGAGCCATTTTTTTCCTCTTTCACTAATTCATTTATCATTTTTCTTTATGAAGTGCTTATACGCAAATCTTTTTATTAGATATTTGGAGGAATCTCTTCTCCTTGCGTAAGGTGCTCTGTGTCCTGCTAGGTACGTAGGTTTCACTTCAGAGCTGCAGCTTTGTTGCCAACTTTTCATTTGGGGACTGAGTAATTGCAGATGAGCAGTTCATGTCTTCTTCACTTTGTTGTTCTGTGTTCAAACTCAGATTTATTTAGCAATGCTCCCCAAGGGTGCTGAAAAATATTTTGAGGGTGCATCAGAGAAGATGTGTGATAAACACAGTAATATAAAGATTATAGTGCTGATGCTGTTTTCTTTTTTTTTCTTCTTTTTTTTTTTTTTTTGAGACAGAGTCTCGCTTTGTCGCCCAGGCTGGAGGGCAGTGGCATGATCTCGGGCCATTGCAAGCTCCACCTCCCGGGTTCACGCCATTCTCCTGCCTCAGCCTCCCGAGTAGCTGGGACTACAGGCGCCCGCCACCATGCGTGGCTAATTTTTTTTGTATTTTTAGTAGAGATGGGGTTTCACCGTGTTAGCCAGGATGGTCTTGATCTCCTGACCTCGTGATCCGCCTGTCTCGGCTTCCCAAAGTGCTGGGATTACAGGCGTGAGCCACTGCGCCCAGCCAGTGCTGATGCTGTTTTCATGAATAATCACCTTAGTAGGTAGATATAAATTTATAATCACCTTAGTAGGTAGATATAAATTTATTTTAAATTCGGTATACATAATTCTTGGTAAGATGATATTATTAATGTATCCCTCTCGATTAAACCTTGGCTTTTGTAGATATGATTATTATTGTGGTTGTGATCCAGAGATGTATTTTACCCTTAACATTTCTTGAAGTTAAAACATTTTTTCCATCAATAGATGTAAATTATTAAATATGCATTTTTTAAAGTATGCATCTTAATTACTGAATTTATTTTTGTTCATTTTTAAGGTCAGTTATTATCCTTTAAATGCTGAAATTATTTGAACCTAATTGATGACAAAAAAAAAAATCTGTGAGGAAAATGGAGACACGTATACATAGTATAGTCCTTTTCTTGCGTGTTCAAGTAGTTTATCACAGTAGAATGATAAGAGTGGCGACAAGATACCTGATGTGACAAATTCACATACATTAAAAGCTTGATTATCTTTGTGGCATGGGTATTTTCTCCTGTGTTTCCCAGAAGTGTAAGAATAATTCTCATCATTATCTTTTTTTCCTGTGATGGCCCCTGATTCCAAGAGTTTCTAATTCTTTCTGACACTAATTATAAAACAAGAAAGTCTTTCCAACCTCTTCTTTGTTTTATGACTTTTATTGAGGTCCACATATTTCTACTTAGTTTTAACCTGGCTGGTATTGGAAGAAAGTATTGTCTATTATTATTATTTATTATTTAATAGAGACAGAATTCTCAGTATGTTACCCAGGTTTGTGTTGAGGCCCTGGCCTCAAGTGATCCTCTTGCCTCAGTCTTTCAAAGTGCTGGGATTACAGATGTGAGCCACAGCACCCGGCTGAAAGAAAGTATTCTGTTATATTCAGTAGACTTTGTTTGGATTTTGTTAAGTGAACGATTTAATTGTCCTTGTAGAAAGAGGTGCCAGTGGATCTTGTCCTAGAATACTTACGTGTTGGATCATGGTCAAGCCACTTAATCTCTGTGCATGAACTTTAATTTTCACCTTTCTAAAATAGGTAAATTAATAGCCTACCTCACCTAAGGGAGTTGTTATGATTCTATGACAGATGTGTGACAGCCCGGTGTAAAATGATAAATATTTAATATTTGGTGGTGATATATGATTATCTGAGGCAACAACATTTTTCTCAGTCCTGTTGATTGGGTGTGTGTGCTTATGTGTGGGGCGTTCATGAGCAAAAACACGAGTCATATGTGGAGGTGAATATACACCTCCGTGTACTTCGGGAAGTATATATTCTTGCTTGCATTGTTGATATTTTAATAAGCTCTTTTGATTTTGTCCAAATCAATTTCCCATGTAATTATAATATGAAGTGAGTTTTGTAAACTCTGCTACCCTAGGCCCTCAAAGTATTAATAATTGACTGAATATATCAAAATCAGTCATGTTGTTGAAGAGATTCATTATTTTAGTTTTCTGACTTCTTTAATAATCATATCACTGTATTATTACTTGACTTGAAAAATGAAATCATGCTTAAAACTCTGATCTTTCTCTTAAGGAGAAATGCTTTATTTGGATCTTCAAGACCCACCGCCACCAAGCCCTAACTTACTCCTTGTAATAGAAATCCTGATTTTACCCAGGCTTGCTTACTGACTTGCTTATCTACTTAAATATTCTGTCTTGGGCCTATCTGATGGCTAATGTGAAGACCCAGCTCACGCCAGCGCCAGCTGTGAGAGTGTGGGAACAGCAGTGTGATCCGGGAGCTCTCTTCTGCGTTGGCCCCTCGCTGGCTCCCTCCTGGATTCGTAGGAGCACTTTCAGGTTGAGGAGCTTAGGTCTTGGGTATTTTACATTTTGTTCTTTCCTGCAATGCCTCATTTGACATCCCAACCACTCTTTCCCTAGTATTTCTGTAGTATAGAGTACCCGTAACATTCCTTTCCACACACATTTGTTTTATAACTGAAATGTTTGCGTCTGCGCTTCCTTTCTTGAGCCAGACTCCTTCAGTGCAGATTCACTGTGTTCTATTGCTCAGTTGCTTCCACAGCTCCTGGCTCAGTGCTGCACACACAGACTCTTAGCCTCAATTTTTTGAATGAGGGAAAAGAGCATATATTTTATGATACATTTCAGAAAATCTTGTATTATAGGTAGCAGCAATTGCAGAGACAGATGAATCTGCAGAATCAGAAGGTGTAATTGATTCTCATAAACGTAGAGAAATCCTTTCACGAAGACCCTCTTATAGGTAAGTTAACCAAGTTTCCTAATGTAAAGATACTTTTTCCAAAATGGTAGAATAATTATACATCAAATCAATTCTTCCTTTATAGCTTTTCTGTTTTAAGACTTATTCATGTATCTTAGTGACTTACCTTGTTAAATTGTATTTTAGGAAAATACTGAATGAACTGTCCTCTGATGTGCCTGGTGTTCCCAAGATTGAAGAAGAGAGATCAGAGGAAGAAGGAACACCACCTAGTATTGCTACCATGGCAGTACCAACTAGCATATATCAGACTAGCACGGGGCAATACAGTATGTATGCTGCAATTCGATATGATACAGTGCTAGCTTTAAGTCTTCTCTAGTTATATTGAAGCAACTCAGGTTTTGGCATTAAATTGTTCCATTTTAAAATGCATCATTAATACCTAAACTGTATCATAGAATGAAAGTATATGTTAAAAAGTGAGATCTTTGTATTGACAGCTGTCATATAATTTTGAAAAGTAAAAATTTTGACTGCCGAATATAGAAGAAAATTTTGGGGTAAAAAGGAGAATTTTTCCTATTTACATGTTTATATTAATCTCTAGTAAAACATTGTTTTTGTTGTCTTTATGATGCATGCGAACATAAATGTCTGTATTTCATTCTTGTTGGCTTTTGTTACCCACAATTACATACTATTCTTACTAATCTGAGAGTTTTCTAAAGTATGTTTTCAATGTTTCACTACTCTCTACTCTGTTAATTTGTGCTACAGTTTTTCCTAAAAGAGAATGGAAAAATGATTTAATTTTTTAAACTGTAGCAATTGGATAGATAATTTTATTTGAAATTTTACACACTGAAAGCTCTAAATAAACAGATACATTCACATTCAGTCTTGTGCATTTTAATGGACCGTTAATTCTGTGCTTTTTGCTCTGATTAAAGCACTAGTTTTTTTCCCAAAAGAAGAGTGTTTGATACGTAAAAAGCAAGAGCTAGAAAGAAAAGAAAAAGGAGGAGAAAGGTTAGGGATATCACATATCCTAAGCTAGCCCCTTAGGTACTGGAATAATGTGATATTCCTGTCCTTTCTGAAGTATAAATTGTCCATGGAAGTTGTCTAAATCAATTTCCCATGTAATTATAATATGAAGTAAAGTGAGTTTTGTAAACTCTGCTACCCTAGGTCCTCAAAGTAATTGAACAAATATATTGACAGCAGTCATGTTGTTGAAGAGATTCATAATTTTAGTTTTCTGACTTTAAAAAGAGCTACTTAGGTACTGGAATATATGTGATATTAAATAATGTGTTTATCCAAATAAGGTATTAAGATTTTAGATATATTCTTTGTTTTTCCTTTAAAAAGTAGCAATACCAAGAAAAAAAAACTCAAGTCTTAATTTAAGTCCTGACTACTAAAACAAGCTATAATCTTTAATGTATGAGAAGACTTTATATAGTCATTATTTTTGTGGAGCTTTTTAGAGTTTTTCTTGTAGCAGTGGTAGATTTGCAGTAGTAAACTATTAAATACATTCTCTGTTGGTAATTGAGGGGAACTCCTACCATGATACCTAGCAGATCCGGGGTGTAGTGTATTCACACGTTTGACAGGGCACCCAGTAGACTTGTCCAAAGTCAGTGTTAGGAAAAGAAAATCCCCACCATCTGTAAGAAATAGACCTTGAGGTTTACATTGTCATTTTTTTATTACTTCTCTCGTTTACATGCTCTTTTGTCTGGCACACTGGGAATCTCTGGTGGGTTTTAGAACTGTAAAACTGAATATGCCAGCTGATGAGCCTCTACAGCACAGCACGCAGGTTATGAGAGTGCTGAGTGCCTCGTCCCCCCGTCCCCAGAGGGGCTGGGCAGAAGCTGCTGGCGCCTCCTGGCTGGTCAGCCCTGGCCTTGAGCAGCTCCATCCACTCACCCCAGTGGGCTGTACACATGTCATCATGTTCTGTTTGTGTAATGACAGGGAAAAGGTTGGAAGTGACTGCTGAAATGACACTAAGACTTCTCAAAGTGTTGGGAACCACTAAGATGCTGTCATCGTAACATTTCTCTGGCATATGCTAATGCTACTTAGGACTTCTGATAGAAGCAGTGATTCCTTTACAAGTTGATAGGGAAGCAGATGCTGTAGGGTTAACTTGTCTAGATTATTAGCTGAAAATTTGAAATTGTGAAAATGTATGGGGTTGAAGCTGGAGAGGATGTGGAAGGAACCATCTTTGTGCCATTTGCAAACTCAATGATCAGAGCAAGAAGCTTTATTAAATTCACATCTCAGGTTTTAGTCTTTGAAGTGGGAATAATACTAAATTGCCAAACTCTGGGGTTCCTGTGAAGACAAAGGAGATAATGGGTAAAAGTAGGGGGAAAAAGACATGCTACTATTGGCATGAAACAGAGAAATTAAGTTAGGTGTACCATTGTCTCATTCATGTTCATTGAACTTTCCCTCCAGCCAGCCCCAATGGCTTCATTCCCTGTGTCCTTGGTACCTGCTCACAGCAGGGGGCTGGCCTTAAACCTCACTCTGTGTGTCTGTGGGGGGGATGAGAGGAGCAGAGTCAGGAATTTTGGTTGAGAACTAGAAAACTGCATCTGTAGAAATTAGATCTTAGGCCAGGTGTGATGGCTCCCACCTGTAATCCCAGCACTTTGGGAGGTCTAGGCAATGAGGGTTGCTTGAGGCCAGGACTTTGAGACCAGTCTGGGCAATAGAGTGAGACCCTGTCTCTACAAAAGAATTTTAAAAATTAGCAGGGTGTGGTGGTATGCGCTCATCCCAGCTACTCAGGAGGCTGAGGTGGGAGGATTCTCTGAGCCCAGGAGTTTGAGGCTGCAGTGAGTTATGATTGCACCACTGCACTGTCCAACCTGGGCAGCAGAGTGAGACTCTGTCTCAAAACAACAAACAAAAAAAACACATCTGTCTATTTGCCACATAAGAGGTCATGGACTATTTCTTACTTTGGTTTCTTAATTTGAGTCTATACAGTATGATCCTAGAAATTATTCTGATGAGAAGTTATAGTTCTGTATGTACAGTCTGCAGGTAAAAATTGCCATTTGTTCACACAATGTGAATTTCTTTTGTTAAAAATGCATTTTGGGGACATTTAGTGAAATATATGTAGATAATTCTTTGAGAAGTGAATACTAACAACATTCAAACTTTTTAGAAGACGTTTACTTTAATTGGAGGGTAAACATACTTACACACACAACATCCATTTTTATTGATCTTATTTTTTATAGAACTAACTTAGCAGATATTAATGCTTTAATGTTGTAGCAGAATGTCTAGAAATGGAAACAATTGCCAGTTTCCTTTGGTTTTTGAATAGAGGAACGTATTTTATTAGAATTTCTGGAGATTTTCCTATTTTTTTCCTTCCCTTTGAGCTGTAAATTTTTTTTAATGCTCTTTCATAACCTTTTATTATAAAAAAAAATTTTAGGTTTAATTGTTCAGCTTTTATCCATGGATGGCTTTCTCCCAAACTTTGCTTTTATTTCTTTTTTTCCAATATTTTATTAGTTATTTTTAATTTGGAATAATGAGTTAGCTGGTGTTTAAAAGAACTAAATGTGTATCAAAGTTGAAGAAATAAAGTATATTCAAGTTTTCCCATATACAAGCAGTTACATTTTTAATAGTTGAAAGATATTTGGCAGAAGTTGGCCTTATTATATTGACTTACTATTATCACAAAAACTAAAAAGTGAAAGTTGGAATAGGCTGCTCCCTGGGGAGTAGGAAAAAGCATAAAATAGACAGGGATCCATTATTACAACACCAAGTAAGTGAGCTGTACCTGCAGAATCCT